>NC_000005.10:154559054-154859371 GCF_000001405.40 Homo sapiens
CAGTGGCCCAATCTCGGCTCACTGCAAGCTCTGCCTCCCGGGTTCATGCCATTCTCCTGCCTCAGCCTCCCGAGTAGCTGGGACTACGGGCGCCCGCCACCACACCCAGCTAATTTTTTGTATTTTTAGTAGAGAAAGCGTTTCACTGTGTTAGCCAGGATGGTCTCGATCTCCTGACCTCGTGATCTGCCCGCCTCGGCCTCCCAAAGTGCTGTATTACAGGCTGTTTTGCCTTCCACGTTGGCCAGGCTGGACTTGAACTCCCGTCATTTCTTTCAGAGCCTCTCTTCTCTGGGCTGTAATTATGGCTTCTGGACATTTTGTCAGAATCGGAATGGCTCCATTTGCTATCCTCCCTAGAACTTTCATGTTTTAAGAACCTGAGCTTTTCCTTGGCTTTTTCCTGGTTATGGTGACTGCTAGAAAGTTCTTCATGAAGTTTTCTCTTCTTAGAATGGTCCTTCACTTCAGAATCACTGTTGTTATGCCCTGAACACTTGCTTTTCTTTCTTTTCTTCCTATTTTTTTTCTTTATTGTCACTCTCACTCTCACTACTGCTTTCTAAAGTCTCAGTAGAGAAAGAGGAGGAGGGGGAGGAGGAGGAGGAAGAGGATTTATGATTTTTGTGTTTACTTCTGCTCTTCTGAAACTTTTTCTTTTTTCTATCTTTTTCTTTTCTTTTCTTTTTCTTCTCCAGTCGATCTAATTTCCTGAAAATTTCTGTTTTTGTTTAGCTGCTAGTGACTTTAAACATTCAACTTCTGGATATTCTTCACCCTCACTTGCAACATACTCCTTTGATGGATCATTTGTGGTCAGGTTCTCCCCAGTACATTTCGGTTCAGTGCAAACCCACTGTTTCTCATCTTCGCTATTAGCTCCAAGGGGTGCATCGATGGTCCTGAGCCATCAGTGGGAACCAAACTTGCATTGATTCCAGAAAGACCAAGCAAAGGACGTTCTTGATCTGTGTTGACATGACCCCACTGGTGACATTTAATGCACCACACATTTCAAACCTCAATACCACAGGGCTGCTCTCTGATGTTCATGTCATCTTTGACATATTTTTCTCATGGGGCTCCTTTCTGCCATTCACATTTGTATTCAGTCTCTCTTTCTGTTTCTTCTTTCTCTTTGTTTTCTCTTTTAGCTCCTGGTGGGGCTTCATACATGAAATTAAGGCCATTATTTACACGTTCATCTCCCATAAACAATCTGTTATCATATGGTTCTTGTTATTTATGATATTGCTGCATTAATTATTCTTGTTTCTTCTTATCATATGATATTTTCTGTTCTGCCATCCATACTTTTTTGATATTGGATTTGGAGGCAAGATGAAAATCCTTCTTGCACATGAAGTTGGTGAAGGATTTCCCCATCTTGGAGCTGGAGCTGGGTAAAGCAGCAGCTAAATCTGTAAGCAATGTAAACAAACTCAGCCTCCTAACCTGAACTGCTGCCACTGTATATTTTTTAAATGATGGCTCTAAGAATTACATCCACAACTTATCACACTCTTTGGTTTTTGTTTTTTTTTTTTTTTGGTTTTGAGATGGAGTCTCGCTCTGTCACCAGGCTGGAGTGCAATGGCATGATCTCGGCTCACTGAAACCTCTGCCTCCTGGGTTCAAGTGATTCTCCCACCTCAACCTCTCAAGCAGCTGGGGTTACAGGCACCTGCCATCAGGCCTGGCTAATTTTTGTATTTTTGTAGAGATAGGGTTTCACAATGTTGGCCAGGCTGGTCTTGAACTCCTGACCTCAGGTCATCCTCCTGCCTCGGCCTCCCAAAGTTCTGGGATTACAGTCATGAGCCACCGTGCCCGGCCCACACTCTTTCTTAAAATTGATATTATTCCACTTCACATATAAGGTAAGAATCTTATCTTAGTTACATTCATACTCCCTCTCCTCTTCTTTACTATCATATAGCTTCCTTCTACATATATTATAAATCCCACAATAAGCTGTCATTAATTTTGCTTTAAAATTATTAAATGAATTTTAAATAATTTAAGAAAAAAATAATTTTTATGTTAACTTACATATTTACCATTTCTAACAGTCTTCATTTCATCCTATATGTGTGATTTTTCATCTGGCCTGAATTTTCCCTTAAGCCTGAAAAACTTCCTTAGAATTTCTTGTGGTGCAGGTCTGCTGGTGATAAATTCTAACAGTATTTGCTTATTTGAAGATGCTTATATTTCACCTCAATTTTACAAAGATGTTTATGGTCAGGCCGGGCATGGTGGCTACTCCTGTAATCCTAGCACTTTGGGAGGAGGCCAAGGCGGGTGGATCATCTGAGGGCAGGGGTTCGAGACCAGCCTGGCCAACATGGCAAAACCCCATCTCTACTAAATACAAAAAAAAATAGCCAGGTGTGGTGGCGTGCAACTGTAATCCCGGCTACTAGGGAGGCTGAGGCAGGAGAATCGCTTGAACCTGGGAGGCGGAGGTTGCAGTGAGCCGAGATCATGCTGCTGCACTCCAGCCTGGGCAACAGAGCAAGACTCAGTCTCAAAAAAAAAAGATGTTTGGCCGGGCGCAGTGGCTCATGCCTGTAATCCCAGCACTTTGGGAGGCCGAGGCGGGCGGATCACGAGGTTAGGAGATCCTGGCTAACACGGTGAAACCCCGTCTCTACTAAAAATACAAAAAATTAGCCGGGCGTGGTAGCGGGCGCCTGTAGTCCCAGCTACTCGGGAGGCTGAGGCAGGAAAATGGCGTGAACCCGGGAGGCAGAGCTTGCAGTGAGCCGAGATCGCGCCACTGCACTCCAGCCTGGGCGACAGAGCGAGACTCCGTCTCAAAAAAAAAAAAAAAAAAAAAAAAAAGAGATGTTTATGGTCAACATAGACTTCTAACTTGACTTTTTTTTTTTCCCAACAACTTGAGCATATTGTTCCATTGTCTTCTGGCCTCAATTGTTCCTCATGAAAAGTCAACTCAACCAATATTCTTATCATTATCATTATCATCCCCTATATATAATGTGGTTTTTTTCCCCATAGCTGATTTTAAGATTTTCTCCTTATCTTTGGTAATCATGATGCATCTTGTTAAATTTTTTTTTTTTTTTTGGAAAGATGGGGTTTCACCATGTTACCCAGGCTGGTCTCAAACTCTTGGGCTCAAGTCATCCACCTGCCTCAGCCTCCCAAAATGCTGGGATTACAGGCGTGAGCCACCATGCCCAGACTTGTGGATTTTTCTTTATGCTGTTAGTTCACTAAGGCTCGTGGATTAAAAAATGTTGAGTAACTATCTTGTTTTTTCTTTGTGCATTGAATTTGACAAGGCCCTCAGATTGAAAAGTGTTGAGTTTCATTCTAGCAGAGACTCAGATTGCTGCAGATCACCTTGACCCTGTGGCGGCTTGGTTTTAGCCTTTGCTAAGGAAAGTCTATTTGAGTTTGCCAGTAGTTCTAGGGTGCAACCCTTAGTCCTGGGACATGGTCTCAACTCCTAAGGTCTGATACCCCTTCTGGGGTGTCAATCAAAAGCCAGGAGTGTTTGCCAAGTCTCTCCAATTTGGCAGAATTTTAACTGCAAACTATATTCCCAGGGCAGAGCAGCTGCTGAAATTTCTGCTCAGCTCTTTCAGCCTTCCAGCTGTTGTTTTCCCAGGAGTTTTTTGGAATCTTACCCTGCATATGACTAGTTCAGGGGATGGCTATAAATTAGAAGGAAATTTTTGTATGTATTTTGGGATTCTTTCTTCTGTGGCTTATTCTGTGATTTCCCCCCTCAAGTTCCAGCTGCTCTCGCAACCTTGCACTCTTCTGACTCTACAAGCCCAATAAGACTGCCACTTTCTGCATGAGCTCCACCCCATAGACCACTCAAATGGTGAGTGACCTCAAGGTAAAAGCCAGATAAAAGTAGATCACACCCAGTACTCTTTTCCTTCTTTCTACAGTTATATACATACAGTTTCTGCCTGCTTTTAGTCATTCTCCAGTGTCTTCAAATAGTCATTTATTATATTCTGTTGAGAGTCTATAATGTTATTCACAGGAGAATCAGCCCAATACAAGCTACTCTTTCTTTATCAAAAGCTGGAAGTCCTCTAGATCCCAAAGATATGCTACATTTTCTTCTATTAATTTTATAGTATTACCTTTTACATTTAAGTTTTCACTCTATTTGAAGTTCACTTTTAAATGTGGTGTCAAATAGAAATCCAGTCTAATTTTCCTTACTTAGGAGCCAGTTTTTCCAATAGAATCTACTACTGACTATAAAGACTTTACCCCAGATCATTGGGGGAGGAAGAATGATTATCCTCCCTCAGTGATCTGGGGTAACATCATTACATATATTAAGTTTCCATATGGAACCATCTCTGAACTCTTTATTCTGTTCCATTGATCTTGTGTTTCACTGATTCATCTGATCTTGTGCCAATATCACTATTTCCATGGCTTTGTAGTATGCCTTAGCATCTGGTGGGGCAGGTACCTCCCCTTCCCTTTATTCTATCTTGTAGATCTTTATTCATCCACAAACATTTTACAGTAAGTGTATCAGCTTCCCAGAAAAAAACTATTCCATTTTGAATGCGATTAAATTGAATTTATAGATTAATTTGGAGAAAATTAATTTTTTGTGCTATTGATTTATTCCTCCCAAGAGTACAGTATGTCTTTCTCATTTTTATTATATTCTCTGTTTTTTATTTGAGGTTTTAATTTTTTTCCATACAGGTCTTATGTATCCTCAAATACTTCCTAGATACTCTACAGTTTTTGTTACCACTTACAAATGGTATATTAATTATTATTATTTTGAGATAGAATCTCTCTCTGTCACCCTAGCCAGAGTGTGGTGGCGCTATCATGGGTCACTGCAGTCTTGACCCCTCAGGGTGAAGCAATCCTTACACCTCAGTCTCCCAAGTAGCTGGGACTACAGGTGCATGCCACCAAGCCTGGATAATTTTTTTTTTTTTAAGATGGAGTCTTCCGGCCTGGTGCAGTGGCTCATGCCTGTAATCCCAGCACTTTGGGAGGCCAAGGCTGGCAGATCACAAAGTCAGGAGTTCGAGACCAGCCTGACCAACATGGTGAAACCCCGTCTCTACTAAAAATACAAAAGAAGTAGCCAGGCATGGTGGTGCGCGCCTCTAATCCCAGCTACTCAGGAGGCTGAGGCAGGAGAACTGTTTGAACCTGGGAGGCAGAAGGTTGCAGTGAGCTGAGATTGAGCCACTGCACTCTAGCCTGGGCGATAGAGTGAGACTCTGTCTCAAAAAAATAAAAAAAAATCCTATGTTGCCTAGGATGATCTCAAACTCCTGGACTCAAGTGATCCTCCTGCCTCAGCCTCCCAAAGTGCTGGGATTACAGGCATGAGACGACACCACGTCTGGCCTTATTTTTAATTATATTTTCACTACTTTTAACAGGTATATAGTAGATGATCAATAAATCCACGTTAACTGTGTTTTTTTTCTTCTGCTCATTTACATAGGACCCTCTAATCTCACTGGCTCTACCCATTCTCTTCCCTTTTCTAACTGGAAAATCTCCAAATTAATCTTTTTTCAACCTCATTTTATTCATTCAACAACACTCAGTAATTATGTATTGAACACCTACTTAACTATTTCCCACGTTCTGGAGATACATACTGATGAACAAAACAGAGCTCTAGACTCTAGACTTGCTTTCTAGTGGGAAGAGACAGACAATTAATGTAATAAATAGGCGGGCGCAATGGCTCACGTCTGTAATCCCAGCATTCTGGGAAGCCAAGGTGGGCAAATCATGAGGTCAGGAGATCGAGACTATCCTGACCGACATGGTAAAACCCTGTCCCTACTAAAAAAAAAAAAAAAATTAGCTGGGTGTGGTGGCGAGTGCCTGTAATCCCAGCTACTCAGGAGTCTGAGGCAGGAGAATCACTTGAACTCGGGAGGCAGAGGTTGCAGTGAGGCGAGATCACGCCACTGCACTCCAGCCTGGGTGACAGAGGGAGATGACTTTGTCTCAAAAAAAAAAAAAAAAAAAAAAAGAGGATAGTATGGCTGCGGCAGAGTGAGGAGTGGAGAGAAATGGGGACATGAGGTCAAGAGACTCCGTCTCAAAAAAAAAAAATAGTAACAAGTAAGTAAATTGTTTGGCATGTTAAAAGATTTCAAGTGATATGAGGAAAAGAAAATTAGAGCAGGGTTATTGGGATCAGGAATGTGGAGGTAGGGCAAGTTTGCAATGTTGCAAAGGGGTGTCAGAGTAGGTCTCATTGGGCAGGAGACACTTGAGTAAAGGCTTGATGGAGGAGGGAGGGAGAACATTCCAGGCAGAGGGATCAGCAAAGCCCTAAAGCATGAACTTTCTTGGTGTATTCAAAGAAGAGCAAAGGAGGCCGGGTGTGGTAGCTCACGTCTATAATCCCTGCACTTTGGGAGGACGAGGCGGTGGATCACCTGAGGTCAGGTGTTCAAGACCAGCCTGGCCAACATGGCGAAACCCCATCTCTACTAAAAATACAAAAAAAAAAAAAAAATTAGCCCGGCATGGTGGCACGTGCATGTAGTCCCAGCTACTCAGGCGGCTGAGCCAGGAGAACCACTTAAACCCAGGAGGGCTTCTTCCAGACAAGCCGAGATCGCACCACTGCACTCCAGCCTGGGTGACAGAGGGAGACGACTGTGTCTCAAAAAATAAAAGAGGATAGTATGGCTGCAGCAGAGTGAGGAATGGAGAAAAATGGGGACATGAGGTCAAGAGATGGTGGGGAAATGACAGATTGTGCGGGGCCTTGTGGAATATTGTAAGGACTTTGACTTTTTCTCTTACTTTGAGGGCACTGAGCACAGAAGTGACATGGCCTGACTTTACAATTTACAAGAATGACTCTGACTGCTAAGTTAAGAACAGATTGGAGAAGCTGGGAGACCTGCTGGGAGCCTATTGCAGTGATCCAACGAAGGGGATTGTGGCTCAGACCAGGAACCAGCTGTGCAAATGGTAAGAAATGGTCAGAGTCTGCAGGGGTTTGAAGGAAAGCCAGACCCACTGCGGGATACGTGGATGTCTCTGATTGCCCCTCTGGACTCACCGTCCAGCTCCTCCCACCCAGCTCTGTGCCCTGGGAGGTGACCTGTGTGAACTGCATCAATAATCTCTTTTGCCCTCTGTTTCCCACTTGGTTTGGCCAAAAGGAGTACTGGCAAGGGATCTGAAGGCAGGAGGAGTGTGAGGTAGGGGTATACTTCCTTGACTCCCTCCTTGCTGGTTTGGCTGAGCGCCTTGAATCAGGCAGCCCACTCCAGAAAAGCTGCTCCTCTGGGTTGGATAATGGCCTCCACCCTTGGCCCCCCAGACCGAGGTGCTAACAGCTCCCAGCTCGTTCCAGTCCCAGAGGACTGCAGTATAACCTGTTGCTTTTCCTCAACTCTGTCCATAAAGTTATGTATAGTCCAATTATTAAACTCTCCCGTTTGAGTGTGCCACCTTTTTCCTGCAGGGACTGTGACTGATAGAGAGTGGATATGGGGCATGAATGAAAGTGGAGTTGAGGATGGCTCCCTTGACCACAAGACCCAAGGTTTACCAAGTTCCCTCCTTCCATACAGCTCTGTGCCCCAGACCCAGCCAAAGCAATTCGTGGGGCTTTATTCCCATTGGAAGTAACCAAATTGCACAGAACTTCAAAAGAGTAAAATGTAATGGTAAACATGGCCATCTTCTTCCAGACAAAGCCTGATATGGAAAAAGCACTGTGCAAGGAGTCAGGAGGCTCCCTGAGCAACAGATTAACTCCAGAATAACCCTTAGCAGGCCACTTGACTGCTCTGAGCCGCTTTCTTCATCAGTAAAATTGGTAAAAATGAAACCTAATTCAAAGAACTGTAGGGAAAGAACAAATAACAACACCCAGATCAACAGAATGCGATCCCCTGTGTAAGGCTGGGAAAGAGAATGCCGCAATTTGTATTCTTACAAATCAGCTTGGTTTACAAGTTGCATGACCTCGAAGATGTTTCTGGGCCTGTTTCCTCATCTGTAAAATGAAAACAACAGTATAATTTTATTATATGTTTTTGTATTGCTATAAAGAAGTACCTGAGACTGGGTAATTTATAAAGAAAGGAGGTTTAATTGGCTCACGGTTCTGCAGGCTCAATAAGCATGGCTTCAGCATCTGCTTCTGTTGAGAACCTCAGGAAGCTTCTAATCATGGCAGAAGGCGAAGGGAGAACAGATGGTCACTTGGCAAGAGCAGGAGCAAGCGGGGCAAGGGTGGGGTGAGATACTCTTAAACAACCAGATCTCGTGTGAACTAACTGAGCAAAAACTCACCCATCACCCACGGGATGACACTAAACCATTCATGAGGGACCTGCCGCCATGATCCAATCACCTCCCACTAGGCCCCACCTCCAATATTGGAGGTCATATTTCAACATGAGATTTGGACAGGATAAACATCCAAACCATGTCAGCATTGTTCAGCACATGCTACATTAGCTGGTGTGGAGCTTAATGAAATGAGGGCGTGCCTGGCTAGTAAGTATTCATTAAGTGTTATGTATTTAATAAATATTGAATTACTCCCTTCTTTCCTTCTGTGAAATGAGGAAATTGAACTCGTTAATACAAAAGGTAACTTGTTTTGGTGACACTAAGTCTAGGATCTTTTGAAATTTTGGTTATGCATTTTTTCAAAATTATAAAAAGGACAAATAACATAATAAACACCCATCTACTCACATTATCTACATGTATCTCTAAATATATATTAAAGAGAGAGATAGAGAATGAAAAAAGCCAGTGCAGGTGGTCCTGTAGCTGCAGCTACTCGGGAGGCTGGAAGGCAGGAGGATCCCTTGAGCCCAGGAGTTAGAGGCTGCAGTGAGCTACCATTGTGCCACTGCACTCCAGCCTGGGTCACAGGGAAAAAAGAAAAAAAAATAGGCCAGGCATGGTGGCTCACGCCTGTAATCCCAGCACTTGGGAAACCCCGTCTCTACTAAAAATACAAAAAATTAGCCAGGCGTAGTGGCGGGCACCTGTAATCCCAGCTACTCAGAAGGCTGAGGCATGAGAATCACTTCAACCAGGAGGCAGAGGTTGCAGTGAGCTGAGATCGAGCCACTACACTCCAGCCTGGGCAACAGAGCAAGATTCTGTCTCAAAAAAATAAACAAACAAACAAACAAAAACAAACAAAATTTTGTATAATTGGTATCACATTACGAATTAACCTGCAGCTTGTTTTTTTCCTCAGCAATATGTCTGTGAGATCCATCCATTTTGATATGTGAAGGTCTTATTTGTTTTCACTACCGTGTGGTACTACATTGTATGAATTTGATGGACGTTTAAATTGTTTCCAATTTTTTAGGTTTACAAATAGTGCCACTTTAAACATCCTGATGACTGCAAGTTTCCAAGTCTGAACTTGAGTTTCTTTACTGCCTGCCAGATGCTGTTGTGCACCTCAGTTGAGATGGGGGAAGGGGAGAGAGGCTGGACTGGGGGTGGGAGGGGAGGAGGGACAGGGAAGCTGAATCTTATTTAACAGGTTCTGAAGGCTTTGTAAGTCACAGCTCTTAAAACACAATATTTTGAAGATTTAAGTGTAAATGAATCAGAGCCATATGGATTACATTTGCCTTAAATTACACAGGATTTAGAGCAGGGCGCAGTGCCCTGGGGCTGAGGGAGCAGGCGTTTCATGAACTACCTTCTTTGCTCCCCTTCCTGGCTTCTCTGCCAACAGGCTGCGGAGGAGTGGAGACTCGGGCTGCCCAGGTGCCCTCCACACAGCCCGAGGGCCTGCCCAATGGGGGCACCGAGGAGCCTCAAAGCCTGGCATCTGGATGCCTGAGTCCTAGTGCCTGCTTTGCCACTGCTTCACTGTGTGGCATTGGGCCACACACTCTGCATCTCTGGGCCTCAGTTTCCTCATTTGTAAAATGAGGCACCTGAGAGGTGCTATAGCATAGTGATTAAAAGCCTGGGTTTGGGCCAGGTGTGGTGGCTCACACTTGTAATCCTAGCACTTTGGGAGGCTGAGGTTGGGGGATCACTTGATGTCAGGGGTTCGAGACAAGCCTGGCCAACATGATGAAACCCCGTCTCTACTAAAAATACAAAAAATTAGCCAGTGCGATGGCACACGCCTGTAATCCCAGCTACTCAGGAGGCTGAGGCAGGAGAATCACTTGAACCCAGGAGGTAGAGGTGGCAGTGAGCTAAGATTGCACCACTGCACCCCAGCCTGGACGACAGAGCGACACCTTGTCTCAGAAAAAAAAAAAAAAGATCCTGGGTTTGACTCCCTCTCTAACCTCTTTCTGGCTGTGAGACCTTAGGCAAATTACTAATCAGCCCCCTCTCTATCTCAGTTGCCGCATCCATAAAATGGGAATACTAATAGTATCCACCTCATAGGTAGCTGTGAAGAATAAACTATCTGGGACACCTAGAAAGTGCCTGACTCTAAGTAAGCACTTCACAGATACCACTTTTGTTTTATATTTTAGTGTCATTATCAAAGATCGGTCCAAGTCTGATTTTTCCCAGCAGAGATGATAGGAGCGAGCCTGAAGAAGGGTTATGGAGTGGCCGGCAGCTTCTCATTCCTTTAGTACCATAGCTCTACTTTATATCCACTGTTCCATTCCATTTTAAATGCAAATAGATACACATATGCTTACCAAATGGATCATGCTGAGTTATAATGTTTTTTTCACTTTTCCTGTGTCACAAATATCTTTTCATATAATTAATATTTATCTACACCTTTTTTTTTTTTGACAGAGCCTTGTTCTGTCACCCAGGCTGGAATACAGTGGTGCCATCTCAGCTCACTGCAACCTCCACCTCCCAGGTTCAAGCGATTCTCCTGCCTCAGCCTCCCGAGTAGCTGGGATTACAGGTGCATGCCACCACACCCAGCTAATTTTTGTATTTTTAGTAGAGATAGGGTTTCACCATGTTGGCCAGGCTGGTCTCAAACTCCTGACCTCAGGTAATCCACCCGCCTCAGCCTCCCAAAATGCTGGGATTACAGGTGTGAGCCCACACCCAGACTACAACATTTCTATGTCTGAACAGCAGCACAGCAAACTGACATTTACCAACTGCTTACCACGCACCAGGCACAGTGTTAAACAATTCCCATGCATCCTTGTTTGATACTCAACACAAGAAAATGAATTTGGTTTCATTTTCATCCCCAATTTATAGCTGAGAAACTGAGGCTTAGAGAAATTAAATAGACTTAAAATATCACTGGAGTTCAGATCTGTGGACTCCTGGGCGTAAGCGCTACTGGACGTTGTCTGTAGTACTAAAATAACATTTCTAAGCAGCTTCAGGCCCCTATTCTTAGACACTTAAATTTTTTTTTCTGGCATCTTCACTTTTATCAACTGCATATGATAAACAATCTTGTGAGAAGATATTTGGCGACATCATGATTACTTCTTTGGGATAAATTCTTCAAAGTAGATGGCCCACTGTCTGGGGCTTTCATCTTGGAGACAAGGAGAAAGAGAGGCCAGGTTGGAGGCTGGATGTGAAGGAAGAAGCAGGAAGCCATCCAGGAGAAAGGCCCGACTAGGAGGCCAGGATGCCTCGCTCGCCCACACAACAGAACACGCCGCTTCGGTTTATCAGTGATGGGGTTCCCCCTGCTCCCTCTGAGCTCACCCTGAAGCCCTTAGGAATCTAGTTTATTTCCAGGAAGTTTTGCTGACTTAGCTAAAGACCCCGTTTTGTGGATCAGCTGCAAGACACAGACACTCAGCCAAAACACACACACATACACACACACACATACACACACACACACACACACACAGGCTTCACCCTCCAGGAGTCAGGTGTGAGGGAGGCACTCACTGGGAAGAGGCCAAATAACCCATGGAAAGTGGGAGAGCTTAATTTACATGGAAAGAAAATTCCCTGAAAAAAAAGCCATTCATCAGATTTACATACATAATTTTCTCTCTTAACTAGGTTAACTCAGTTCAATAGTTTTGCGACAGCTTTATTGTTTTGGAGCAGGGGAGGAAATTGCATACATGCTCAGTATTTGGGGGTGGGGTTTTTTTGTCTTTTTGAGACAGGATCTCACTTTGTCGGCCAGGCTGGAATGCAGTGGTGTGAGCACAGCTCACTGCAGCCGCAACCTCCTGGGCTCAAGTGATCCTCCCACTTCAGCCTCCAGACTAGCTGGGACCAAAGGCAAACACCGCCATGCCCAGCTAATTTTTTAATTTTGTAGAGATGAGGTCTCACCATGGTGCCAATGCTCATGTTTACTGTTTTTTAAAATCCTTAGAAAGTATACCACTATCTGTGAAGATCTAAAAGTTTCTTAAATTCTCATTTCAGACTGGGTGTGTAATTTGCATACAAACCATGTGGAAATCTTGTTAAAATGCAGATTCTGATTCAGGAAGGCTGACTGGGGCCTGAGCATGCACTTCTAACACTCTCCCACAAGGCTGATGCTGCTGGTCCATGCACCAGCTTGCAAGTTGAGAGGAGCACACAATACATTTGGTAAAGTCGAGATTCTTCTCCCATGGAATTGTCACTCCCTGCTTATTGCTCAAAATACTCTTAAGTCAGAGCTGCAAGGGAGCTTGGAAAGCATTTGGTCAGAGCTGCTGCTGACAGATGAGGAAAGTGAACCCCACGAGGGGAAGGGGCAGGCCCCAAGCCAGGGAGCTCGAGCCAGAGCATGGCTGGGGGCTCCAGGTTCCTTTTGTTTCCACAGAAGCCCAGAGCTTAGTCAGTTTCAACTGTGGGACTAGCAAAGGCTCTGTGAATGGCTGGGAAAAGCAGCAGCCCCTATAAGGATGACAGGGCCACCAGGCAGAGTGCAGACTCTATGCTAAGCACCATCCAGATGCCTTGCACGCCGACATGCTCTCAGAAAGTCCACACCACAACTCTACACAGCAGAATCATTGACTTCATTTTACACAGAGAAGCCGAGGCTCAGAGAGCAGAGCAGTCTTCCAGAAGCCACACAGCGGGTAAATGGAGAGGTAGCATCAGATCTGTGTGTGAAAGAGCCCCACATCACTGTCTCCTTAACATCCATCCTTCAGAATTTTTGCCTTAATTGTACTTGAACAACGGTTCACTTTCCATAAAGGGAAAACTAGTATCATTTGAAAGATGTATTTTCATTGTAGAAAATACATTCATTGAAAACAGTGTTATTAAAATCTAGCTAAATCTTCACCTGCAGATCCCTAGGCCTGCCCTCTTTGTTAGGAGGGGAGATTAGCAAACATTAGAGAGGTATTAAAGACAAACTAGGCCTGGCACCATAATCCCAGCACTTTGGAAGGCTGAGGCAGGAGGATTGCTTGAGGCCAAGAGTTTGAGACCACCATGGGCAGCATAGCCAGACCCCATCTCTTAAAAAAAATAAAAGAATTAGCTGGGCATGGTGGTGTGCACCTGTCATCCTAGCTAATTAGGAGGTTGAGGCAGAAGGATCACTTGAGCCCAGGAGTTCTAGGCTGCAGTGAGCTGTGATTGTACTATTGCACTCCAGCCTGGGCAACAGAGCCAGACCCTGTCTCTAAATGTGTGTATTTATTTAAATACATAAAACAGACTAGCACCACACTGAGGCTTTCCTTTTAATGAAATTTAAAGGATTGAAAGAATATTGAAGAGAGAATAATTTTGCAGGATATGAGTCTACCTTTTGCATTGCCTTGTGTGAATTTGACCTTTCTTCCATCTCCAGGACAGAACATCTCACACTAAACTACGCTACCTTTAGGTGAGCCAGGTGGTATCAGTCAAGACTGGCTTTCTGGAAAAGGCACCTGGACCAGGTTTCACATCATGGGAGGCCTAAGCTACGGTATCTCTACTTAAAGTTTCTTACTGTCCAGAGAGAGTAGTCCACACCCCTCTCCAGGGGCCTGGGGGTCCAGTCAGCAGGCTGCCTGGAGCCAGGGCACACTCTCTCCCCAAAAGATGACCCACCAGCATGTTTGCCTAATGTGGCCACTTTGGAAACATTGTTTGTTCTTATCCTGCTAAAAACAGCTTCAAAGTGACTCCTGTCTAAACTGTGCCACGATCGATTATCAAATCCCTGACCTGATCGAAACCACAGGGGGACACAGTCATTTGCTTTAATGCAATTAAAGCAAAATATAATCATGTATCCAGGCCAGGGACAAGGGCAGGGCTCTTTAGAAGGTGGGAGGAGAAACCAGCTCTGGATAATTTCTTCTCAGCTCCAAGGTAGCGAGCTTAGACTTCTCCTGCCTCCGTCTCCAAGGCAGCCTTGGGCTTTGCTGCAGAGCCACCAGGTGAGGGTGTCCTGGGCGAAGGGGGAGCTGGGAGAAAGCAGTTTTGGAGTGAGATGTGGAGGAGGGTGGGGATTTGCAGAGCACAGCCAGGAGGAAAGAAGAAAAATGAAAAAGAGGAAGAAATGGTCAGGCGCGGTGGCTCACACCTGTAATCCCAACACTGTGGGAGGCCAAGGTGGGTGGATCACCTGACATCAGGAGTTTGAGACCAGCCTGGCCAGCATGGCGAAACCCCATCTCTACTGAAAATACAAAAATTAGCCGGGTGTGGTGGCACGTGCCTGTAATCCCAGCTACTCAGGAGGCTGAGGCAGGAGAATCACTTGAACCTGGGAGCCAGAGGTTGCAGTGGGCCAAGATCGCACCACTGCACTCCAGCCTGGGCAACAGAGTGAGACTCTGTCTCAAAATAAATAAATAAATAAATAATGTGGGGAGGAAGAAAAAGATCACAGAAAGAGGAGGAAATGGACATAGCCAGCTTGATAATTTTCAGAATCTCTAACAAATCCCCAGCCTCAGGGAGGTTGAGGCTGGCAGGTCTTCCTGAAGGATGGCAGCCTCCCCAGCAGCAGGTGAGGTTGATCCAGCAGGACTTCCATGAGGAGGCACCAGGAAAATGTGTCTTCCCTTCTCAGAGAGCCACATGAGGGAAAAGATCAGGGCGAGGGCTTGCCTTTCCGTCTCCCGGCTTCGGCCCAGCATCCCCGGGCTCTGCAAAGGAGTCAAGTGTCTTCACACCACGCACCTGCCTCTCCCTCAGGGGCAGGCAGGGCTGGCAGGCTTCAAGGGACCCCCTCAGTGCTCACTGCACAGGCTGTCCGGGGGCTCCACACTCTCTGTACCGGTTCTTATGACTGCTGTGACAAAGTACCCCAGACTGGAAGGCTTAAACCACAGTTCTCACCGTTCTGGAGGATAAAAATCTGAGGCCAATATGTTGGCAATGTTGGTTCCTTCTGAGGGCTGTGAGAAAAGGATCTGTTGAGGCCTCTCTCGTCAGCTTGTAGGCTGCTTCTCCCTGTGTTTCCTGATTTCCCCTCATCTTCCTGGGTCTCGACATCATCTTCCCTCTATGCATATCTCTGTGTCCAAACTTCCCCTTCTTATAAGGACTCCAGTCGTACTGGATTGAGGCCCACACTGAGGACCTCATTTTAACTTGATTAGCTCTATGAAGACCCTAGCTCCAAATAAAGGCACATTCTGAGGCACTGGACTGAATAGTGTGTCCCCCCTCAAATTCAGATGTTGAACTTTACCCCTCATTTTAATGGGATGAGAAAATGGGGCCTTTGGGGGGCGATTAGGTCAAGAGGGTAGAGCACTCCTGGATGGGGTTAGTGCCCCCACATAAGAGACCCCGGGGAGTTCCTCCAGCCCTTCCACCATGAGAGGACGCAGCAAGATGGTCGTCCATGAACCAGAAGCGGACCTCACCAGACCCTGAATCTGCCAGTGCCTTAATGTGGACCTCTCAGCTTCCAGAACTTGGAGAAACAAAAGTCTGTAGTTTCAGCCACCCAGTCTATGCCATCCTGAACAGACTAAGGCAGGGCTTCAACATATTAATTTGGTGCGGTGGCGGGCGACACCATTCAGCATATCACACTGTCTGTGGGGAGCTCCCCACTGCTGCCTTGGGGAGGGGAGGAGAGACAACAGTCCTTGGCAATGCTCAGCACTCCCTAGCTCCAAGCCTTGAACAAACCATTTCACTTTCAAGGGCCTTGGCTTGCTCATGTGTGAAATGGACATGGTAGCAACACCAACGCTGGCTGGAGAAGAACGCAATAACACCATGTTTCCGTCCCTTTTACGTTTACTCGGATATCAGAGCTGGAAAGCATCCTTGGAACTCCTGTGCGCTCTCCCTTGCCAAATTTAGGATCCCCCAAAACGGAGAACTGCTTTCCACCTCAGAAGGTCCAGCTCTGACAGCCTTTCTTTCTCCTTCATCTCCTTCTCCTCCTTCTCTTCCTTCTCCTTTTTCTTTCTTCCTTCTTCTCTTTCTTGTTCCTGTTTTATTGATTCCCAAAACTATCATTATTTGTCATTATTGGCTACTGCTTATTAAAGACACTGTACAGACATTGTGCCAAATGCTTTACAATCTTTATCTCATTTTATCCTCACAATAACCTTACAGGATAGGAACTACTAATATTCCCATTTTATAGATGAATAAACTGATGCTCAGAGAGTTTGGGGGAGGCCCAGAGAACAGAGCCAGGAGGCTAATGAGGAAAACTGCAGAAGGCAGACCACAACTCCAAGGAAGAAAGGTCTTCCTCCCAGGCTGCCTGGGGAGGGAGGAAGACGCCCACTCCAGGATGAAAGCAGAGGCTGGATGACGAGATAGCAGAAGTTAAAGAGGAGCTTTTGCACAGAGCTCAGGGGAGGCACTGAACTTGGCAACTTCTCAAATCCCTTTCACCTCCAGACTCCAAGGGTCTCGACCTCAAAGCCCCAGCTGAGGAGAGACTCGCAGGAAAAGAAAGAGACTCTTGCAAACCCTCCCAAGTCAAACCGCCTGGTCGTCTCTCCTAGAGGCACAGCACATAGCAGGTACTAAATAAATATTAAATAAACAAATACATATGTCAATCCACTGCAGTCACAAAAATCTCTGCTATTGCTGTGAGAGCACCATCTGCTGGGAGTGGGCTAAGTTTCTCACCTAGAATATCTCGTTTCATTTCCTCTTCTCCCAAGCCCTTACCGGGTAGGTGCTATTCTTATCCCCGTTTTACAGCTGAGAAAGCTGAGACCCAGTCTGCCTGACTCCAAAGCTCTTAACCACTGTGCTAGCAGATATCAAGCCCCGCCCACAGATTCAATTAACCATTCCAGCAGTCTTGGGTCTCCAGAAACAGCCAGCATACAGTGGGTGTTTAATAATACTTAATGAATCATTGAATTGATCCATGCATCAAACCTAGCCTACTGAGGTAGACATATAACCCAACAAACAACGAAATCTCTGGTTCCATAAGAGTCCCCTAACCCAGTGCCTGGCACACAGTAGGCACTCAATAAATATTTGTGGAAAGAATGGCGCACTGGCCCCTAATGTAAGCTCCTCTGCACATAAATTTCAGCTCCAGGCACTTTGAAGTTCCCCCAGGGGACAGCTGCTTTTCCTGTTATCGATGCCCCCCCAGCCCCTCCTGGCCCCCTGGGCCCATCCAGGCCAGGGACCTGGGGCCGCCACAGCCAGGAGATAAGAATGATGGATGGCCAGCCTCCTGGCTCCACAGAAGCCTGGGGTTTCCTGGGAGCGGGAGACAGTCTAGTGATTCCAAAGCCCCTCGGAATTCGAGAGGAGAGAGCTCAAGGAGGGGGTGGAGGCAGCGGCAGAGGCATCCCTATCTCCTCAGAGATGCTGGACCCGACAGGAGGTTTCAGCACCCCCCCGGCTGCCTTGATCTCCTTCCATGTTGACAAGGCTTCCTTTCAGCATGTGCTGAACACCAGGACCCATCACTGGAGCTTCCAGTGGGAGAGGGGAAGATGGCACCCCCTCTCCCCTCCTCTCCTTTCCTCCTCCCAACTGCCAGAATCTGGAAGCAGGGCAGGCTTCCTTCCCAGTTTGTAATTCAGGCCCTGTCATTAATTGAGCCCTTGGCAAATTAAAAAGTCACAATATCTGAGCCTCAGTTTCCCCATTTGCAAAATAAGCACTGGGGGAGGTGTTCCCTTCCAGCTCTGCTGAGGCAGGATTCTAAGTAGCTAAGGAGGAAACCTGCTGTGTGGCTGAAAGTAGTGGCTGCTGCCTAGATGGGGAGGCCAGGCTTGCTCTTGGACTCAGGCAATAATAAACATGGGTTTGTTTAATTTAAAATCTCTGATCCCCAAACTGAGATGCTTCCTAACTTTGGGTAGAACCTGACCATGTTAGATTTTGAAGGACTCCAAGAAATTGAAACCTATTATTTTTGTCCTTCCCTTCTCTCTGGACCTAAGTTTATTTTAAATTTTTAAAAAAATTATTTTAACTGCCAACAATACTTGAATGTGTCTTCCTTATTTTAAAAAAAAAACATGCTGATGAAGTTAAAATGCTCTAGACAAGTCTCATCCTAATCTATTCCCCTCTCTTTCCAAAGGTCACACCATCATTTGGGGATGTATCCCCAACACTTCCACAGCACCTCTTCATATGCCTGTCTACCCAGAGACTGACACACACAGACTTGTCCTGTAGGAAATGGGATTTTATTAAAGGAGTCATCTCACACTGGGTGTGGCACCTTCCTTCCACCACTCACTCCTGGGGCCTGGAGACCCACCCATGCTGGGACACCGGGATCTGTCACCTTTCACCTACCTGGAATGCAGCTCAAGACAGGGTGGACCTGCCTTCCAGGTAAGCTCCAAGAGAGTGGAAACTTGGTCTATTTTGTTCACCACTGATTCCCAATGTCTAAAACAGGGCCTGGCAATAGTTACTCAATAACTACTGAATGAATGAATGAAGAGATGAATAAATGAATGATTCAATGCATTTAACCCACCCACTCCTGGTGGATATGTCAATTGCTTCTATTAATAACTTTTTGGGCCGAGCGTGGTGGCTCATGCCTATAATCCCAGCACTTTGGGAGGCAAAGGCGGGCAGATCACTTGAGGTCAGGAATTTGAAACCAGCCTGGCCAACATGGTGAAACCCCATCTTTACTGAAAATAAAAAAATTAGCTAGGCATGGTTGCACGTGCCTGTAATCCCAGCTACTCAGGAGGCTGAGACAGGAGAATCACTTGAACCCGGGAGACAGGGTTTGCAGTGAGCCAAGATCACGCCACTGCGCTCCAGCCTGGGCGACAGAGCAAGACTCCATCTCAAAAAATAATAATAATAATACCTTTTCACCAACACAAACACAAGTGTCCCTGAATATGCCTCTCTGTGTTCATTTTTGAGGAGCTATAACATGTGGGGGCTCCCCTAGGGCCCCAAAGGGCATTGTTTGAAATCCTCTGGTTAGGCCAAAGCCTTCATTTCACAGGTGAGCACAGGGAGACCAGGTTGGGCAAACATCTTGCCCCAAGGTCACCTAGCACATCAGGGACTGAATGAATGGAACTTTGGGGTTACTGTGAATTTCTCTTCCTTCACTCTCTTAGTGCTTACACTTTCTCTCTCCCACCACCCTACTCCACCCCAAAACTCCAGCCTATGTACCTCAGGAGGGGTGACTTTAGGGGCAGAAGTCTCATTCACTCACATAGAGAAGGAAGCTCCTACAGCATCAGGTGTCCAGGGTTTTAATCCCAGTGCCAAAGCATTTCTTTTCCTCCCTGAGCTTCCATTTCCCTAACCTGTAAAATTGGCCTAATGATGCTTGCCTAACTCTTGAAGTGAGGACAAGAAAGAGTTTGTAAAATGGAGAACAGGGATAAAAATCTAAGAGAGGGCTAGTTCAGTTTAAAATGTAGAATTTTGGCCGGGCATGGTGGCTCATGCCTGAAATCCCAGCACTTTGGGAGGCCGAGGCGGGTGGATCATCTGAGGTCAGTAGTTCAAGGCCAGCCTGGCCAACATGGCAAAACCCCATCTCTACAAAAAATAGAAAAATAAGCCAGGTGTGGTGGCACGCATCTGTAGTCCCAGCTAGTTGGGAGGCTGAGACACAAGAATCACTTGAACACAGGAGGCGGAGGTTGTAGTGACCCAAGATCGCAAGGCCCTGTAAAAAAAAAAAAAAAGGATTTTGAAAAAACAAATTTCAGGCTGGACACTGTGGCTCACGCCTGTAATCCCAGCGCTTTGGGAAGCCGAGGCAGGTGGATTGCTCGAGCCCAGATGGAGACCAGCCTAGGCAATATGGTGAAACCCTGTCTCTATCAAAAAACATAAAAATTAGGCAGGCGTGGTAGCCTGTGCCTGTAGTCCCAGCTACTCTGGAGGCTAACTAAGGTGAGAGGATAGCTTGAGCCTGAAGGGCAGGGCTGCAGTGAGCCATGATCATGCCACTGCACTCCAGTCTGGGCGAAAGAGCAAGACCCTGTCTCAAAACAAACCCAAAACAAAATTCAGGTTAAAAGATAAGGTATGTTTCTACCTTTATAAAAAGGAAAAAATGTGTGTGTATATATATACATAAACATACAATTATATACATAAAATTATATATAATTTACATAATTATATAATTTATATTTGAATGTTTGTATAAGTACAGAAAAAGTGATAGCAGTTACCAACTGCAGAGGAAGAAAGGGAAGGCTATTTTCTTTCTTTCTTTTTTTATTTTATTTTATATTTGAGACGGAGTCTCATTCTGTCACCCAGGCTGGAGTGCAATGGTGTGATCTCGGCTCACTGCAAACTCTGCTCCCAGGTTCAAGCAATTCTCCCTGCCTCAGCCTCCTGAGTAGCTGGGATTATAGGTGCCTGCCACCACACCTGACTAATTTTTGTATTTTTTAGTAGAGATGGGGTTTCGCCACATTGACCAGGCTGGCCTTGAACTCCTGACCTCAGGTGATCCACCTTCCTCGACCTCCCAGAGTGCTGGGATTACAGGCGTGAGCCACCTCGCCCAGCCCCAGGAAGGCTATTTTCTAAGTTTTCTTGTTACATTCGCTTTTGTTTGCTTTGGTGCAAGCTTGACAAAACAAAAGACATATTTATATATTAAGTATGTAACCTCAAAAACTCAAAAGTAACAAGACGAATACTGCTCTAGAAAAAAAAAAGCAAAGGCCACAAATAATCCATTTACAGAAGTAAAAATACAAATAGTGAAACAAAAAAAATAGTTAAATCTTAGAAGGATCAAATAGAAGCAAATTAAAAAAATAAAATTATCTTTTGCCTATCAAATTGTAAGAAGTGATATTAAAGGCCAGTGTTTTCACTTTGGGTACTGGTGATGGAGATTAGCTGGAAGGTGGGGACCCCGCGCCCCTCACAGTGATGACATGTCCTTCCTGTGCTGCCCCCCAGCACTCTGATAGAGCCATCTCGAGGCCAAGGAGAGATGACAGGTCAGTCTCCGTTTCCCTCGGCTTCCACCTCCTTCCCATTATAGAGACCAACTGTGGCGTCCTCTGGCCCGCTGCCCCAGCCAGAAACACTCTACCCTCATCAGACCTAAATCCCCCTTCCTCTGATAAAAGAGTCCTGTATCCTGTGACACAACCAGAAATGATTGGTAAGGTGCCTGGTACATGAAGACCATCCCCAGAGGAATCCTTCCCAAAGGAATTGCTAGATTCAGAACAGAGAATCCAGTCGCGGGGTCAGAGGTCATCTCTGTTAAGCCTCTGCCTCTAGGCAAAACTACCCCCAACGGTTTTATTTTGGTAGGTTTTTATGAAAATACAATAGCACACTAGGAAAAGCCATTAGCAGTCATCTGGCCCCATAAGTTTATTTTATATAAGGGGAAACAGGAATAGGACGGCTATGAGAAACCCAAATCACACAGATGAAGCTGCATTTAGAAGCAAGGTCCCTTGACTCCCAGTCCAGTGCTCTTTCTGCTCAGACTCATTGAGACCACATCTTTTTTTGTTCGATAGGTCTGTTCCCTTAATCCCTGTGTATCAAAATCTATCTCCTTGGTTATGGCTAAAAATCTTGCTTGTCCATTTGGGGAAGGAAGAGTTCCTGAGGTTTTATACATTCATAGTGTAGATCATATATTTAAAAGGAGAAAAGATATAGTTCTGATACAGTAATAATAAATAGCTTTTTTTTTTCAAACAGGATCTTGCTTTGTTGCCCAGGCTGAAGTGCAGGGGCTCAATCATAGCTTACTGCAGCCTCAACCTGCCAGGCTCTAGCAATACTCCTGTCCTCCTGCCTCAGCCTCTCAAGTAGCTGGGGTGACAGATGCTTGCCACCACATCTTATTTTTTTTTTTTTTTTAATTTTTAGTAGAGATGAGGTCTCACTATTTTTCCCCGGCTGGTCTCAAACTCCTGGGCTCAAACAATCCTCCTGCCTCAACTTCCCAAAGTGCTGGGATAACAGGCATGAACCACCACATCCGGCATAAATAGCATTAGTTTAAAAACAGTAAATATCTGAGAAACCAAGACAGGAGGATCACTTGAGGCCAGGAGTTTGATATCAGCCTGGGCGACGTAGCGAAACTGACTCTACAAAAGAAAAATAAATAAAAACCAAAACCTGGCGTGGTGGCCCATGCTTATAGTCCCAGCTACTTGTGAGGCTGAGGCAGGAGGATCGCTTGAGTCCAGGAGTTTGAGGTTACAGCGAGCTATAACTGCACCCCAGCCTGGGCAACAGAGCGAGACTCTGCCTCAAAACAAAACAAAACAAAACAAAACAAAACAAAAATGTAAGTATCAATCAAGAAGTAATAAAATTAAAAATCATTTAAAATAATAAAAAATTGTTAAATAAAAAATAAAATTCCCCTGATTCTATCATAGCATACAAATGCAAAACCCAGGGGTCTATTAACATGCTTGGCACACTGCCTTTGTGTTTATTTCACCTGGCACATCCCCTTGACCAAGATCTGCTTAGAGGGAGACGAAGGAAGCGGGAAAGACACACCAGGCAGGAATGGAATCTCTATGTATCCCAGGAGTCATTCTGAATACTTACCTACCTCCTGCCTGAAAATGTGTCTTAGTGTTAAGCAGATACTATTTTAAAATTCTTAAGAAAAGGCTATAAAATGGTGATTAAAAGTAGGCGTAGGCAAATGTTTTTGGTAAATAGCCAGAGAGCAAATATTTCCAACTTTGTGAGTCCCAGCGTCTGTTTGCAGTGAGTCAGCTCTACTATTCTAGTTCAAAAGCAGTCAGGGACAATACATAAACAAATGAGCATGGCTGTTTTCAATAAAACTTTATTCACAAAAATAAGCTGTGGGTAGGATTTGGCCCACAGGCAATAATTTACCAACTCCTGGTTAAGAGTATGGGCTTGGGACTCAGACTTGAATTGAAATTCCAGTTCTTCACTTGTGAGACCCTGAGCAACTGGTATAATCATTCGAGACTAGGATGCAGCTCATTGTACCTGGTTATAGAGCAGCTAGCTACTCAGTGGGACATCACTCAGTTCAGGCACGTTGTAAGTGCTCAGTAAGTGGGATTAGACAGATAAGCTACATCCCCCTTGGATAAAGGAGACCTGGGTTCTGGTTCTTTTGTTTGTTTTTTGAGATAGGGTCTCCCTCTGTCACCCAGGCTGGAGTGCAGTGGTGCAATCTTGGCTCACTGCAACCTCTGCCTTCCAGGCTCAAGCAATCCTCCCACCTCAACCTCCTGAGCAGCTGGGACCACAGGTTTGCAGGACCACACCCAGCTAATTTTTGTATTTTTTTGGTAGAGACAGGGTTTTCCCACGTTGGCCAGGCTGGTCTTGAACTCCTGGACTCAAGCAATCTGCCCACCTCGGCCTCCCAAAGTGCTAGGGTTACAGGCGTGAGCCACTGTGCCCAATTGTGTTCTGATTCTAAATCGATTGTGGCTACCAGCCATTTAACCTTGGGCAGGTAGGACGCATAACAACTCCAAAACTCTGTTTCCTCCCCCTGTAAAATGGGAAGAGAAACTCTTTTGTTGCCAGGACCTTTATATACATCATCTTACTTAACTCTCACAACAGAATCTTCTAGTTGTTTCTATCCCCGTTTACAGAAGAGGAAACTAAGTCACAGAGAGGTGAAGGGTTATTTAGCTAGCAAGTGGTGAAAACCAGAAATTTAAACAGGGACTTTTTGCCTTCAAAATTTATGATCTTTCCTTCCACTCAGTCATGTTGCCTCCCTAGAAAATGAGAAGAGCTGGCTGGTTGCGGTGGCTCATGCCTGTAATCCCAGAACTTTTTGGGAGGCCGAGGCAGGTGGATCACCTGAGGTCGGAAGTTGGAGACTAGCCTGACCAACATGGAGAAATCCCATCTCTACTAAAAATACAAAATTAGCCGGGCATGGTAGCACATGCCTGTAATCCCAGCTACTTGGGAGGCTGTGGCAGGAGAATCACTTGAACCTGGGAGGCGGAGGTTGCGGTGAGCTGAGATCGCACCACTGCACTCCAGCCTGGGCAACAAGAGCGAAACTCTGTCTTAAAAAGAAAGAAAAGAAAAGAAAAGAAAAGAAAAGAAAAGAAAAGAAAAGAAAAGAAAAGAAAAGAAAAGAACAGAGGAGAGGAGAGGAGAGGAGAGGAGAGGAGAGGAGAGGAGAGGAGAGGAGAGGAGAAGAGAGAAGAGAAGAGAAGAGAAGAGAAGAGAAGAGAAGAGAAGAGAAGAGAAGAGAAGAGAAGAGAAGAGAAAAGGAGAAGAGCAAGAGGTGTAGGGCTTCCTAAAGTACTCCAGTCCGTACAGCCATAAATTCCTGCATATCTATCTGGTATGTGAAATCCTCCCAACATCCCTGCACAGCCTCTACTTCCACACTCTGGAGAGATGGGCAGCACTGACTGCGATTACGTCTTGGATTGAATAGATCTCTGCCCTGTCACTTCCACCCACGAATCCAAATGCTATTTGAGGACCCCTCCCAACCCTTTATCATCCTTATTGCACCTCCACCCAAGGGACACAGCATGGAGCCCCCCGCCCTTCCTGCTGCCCCACCCGGGGACTGTCTCGGTGTGTCTATAGTCCTGGAAGACTGTGGCGCCCAAAGCTGCGTTCCTGCCCAGCGGGCTTAGATGTCGCAAGGGTGAGTCAGCTCATGCCCATGATAACATCTGCACAGCCCGCCTGGGAGGCAGGTGCTTCTTGAATTGGAGGGATGGGTTTGGGACACAGAGGGGCCTATTCTGTCCCTGCTGAGCCTGCCCCTCAGGCAAGGAGTAGGGGTTGGGAGAACAACAGGAAGAAAGGCCCCCCAGCTCTCTGAGAACCTCCCAAGAAAGGAGTCTCTCCCTCTGACTCCAAGAAACCTCGTCTTTAGGAACCTGTCTGGAGAAGTGGGATACGAAGTACTGGCCAGGAAGGGAACAAGGTCCTTGTGGAAATGAGCTCTGTGTTTTCTGAGGCTGAGAGGCTGGGAAGGTCAGATGACACCAGTGTGATCATTCAGAAGGCACTAGATCTTCCCAGCTGCTGGCAGGGGCATGGGGATGGAGCCAGGATACCTGGGTTCCATTCCCAATTCTGTTGAAAAACTCCTGTGATACTGAACCAATCCTGTCTCCTCTCTGGGCCTTAGTCTTTCCATCTGCGGGATGACTGTGTGGGGCTCCTTCAGCCCCTCAGAGGGAGGGTATGGCAGAGTGGCAGGAGCTCGGAGCTCTGGTCAGACAGCCCTGCATATGAATCCAGCGCTGCCTCTTCCTAGCTGTTTGTGCACAAGTTACTTAACTCCCTGAACCCTGGTTTTCTCTTCTATAAAATGAGATAATGAGTAAGTGTTTCATGTGCCTG
This sequence comes from Homo sapiens, assembly GCF_000001405.40. NCBI lineage: Eukaryota > Metazoa > Chordata > Mammalia > Primates > Hominidae > Homo > Homo sapiens. The sequence goes on from NC_000005.10 coordinate 154,584,741, forward strand.
GTTCTAGTTGGTGCTCAATAAACAGTGCTTGGTCTGGTGGCTATCTAAGGGTTCACCCACCTCAACATCCCTATGAGAGACAGTGGGAGAGATTAGGTACGCGAGTGGGGTGGGGTGGCTGGTAAGACCCCGAATGACCCCCAGGGCCAGTTTTGAGGGCACTGGAACTCCAGCTGCCTCTGCTCTCTGTGCACTTCCTGCATGCTCCTCCATCCCTATCTGTCCCCTCTCAGGATCTCTCCCCAGTCCAGATGCCTTTTGTGCTCCATCGATTCAGTCCTGTTCACCCCCTTAGGGCTCTGCTCCTGCCATCTCCCCTTGAGCCCTCTCTAACCTCTTCTACTTCTGCCATCCTACAGCCTCTCTTTCGGAAACATATGCTTGGTGACAGCCACCTTATATTTTGTATTATCTGGTGGGTAAAGCTGAGCTGCAGGCTGGGCCAATTTACCCATTAGGCACAGTATCAAGGCCCACAATACATTTAGTAGTCCATAAAAATGGTTTAATGTTCATATCTTTTTAAATCGGAAGAGAAAAAGGAATATAATAAGAATTAATATATAGCAATGAATCCAACGTGGATTCACAACACAGTGGCAAATATTTTAAAATACTTTCTAATTGAAGAAGGGACACATGAAGGCAAAGTGTCCAAGACCCATGAAAGTCACAATGTGGCCCCGACAACAGGGTTGTATCTGTGCCCTGCTGCACCCCCAGGTCTGGCACAAGTCTCTGCCCAGTACTGCTAGACCATATGCTCCATGGAGGCAGGGAAGGGTCATCCTGCTCATCACCATACCCCCAGTGCCTAGCACATAGTAGGGGCTTGAAAAACCTATGTATGTCAAAGGAAAGGCAGTCAGAAGGCCTGTGTGTGGGTGCCTGTAACATGCAGACAGGCGTTTCTCCTGTGGATCTTTGTTTCTGTCTTCAGAACATGCCTAAGCAGAATGAAACTGAGTGCTTAGAATGATATACTCTTGGAAAGTGGGAGTTGGAAGAGATCATTCATTCATCCCACAAACGTTTCTTAAACACCTATCAGCTGTGGTCAAGGGCTCTTACAGAAAGTCCTTAAAAGGACTTCAAAGGCTGGCATGGTGGCTCATGCCTGTAATCCCAACACTTTGGGAGGCCAAGACTGGCAGATCATTTAAGCCCAGGAGTTTGAGACCAGCCTGGGCAACATGGCAAAACCCTGTCTCTATAAAAAATGAAAAATAAAAATGGGCGGCTGGGAGCCATGGCTCATGCCTGTAATCCCAGCAATTTGGGAGGCTATGGTGGGCAGATCACTTGAGGTCAGGAGTTCGAGACCAGCCTGGCCAACATGGTGAAACCCCATCTCTACTTAAAAAAAATAAAAATTAGCTGGATGTGGTGGCAGGCACCTGTAATCCCAGCTACTAGGGAGGCAGAGGCAGAAGAATCGCTTGAACCTGGGAGGCGGAGGTTACAGTGAGCCAAGATTGCGCCATTGCACTCCAGCCTGAGCAACAAGAGCGAAACTCCGTCTCAAAAAAAAAAAAAAAAATTTAACTAGTGCAGTGGCTCATGCCTGTAATCCTAGCACTTTGGGAGGCTGAGACGGGTGGATCATCAGGTCAAGAGTTCGAGACCAGCCTGGCCAACATGGTGAAACCTTGGCTCTACTCTAAAAATACAAAAATTAGCTGGGTGTGGTAGCAGACACCTGTAATCCCGGCCACTCCGGAGGCTGAGGCAGGAGAAATCGTGAACCCAGGAGGTGGAGGTTGCAGTAAGCTGAGATCGCACCACTGCACTCCAGCCTGGGCAACAGAGCAGAAACTCTGTCTCAAGAAAAGAAAAAAAAAAAGAAAAAAAGAAAAATTAAAATTAACCAGACTTGGTGGCATGAGCCTGTAATCCCAGCTACTCAAGAGACTGAGGTCGAGGCTGTAGTGAGCCATGATCATGCCACTGCACTCTAGCATGGGGACAGAGACAGACCCTGTCTTTAAAAAAAAAAAAAAAAAAGAGGACTTCAAGGGTTCCAAGAACCCCTGAATGTGTAAGTAAAACTTGGAATCTGCACATGTAACCTGCATTTTCTAGAGAGATATTCTGACATCAGATTGCCAAAGGCCAATGTCTGCAGAATGTTAAAAGCTATCAGTTAGAACCCTCTACCCAACAGGCTGTTTTTACAGTTTCAGAAAAACTGAGGCCCAGAATAGGGAAATGACTTGTTCAAGGTGGCACAACTAGTCAAAAGCAGCAGCAGCCTCCCCACATCTTGACATCCTCAAGAAAGGACTCCTCCTGGCCGGGCGCAGTGGCTCACAACTGTAATCCCAGCACTTTAGGAGGCTGAGCCGGGCAGATCACAAGGTCGGGAGATCAAGACCATCCTGGCCAACACGGTGAAACCCCATCTCTACTAAAAATATAAAAATTAGCTGGGCATGGTGGTGCGTGCCTGTAATCACAGCTACTCGGGAGGCTGAGGCAAGAGAATCACTTGAACCAGGGAGTTGGAGAAAGAAAGAAAGTTAGAAAGAAGGAAAGAAGAAAGAAAGAAGGAAAGAAAGAAGGAAGGAAGGAAGGAGAGAGAGAGAGAGAAAGAAAAAGAAAGAAAGAAAGAAGGAAAAGAAAGGACTCCTCCATTCATTGGCAGGGAGTGGCTGGAGAAGGGCCAGAAACCAAGGAGATTCTGTGGGTCTCTGGATTCCAAGGAGCCTCTCCTCTGAACCCCTGACTTCCTCACCTCCCCCCCCAACACACACACACACACACACAGACGCCTTTCTGAACATCCCCCAGGTTCCACCATTGGAGGCCTGGTGTTGGTTCAAGTCAAGTGGAGATAACCTCTCCCAGGGATGTGTAAACATCCAGTGGGCGTCCGGGGCAGAAGAATGTGGAAATGGAATTTTTTTTCCCTCTGAGGGCTGCACATCTTCTGCCAGACTGTGTCAAATTTGCAGTGGCCTGAGATCCTTGGGGTCCCCATCTGTGTGTGCCCTGATGCTTTCTCACTGTGGATGACATCTCCAGCCTTAACAAAAAAGGCTTCTCAAATGGCTGCGACCCCACTCTCTCTCAGCACACGCCTTTTCCTGAGCCACACGCCTTCTGTGGCTTGCAGCCAGGGGTTGCCAGCTGGGGCTGGCCCTTCCTTCAGAAGGGTGTTAAAAGGGGTCGGGAGATTTTATGTGGAGACAAGTGGTTTGAATTTAGGGGGAGGACACAGGGGAGCTCATTAGAAAGCCCAGTTGTGGTAAAGAGATATTTGTTTTATCCTACTTTTTAGGAAACCAGATCTTAGAAAAATAGCACCAAGCTTGAAATGAAGCAACACCTTTTTTTCTCCCTCAGCTACAATTTGTTTTCAGGTTTAAAAGAAAAAAAGCACCTCTTTTTTCAAAAATTTGGCCCAAAGAATCAAGCAGAAATGCACTAAAGTTCCATTCAAAACAGAAAACGCGACAGTTGATCCTCCCGGCCACTCCTAGGGTTGTGGGTTTGCACATCCACCCTATGTGCCCTCAGCCTTGAGTAGGTGAAAGGGAGGTAGACACCGAGTGGCGTAGAGGGTTGGTAGACCCGGGCTGTCCACCCAGCACTCAAAACACGGCGTTGTTAGCTGTTGCCAATGTTTGGAAAGAGAAAAAAAAAATGAATCCCACCCCCTATCTTTATTCTTCTTGCTATTTGCCCATTCTACTTAATCTAGAAGTACCAAGATGATTTCCGGATATGTTTGAAGTGGCCTGGAATTCACTTTTGGAATCAGAGACTGTGTCACTGAATTACACAAAACTCTTGCGCGGCTAGCGTGCATGAGCATGTGTGCACACACACACACACACACTCTCAGTGCTGCACAAATGCCACCTTCCTCACATGGCCCTCTCCTCAGCCCTCCATACAGACTCTGCTTCTCTTCCTCGGGGCTTGCAAAGAGCTTGGCAGGTTCCTCTTTGCTGGAGCTGATTATGCTAGACCTCACATCAGAACCACTTGTGCAAATGAAAATCCCCTCCAATCATCAGGAGAAAATTCAAAGGCTCCTTCACATGGACAACAAAGAATAATAGCATTAAAATGTCTTCGAGTTGGCCGGGTGTGGTGGCTCACACCTGTAATCCCAGCACTTTAGGAGGCCAAGGCAGGCGGATCACAAGGTCAGGAGATCGAGACCATCCTGGCCAACATGGTGAAACTGCATCTCTACTAAAATACAAAAAATTAGCAGGGCATGGTGGCACTGGCCTGTAGTCCCAGTTGGGAGGCTGAGGCAGGGGAATTGCTTGAACCCAGGAGGCGGAGATTGCAGTGAGCTGAGATCACGCCACTGCACTCCAGCCTGGCGACAGAGCAAGACTCCACCTCAAAAAAAAAAAAAAAAAAAAGTCTTAAAGTCAGAGGTACTTATAGAACCTCTTCACAGGGCTATTGTGAGAATTAAGTGCTGTAGCTTGGCCCAGAATACAGTGAGCAGTCATCGCAAATATTATAAGTATTTGCTGCAATGCATTATGGCAGGAAAGGAAATGCTTAAGGCTGTCACTTTTCAGCCAAGCTCCTTCCTTTCCTGTAACAAAATTAAGAGAGTAACATATTGGGAGCCCTTGAGTCTGTGTGCCCAGTGACACACCTTTGGGGACCAACCAAGCAGCCAAGGACCATACATAAAACACGGAAATTGAAGTGATCATTATTCAGTTGTGAATTCAAGTAACATTTGATAGTTGTTATGTTATTAATTTCATGGTTGGATCCTAAGTCATTAACCTGTGTAGTTGTTGACTCCAAGCTGGAAAATATCTCAGAAGCTCAACTTCCCACCTTCTTCAGTCATCTCCCTAATGGATGGCCATTCAGCTTTCTAAACCCTTCCACCATCGACACCCAGAGGAGTGAGAAGGTACATTCTGGTGTTGAGCTGAAATCTGTCTTCCTGCAACACCCACCCACTGGCGACCCACTTTTGTCCCTCAGGACTCCTCAAGTCTGCTGCTCCTCATCAGCGAGGAGCCTTGAGTTCTGTGGAAACAGCTCTCCTGTCCCCACCTCCCAAACTGCAAGTCTTTTAAGGCCTGAAGTGAAAAATGTTAGAAAAGGAAAGGAAACTCTCCCTTATCATTGTAGTTCAGGTGAACTCCCAGGAGACGTGTGAATCCTATGTTTTTATTTGGCAAAAATAGCCTGAGTTGTCCCCAAGACCTGAGTCTGTAGGCTCAAGTGTCATGTCTCTCTGCGCCTGTGGAAAGATGGAGTCATCCATGTCTCCTCTCCCTTTTGGCCAGTTCTCCCAAGGCATGTCCAGATGAGAGAAATCCCCATCTCAAAGAAGGGATGAGGAAAGGATCCAAATGGGGTCAGGAGGACTGGGTTCCCCACGGGCAAGCTGTGACCTTAGGAAAGCACCTCCCTATGACTCAGTTTCCCCATTTCTTTAAAGGACTGAGTGATTCCTGAGGGCCTTTCTAGAGATAAAGTTAGGACAATGAAAAGGGCTGTGGTGCCTCTGGGCATAGGTGTGTGATGCTGGGTTTCCATGGCAACCATGTTCTCCATCTCTGATGTTCTCCTACATCCGAGGGGAGTTGCTGCTGCTCCTCCTGCCTGGATGGTTTTCCCTTGCTTTTCATAAGACTGACTCCTCTCCTCCACCAGGCCTGAAGGTCTTTCATGGCCACCTCCAAACAACCTGGTCTCTCCTGCACCCTACTGCTTTCCTCCCAGCGCTGGTGGCCTTCAGAGACTATCTTATTTCATTTGATGTGTTTGTAACATCTGTTCCCACTGGTAGGCACCCCATGAGGACAGGAGCCCTGTCTGCCTTATTTAGGGTGCTGCATCCCTTGCCCCCAGTGTGGGGTCTGGCATGTGGTAGGCATTCAATGCATGTTGAATAAATAAACAAACGAATGAATGAATAAATGAATGAGTCAATGGACCTGGCTGGTGGTTTCCTGTGGGCCATGTCCCTCCCACCAGCCACTTCTTTCTCTTCCTTGCCTCTCTGCCTCCCTTCTCCCCTCCCCCTCCCCCTCCTTTGTCCAAATCTGTCATTTTTATTCCAGCTGTTTTATACCAGGTGTTTTACTCCTGTTCTCTCTCCTCCTCTCTACCTGTCTGCTTCACATGCTCCCTTCAAGGTCAGTGTGTGCCCCGTCATCAGCACCTCCCTGAAGCCTGGAAGGATAGGTTCAGACCACAGGGCCCTCTTCCCCTTCAAACATCTAAGCCCCTCATTCACCTGGTGCCCTGCCATTCACTGCAGACTTCTCCGAATGGTTTCCTGGCCACAGTCTCTGGAAGGGGCAGAGCAGACACACATAAAATGTGCCACTTCTGGCATACAGTGGTGCTAGGCCCAAGTTACTGACAGGTAGCTGTAGATCGAAGTCTTCAACACTAAATTAGTGCAGTCTAAATACACTAAACCAGTGAGTAGGGAGGTGCACGCCAGTCCCCAATCCCAGGCCATTGGGCTTCCCTGCACTCCATCAACTCCGATTTGCTGTTTTTAGCTTTTCTCATGAAACCTATCTATTCAAACATAAACCAAAAGGAATAATACGATGGACAGCTACATGCCCATTTCATGGCCTGGTATAATATCTTAGCCCTTCATTGGCCATTGTTCTTATCTCCAGGATGAGTTCGTATGTCTGTTTTTTGTTTTGTTTTGTTTTTAGACTGAGTTTTGCTCTTGTCGCCCAGGCTGGAGTGCAATGGCGTGATCTCGGCTCACCGCAACCTCTGCCTCCCAGGTTCAAGCGATTCTCCTGCCTCAGCCTCCCGAGTAGCTGGGATTACAGGCATGTGCCACCACGCCTGGCTAATTTTGTATTTTTAGTAGAGACGGGGTTTCAACATGTTGGTCAGGCTGGTCTCAAACTCCTGACCTCAGGTGATCTGCGCCCCTTGGCCTCCCAAAGTGCCAGGATTACAGGTGTGAGCCACCATGCCCGGCCATGTCTGTTTCTTAGATCTCAGATTTGCAGGGTCAAGTTAACCACCTCCTCTGTTCATGGCATATTACCACTGTCAGTCCATGATGCCTGAAGTTTACAAATTTATTTTCTCTCTTCCCATTTATCCTCATCACTCACTCCCATACTCACATGGGACACACACACATACAACACAACACATACACACACAACACACACATATACAAAAGCAAGTGTTATATTGGCTTAATGTACACCTTTTAAAACTAAAATACGCATCATCATTTTGTGTATGTCTGTATGTGTGTGTGTGTGTTTACTTTTTTTTTGAGATGGAGTTTCAGTCTTGTTGCCCAGGCTGGAGTGCAATGGCGTGATCTCAGCTCACCACAACCTCCGCCTCCTGGATTCAAGTGATTCTCCTGCCTCAGCCTCCCAAGTAGCTGGAATTACAGGCATGTACCACCACGTCTGGCTAAGTTTGTATTTTTAGTAGAGACAGGGTTTCACTATATTGGCCAGGCTGGTCTCTAACTCCTGACCTTGTGATCTGCCCGCCCCGGCCTCCCAGAGTGCTGGGATTACAGGCGTGAGCCACTGTGCCCAGCCTGTTCTTACTTTAAGTTCTGGGATACATGTGCAGAATGTTCAAATTTGTTACATAGGTATATGTGTGCCATGGTGGTTTGCTGCACCTATCAACCCAGCATCTAGGTTTTAAGCCCCAAATGCATTAGGTATTTGTCCTAATGCTCTCCCTCCTCTTGCCCCCTACACCCCCGACAGGCCCTGGTGTGTGATGTTCCCCTCCCTGTGTCCATGTGTTCTCATTGTTCAACTCCCACTTATAAGTGAGAACATGTGGTGTTTGGTTTTCTGTTCCTGTGTTAGTTTGCTGAGAAGGATGACTTCCAGCTTCATCCATGCCCCTGCAAAGGACGTGAACTCATTCTTTTTTTATGGCTGCCTAGTATTCGATGGTATATATGTGTCACATTTTCTTTATCCAGTCTATCATTGATGGGCATTTGGTTTGGTTCCAAGTCTTTTGTGTGTGTGTTTTTTGTGGTAAAATATACATAACACAAAGTTTACCATTTTAGCCATTTTTAAGGATGTTATTCAGTGACATTCAATACATTCATGATGTTGTGTAACCATGACCACTATCCAGCTCCAAAACTTTTTCATCACACCAAACAGAAACTCCGTACCATGAAGCAATAGCCCCCCATTTCCCCCACCCTCGACCCCCAGTAACCATCATCCTACTTTCTGCCTCTATGAATTTGTCTATTCTAGATACCACATATAAGTGGAATCATACAATATGTGTCCTTTTGCGTCTGGTTTATTTCATTTAGCGTAATGTTTTCGAGGTTAATCCATATTGTAGCACGTATCAGAAGGTCATTCCCCTTTAAGCTGTATAATATTTCATTGTATGTACAGTAGTGCCCCCTTATCTGCATTTTACTTTCCGTGGTTTAGGGTACTGGCAGTCAACCACAGTTCAAAAATATTATGTGGAAAACTCCAGAAATAAAAAATTTATAAGTTTTAAGTTGCATGCCATTCTGAGTAGCATGATGAAATCTCACAATGTCCCACTTCATCCTAGCCAGGACAATGAGTCATCTCTTAGTACAGCGTGTCCATGCTGTATATGTATGCACTCCTTTTATACCTTTCAATGTTTTAGAATTTTCTCTAAGAAGTTCTTTTGGTATATTTAGTCTAAGATATCTTTATAGTTTTAGTTGGTATTATAAAAGATATCTTTTCATAGGAATACAATACCTGTGAATACATAGGAATGCAATTGATATTTTCACATTGTATGCATAGGGTTCAGTACTATCCAAGTTTCAGGCATCCACTGGGGGTCTTGGAATATATCCCTTGAGGATTAGGGGGTATTACTCTATATGCCACATTTTGTGTATCTATTAACCTGCTGATGGACACTTGGATGGTTTCTATATTTTGGCTATGGTGAATATGAACACTATTGCTATCAACAGTGTTGTACAAGTATCTGTTTGAGTCTCTGTTTTCAATTATTTTGGTTGTATATCTAGGAGTGGGATTGTTGTATCATATTGTAACTCTATGTTTAACTTTCTGAGGAACTGTCAAAGGATTTTTCACAACAGCTGCACCCTTTCACATTCCCACTAGCAATGCCCAAGGGCTCCAATTTCTCCACATCCTTGCCAACACTTGTTATTTTCCATTTTCTGGTTTTTGTTTTTTTAATAATAGCCATCCAAGTGGATATAAAGTGATATCTCATTGTACTTTTGATTGGCATTTCCCTAGTGACTAATGATGTTGAGTATCTTTTCATGTGCTTACTGGCCATGTAGGTATCATCTTCAGAGATATGTCTATTCAAGTCCTTTGTCCCTACTCTTTTTTTTTTTTTTTTTTTGAGACAAGGTCTTGATCTGTTGCCCAGGCTGGAGTGCAGTGGCTAGATCATAGTTTATTGTAACCTCAAACTCCTGGGCTCAAGCAGTTCTCCCACCTCAGCCTTCTCAGTTGCTAGGACTATTGGCGCATGTCACAACAACTGCCTGTTTTTTTCAATTTTTTTTTTTTCTTAAGAGATGGAGTCTCTGCAGGGTGTGGTGGCTCATGCCTGTAATCCCAGCACTTTGGGAGGCCAAGGTGGGCAGATCACTTGAGGTCAGGAGTTGGAGGCCAGCCTGACCAATGTAGTGAAACCCCATCTCTACTAAAAATATAAAAATTGGCTGGTCTGTGGTGGCACAAGCCTGTAATTCCAGCTACTCACAAGGCTGAGGTGGGAGAATCACTTGAACCTGGGAGGCAGAGGTTGCAATGAGCCAAGATTGTGCCACTGCATTCTAGCCTGGGCGACAGAGGGAGACCCTGTCTCAAAAAAAAAAAAAAAAAAGAGAGAGTTGGAATCTCACTATGTTGCTCAGGTTGGTCTCAAACTCCTGGCCTCAAGTGATCCTCCTACCTCAGCCTCCCATAGTGCTAGGATTCCAGGCATGAGCCACCACACCAAGCACCCCATTTTTTAATTGGGTTGTTTGGTTGTTTGTTGTTGAATTGCAGGTGTTCTTTGTATATTCTGGATGTTACTCCCTTATCAGATATATGATTTGCAAATATTTTCTTCTATCCTGTAAGTTTTACTCTCTTGATGGTGAGAGAAAACCTTCAATGCACAAAAGTTTTTAATTTTGTGGTAAAGTCCAGTTTGTTTCTGGCATGTGTGGCCTGTGCTTTTGGTGTCCTATTTAAGAAATTAAGGCCAGGCATGGTGGCTCACGCCTGTAATCCCAGCACTTTGGGAGGCTGAGGTGGGCGGATCACCTGAGGTTGGGAGTTCAAGACCAGGCTGACCAACATGGAGAAACCCCGTCTCTACTAAAAATACAAAAATTAGCTGGGCATGGTGGCCCACACCTGTGATCCCAGCTATTCGGGAGGCTGAGGCAGGAGAATCACTTGAACCCGGGAGGCGGAGGTTGCAGTGAGCCGAGATCTTGCCATTGCACTCCAGCCTGGGCAACAAGAGCAAAACTCTGCCTCAAAAAGAAAAAAAAAAAAGAAATCAACACCAAATCCAAGGTCATGAAGATTTTCCCGCATATTTTCTTCTAAGAGTGGTATAGTTTTAGTTATTAAGTTTAGGTCTTTGATCTATTTTTAGTTAATTTTTGTATATAGTGTAAGGTAAGGGTCCAGCTTCATTCTTTTGCATGTGGATATCCTGTTTTCCCAGTACCATTTGTTGAAAAGACTGTTCTTTTCCCATTGAATGGTCTTGGCACCTTTAGACATGAGAGAACTAAGGCTCAGAGAATCACAGGAAATATCTGAGCCAGAATTTGAAATAAGGGCAGCATTCCAGGCCTGTCCCTCCACCAAGGCCAACTTACAGTCCCTTTGGCTTCCCCACATGCTCACAGTATGTCAGCTGATCGATGAACACCTGGCCCTGGGGGGTCTGGAGCCCAGAGAGGGAAAGGGAGCCATCCAACAGCAGCAGTACAGCTGAGGGAGCAGAGTGGGGCCTGGCATCCGGGCAGCATGACCCCTGCCCATGAGGATGCTCCGGCTAGCGGTCAGGAGGAGCAGGGTCATTCCATGCACACCTCCTGTGGTGAAAGGCCCTGCTGGCAGCCCATAAATCTGGCTGGGCCCTGCTGATCCTGTTTACCAGATTAGTGGACTGGGTGTCTCCGTATAAATCACCCAGGGTGATTTACAGGGAGGCCCTGGAAATTTCGAAGTCCCGACTGACTCAGGCCCCCAGGGAGGGGCAGATAAGTGCCGCCTGAGCCCACTCAGCATCTCCCGTCCCAGTGAAGGCTGATGGTGGGGACCCTCCTCCTCCACCCGCCCTCACCGGGTGAGTCCCTCTACATCCCTGTTTAAAGTTGATCCTCCTCTTGTGGGTCCTGACATACTTTAAAAGTTCCCAAGGCAGGCCAGGTGCAGTGGCTCACACCTGTAATCCCAGCACTTTGGGAGGCTGAGGCGGGCAGATCGCTTGAGGCTGGGAGTTCGAGACCAGCCTGGACAACATGGTGAAACCCCATCTCTGCTAAAAATACAAAAATTAGCCAGGTGTGGTGGTGTATGCCTGTAATCCTAGTTACTTGGGAGGCTGAGGCAGAAGAATAACTTGAACGCAGGAGGTGGAGGTTGCAGTGAGATCACACCACTGCACTCCAGATTGGGCAGCAGAGCAAGACTCTGTCTCAAAAAAAAAAAAAAAGTTCTGGCAATTTTAGGAACAGCCTGTATCAAATAATGTACAGCAAGAATGAAAAGCCAGCCTCTGTGGCTCACAGCTATAATCCTAGCACTTTGGGAGACCAAGGCAGGAAGTTCACTTGAGGCCAGGAGTTCGAGACCAGCCTGGGCAATATAGCAAGACCCTGCCTCTAAAAAAAATAAGAAAAGAAAAAGAATGTAAAATAGGATAGGCAAATTGTGAAAAAACAATGAAGGTAAACTGTGAGATAGATAAGGTTGCAATCTTTTTTTTTTTTTTTTCGAGACGGAGTCTCACTCTGTCACCCAGACTGGAATGCAGTGGCACGATCTTGGCTCACTGCAACCTCCGCCTCCTGAGTTCAAGCAATTCTCTTGCCTCAGCCTCCTGAGTAGCTGGGATTACAGGTGTGTGCCACCATGCCCGGCTAATTTTTTTTGTATTTTTAGTATTTTAGACGGGGTTTCACCATGTTGGCCAGGCTGGTCTCAAATTCCTGACCTCGTGATCTGCCTGCCTTGGCCTCCCAAAGTGCTGGGATTGCAAGCATGAGCCACCACGCCCTGCCAAAGTTGCAATCTTTATGCAATAAAATGAATAGCTAACTTTTACGGGTTGCTTACCATGTGCCATCCATCAACCTACCTTTTTTGACATGAATCATTGTTTAACTTCACAATAAACCTATGAGATAGGTACTATGATTATCCCCATTTTATACACAAAACCACCAAAACATAGAGAGGTTAATTGACTTGACCAGGGACAAGGTCACCAAACTTGAGTCCCAGTAGTGAAGGTGAGATTCAAACCAAACAGTCTGCCTGTCAGAGCCATGAACTTACCCACTTCGGTGTGCAGCATTCTTCCTGCTTATCACTCACTTGTTGACACAGGATTATGAAGGTAGAAGATGGCTAAGGCAGTAAGTGGTACAGTGTTTAAGAGATGGCATTTGCAGTTGGAAAGCCTAGGATGTAAGTCCCAGCTCTGCCACTTACTAGCTTGTGATGTGGGCAAATCACTTTATTATCTGTGCCTCAGTTTCCTCATCTGTAAAATGGGGATAATTAATAATAGTACCTCCCTAGTAGGAAAGCTGGTCTCCTGCTGTGTATTTTAAGTAATAAATAAGATTATGTATTTAAAATGTGTTCAGCACAATACCAAGCATGTAGTTATGAACACCAAATATGTGGTAGCCTATTATTATTTATTTTAACTCTGACCTTAAGAAACTCCTAAACCAGTGGTGGAGACTCAAATTTACACAAGGAACTCCAAACAAGATGGAGTACAATACTGCAGAATGGAGGTTCAAGCTAGAAGGGGCAGTGAACTCTAAGTGGAAGGACCATAAAAGTACCATGGAGCAGTGGCTGGGACCTGAGCTATGAAACCTGAGTGAGATTTCCTAAAACCACGAAAATGGGGAAACACTGAGAGCACTTTCTTATCAAAAATACGTGGCAAGTGATGGACTACACACTATCAACTGCCAGGCCATACACTGTTTGCACCTGTCAACATCTCCCCTTTGGCTGTGATATTCCTATCAGTGGAGATAGTACCTAATTCTTCACAATATTTCTTCCATGCCTCCCCATGACTGAATCATAACAGATCCCCAGTACATGTTGGATGGATGGATGGATACATGGATGGATGGATGGATGGATGGATGGATGGATGGATGGTTGGATGGATGGATGGGGGATGGTTGGATGAAGAGGTGAGTGGATGGATGGATGAATGGATGGATGATGGCTGGATAGATGGGTGGATGGATGGATGGATGAACAGTTAGATGAGTAGATGGATGAATAAATGGATGGATGGACAGGTATACAAAGTAGATGGACAGGCGAATAGGAGGATGTTTGTTACACGGATGGATGGATGGATGGATGGATGGATGGATGGATGGATGGATGGTTGAATGGATGGATGTTTGGGTTGATGGGTAGATGGATGGATGAGTGGGTAGATGAGCATGTGGATGGATATATGGATGGGTGGGGTAAGTGATGAGAATGTGACTGAAGGTCAGGTGCATGCATGGTGGCTGCCTACTGAGTTCCCACCTCAGGGCCATTGTCTTTAGGGTTATTCTCTAAAATATTCCCTTGCCTGAATTATTCTCCAAAATATTCCCTTGGCTTACCTTCCTTGTTTCATGTAAGGCTGTGGTTAAATATCACTTCTTCAAGGAAGCCTTCCCTGATCACTCAATCTAAAACAGAACCCGCTTTGACTTTGTACCCTCCTATGTTTCTAGCAGTGTTTATTCCTCCCTAGCATAGTAGCTATTTGCTTGTTTGTTCTCTCCCATCAAATGTAAGCTCCATGGTGGCAGATGCTTTCTCTGCTTTGCTCACTTCTCTATCACCAACACCTAATACAGAGCTTGGCACAGAGAGGGTCTTTAATGAACATTTGTTAGATGAACTGAAGGATATAATAAGCAGCTAGGAAGGAAGGGTGAGATCTGATCTTGGAAATCTCTGGAATCTCAGCAAAAATTGACAAAGTGCTCTATTAATTATAATGCTGATGTTTTCTCTCATTTGTTCCACAATTTACACATCACAAAGGACTTTGCCATTCATTATCCCATCTGCACACATTTGAAGTAGGCAGGAAAGACAGTTGAGTCATTTAAAAACTTTTCACAGTAGTGATATTTTATCGTTCATACTGATGTGTTGCAAAATTTCCACTTGATACTGGAAGGGTAAAAAATACGGTAAAATTCAGCCAGGCATGGTGGCTCACACCTGTAATCCCAGCACTTTGGGAGGCTGAGGCAGGCAGATCATGAGATCAGAATTTCGAGACCAGCCTGGCCAAAATAGGGAAACCCTGTCTCTACTAAAAATACAAAAAGTAGCTGGGTGTGGTGGCGCACACCTGTAGTCCCAGCTACTCAGGAGGCTGAGGCAGGAGAATCGCTTGAACCCAGGAGGCAGAGGTTGCAGTGAGCCAAGACGGCGCCATTGCACTCCAGCCTGGGTGACAGCAAGACTCTGTCTCAAAAAAAAAAAAAAAAAAAAAAAAACCATATATCTATGGTGAAATTCTTTCCATGAGCCTCCCACCCTTCTTTTTGCCTTGAGATATTCACTGTGGAGAACTGAGGGCTACAGTTACAATCTTCACTTTAATAGGTGGGGAAACTGGGGCTCAGATAAGCTAAGAGACTTGCCCAGAGTCACACAGCTACTCAACAGCAGAGCCAGATGTATTTGTTTATTCCACCTTGGGTATCTTTTTTTTTTTTTTTTTTTTTTTTTTTTAGTAGAGACAGTCTCACTGTGTTGCCCCAGCTGGTCTAGAACTCCTGAGCTCAAGCAATCCTCCTGCCTTGGCCTGCCAAATTGCTGGGATTGCAGGTGTGAGCCACCATGCCTGGCCCACCTCAAGTATCTATTAAGCACCAATTATACAGCCCATGAGATATTATTTCTTGGACCCCCAGTTCCTCTTAGCCCAGGGCAATCCCAGGCAGAACTAAGTAGGGCGGGTTTGAGGGGGACTCAGTCGTCTCTCAGCACAACCAGCAGAGACGCTTTTCTTGCCAGTCCCCAGTCTTGGATGAGCCCACTCAGCCCCACTAGGCTCCTGGGCAGCCAAGATGTGAAAGGATGCCAATCTGGGCTGATTGGAAATATTCTGAGCACCTCTGCTGGCGCTCTCAGCTGCCTAAACATCCTTTCTCTCCTCTCTTGTTGATCAGCTACTCATTGTGTGCCAGTCACTTGCCATGCAGTATCTTCCCTAACACTCTCAATAATGACATATATATATTTTTTAGATGGAGTCTTGCTCTGTCGCCCAGGCTGGAGTGCAGTGGTGTGATCTTGGCTGATTGCAACCTAACCCCCCTGGGTTCAAGCAATGCTCCTGCCTCAGCCTCCCAAGTAGCTGGGATTACAGGCGCCTGCCACCATGCCTGACTAATTTTTGTATTTTTAGTAGAGACGGGGTTTCACCACGTTGGCCAGGCTGGTCTCGAACTCCTAACCTCAGGTGATCTGCCCGCCTCGGCCTCTCAAAGTCCTGTGATTACAGGCATGAGCCACCATGCCCGGCCTTCCATGACCTATTTTTATCTCCACTTGAACTGAGGTCCAGAGAGCTCCTGTGGCCAGCCCAAAGCTGCACGGCTACCCAGGGAGAGCTGGGGCTTGAACTTGGAGCCTACAGCCCTCGGACTCTAGAGCCAGTGCTCTTTGCTGCCTCCTTCTGTACCCCATTCCTGGGGTCCCCTGCTCCTCAGCCTCACCTGACTTTTGCCCCCACACTCTGTGCCAGAGCCCTGGGCTTCTACCTGTCCAAGGAGACTCCTTGGCCCTTCAGGGCCGTGGCTTCCCCTGCCTCTCTTCAGAATTTCTCCACTTCCTCTCCTGACACCATCTTCCTTTCCATCACGACCCCCCTGGGCCATCCCACCCTGCTCCTGCCCCTTCTCCCTTTGCCAGTTTCTCCCCCACAGAATATAAACCATCTTCCCCATTTTTAAAAGAAAGCCCTCCCCAGTTCTTTTTCTTCTTCAAACTACCACTTCCTATTTCTGCTTTATTTTACGACCAAACTCCTTGGAACACCAACAACAAAAGTTCTATGTGTCTTTTTCAGCCTGTGCTCCTCCAGAATGACCTGGGTGTTGGAGAGATCCGTATTTCAGTCCTCACTCTGCCTCTGGGTTATGGGGTGACCCTGAGCAAGTCACAGCACCCCTCTGGGCCTCAGCATTCTCATCTGTAAAATGGGGATATTGACATGCTTCCCTCACGGCCTCATTGTGATCACAAGATGAGATAAAGTACGTAAGGAACATAGTGCCGTATGGCAGGGGGACTCACTTTGTCATTCAATGCTGTCCTCCCATACCTGGCGTAGTCCTGGCACGGGTAGGCTTAACATAAAACATTTGCTGCATGAGGAACTGCAGGAGTGAACTTCACAGGGGCCTTGCCTCCCCATCACCCTTTCCTGGTTAGGCCCTCCTTGATTGTTTTTATTTTTACTTTTTTTTTTTTTTAGATGGAGTCTCTCTGTGTCGCCCAGGCTGGAGTGCACTGGCGTGATCTCAGCTCACTGCAACCTCCGCCTCGCTGGTTCAAGCAATTCTCCTGCCTCAGCCTCCCAAGTAGCTGGGATTACAGGCACCCACCACCACGCCCAGCTTATTTTTGGATTTTTAATAGAGACAGGGTTTCACCATGTCGGCCAGGCTAGTCTCAAACTCCTTACCTCAAGTGATCTGCCTGCCTCAGCCTTCCTGTGCTAGGATTACAGGTGTGAGCCACTGTGCCTAGCCAGGCCCTCCTTGACTGTGACAGTTAATTTTTCTTTTATTGTGATAAAATATATGTAACATAAAATTCACCATTGTAACTATTTTAAGTGTATAATCCAGTGGCATTAAGTACATTCACATCGTAATACCGCCATCATCACCATCCGCCTTCAGAACTGTTTCATCGTTCCGAATTCACACTCTATACCCATGAACAATAACTCTCTAGTCCTCCCTCTCACAGCCCCTGGTAACCACTGTTCTACTTTCTGTCTTTGTGGAATTTGACTATCTGAGGTATCACACAGAAGAGGAATCACACAATATTTCCTTTGTGATGGTTAATTTTATGTCAGTGTGGCTAGTCTATGGTACCCAGTTTTTGGTCAAACATCAGTGTAGCCGTGTGTGGTGGCACATGCCCGTAGTCCTAGCTACTCCAGAGGCTGAGGAGGGAGGGTTGCTTGAGCCCCAGAGTTCGAGGCTGCAGTGAGCTATGATTGTGCCACTGTACCCTAGTTTGGGCGACAGAGTGAAACTCTATTTCTAAGGAGAGAAAAACAATAGTGTAGATGTTGCTGTGAAAATATTTTTTAGATCTGATCAACATTTTAAACCAACAGACTTTGGGTAAAACAGATCAGCCTCCAGGAGGTGGGTGGGCTTCATCCACTCATTTGAAAGACTTAACAACAAACACTGAGGTTTCCCCAAATGGAAGAAATTCTGCCTGAGTTTCCAGCTGCCAGATTCAAGATTCGGCATCAACTTTTGCCTGAATTTCCAAACCTACAGATAGATGTATCAACTCCTACAATTATGTTAGCCAAGTCCCTAAATTCTCTCTCTCTTTCTCTATCTGTCTGTGATACATGTGTATCCTATTGGTCCTGTTTCCCTGCAGAACCCTAACACACTGGCCCTACTGCCTCCACATACACTCTGTCCCCATCTCCTCCATCTGCCCAGATACCAACTCCTCCAGGAAGACTTCTGGAGCATCCTCTCTTGGGATACTTACTGCATGTGGCCTCATGGAGGGAATTTTATCCACATGAGTAGGGACCACTTTTGTTCTTTGCTTCAAATGTTTGTTTCACTCTGTTTGTTCTCAGCAGTACTGGAGTAGCTGTACTTTTTAGGTGTGCATAGTATTTGTAAAATTTGGTTAATTTGTCTAATGGCTCCAGGGAGCTTTGTAGAAAAACTATCCCCATCTCAGGAAAAGCTCTGTCCTCACACCAAAAGTTGACTCAGAGCAGGATCCCAGCCAAGGGGTTAAATTCCACACCACCCTCCCCATAGCCAATTCCTGGGACTATCCCACCCTCAGCCTAGAGCCAGAGAAACCCTTAGGGGCCATGTGAATAAATGAGACCTTTCCCCTCTTAGACTTTGCCAGTAAGCTAGGTGGAAGCAAAGGCCCTGGCTCCCCTGTGTCCCCACCTTGCCCTTCAGGAGTCAGAAGGCCCTGGGATGTGCCAAGGATCCTTGTCAGGCCTGGGATCTGACAGCAGGGCACCCAGGACCACTCTCTGGCTTCCTGGAGCATGATGGAGACAGTGACAAGGATGAGGAGGACAGGTCTGCCCCTCAGGACCCCAGGCCCCGGCCACAGGAGTCTGTCTTGCAAGGTGATTAGGAGCCAGGTATAGCTTTGTTTTTTGTTTTTTTTTTTTAAGCCAGTCAGATTTAGCAATGGGGGTTGTATACCAAAGATCTGCTTTTGAATCCCAGCTCTGCCACTTACCAGTCATGTCACTTGGAGAAAGCCACCCAACATCTCTCAGACTATTTTGTCATCTCTAAAATGGGAAAAATAAGGCTTATCTCATAGACTACATGGAAGAGCAAATGATATCACACACAAAGTGCTTGGCACATGGCAATCACTCCATAATGACAAATATTGTTGATGAGGCTATTTTTATTATTAGCTGTGTGACTTTGGACAAATGGCTTAAACTCTCTGTGCCCTCCTTTTCTGATATCTGAAATGAGGATAAAAATAACAACAAATGCTCCACAGGGTGGCCATGGGCATTAACTGAGACGAAACACACAAAGTGTCCTGGAGGTAAGTAATCTCTTAATACACAGCTATTATTAGTCATCAATATTTATTATTATCCTTATTATTATTCAGGCTGAACAGCTGAGGTAGCCCCTTGATCCCTCTAGCTCTGATGAGACATCTGAGGCTCTGGGTAGAGGAAAAGCCCCACTCAGAGTCCCCCAACCCCCACCTCTCAGGCCCCTTTGAAGTCCCCAGGGGCCCCAGGCCGTGATAAATGTCCCAGCCCTATAGGTTATGACTTGCTGCCAGATTTGACGTTAACCATCATGCCCTGGCTGGGTGTTTGAAGAAAGTGCCTAAATGCTGCTGGGGCTGATGGGGGAGATAGCAGCGAGGCCGGTCTTTGAAAGCCCCAGCCGGCCGCCCTGGCGAGAGGGAGCAAGGAGGCCGGCTCCGCTCCAGCTGTTTAGTCTACCAATCATGGTGGTGACAGGGAGTCTGCGCTGGCACAGAGAGGGCTGCTGGGTGCTGGGTGGGGAGGGGCCACCCGGCGAGTTCCTCACTTGCTTGCTTTTTCTGAAGTGTGTGTATGTGCGTGTGCTTTTCACACCTTCAGGGCAAACGGAGAAACGGTTGTAAAGGAGAAAGAGCGCTGGACGGGGAGCCCAGAGACCTAGGCACTGCCACTGTCCTATCTCTGCTCCTTTTCCCCTAGGGAAGGGGGGCACATGTCATGAAGAGGTTCAAATTCCAGGCTGCAGAGTCAGCCAGGTCCTCCTCCCGCCCCGACTCTGCCTCTCGTTACAGTGAGTCACTGGGAAAGATCCTTGACTTCCCTAAGCCTCAGTTTCTTTATCTTTAAAATGGGAGTGAATAACAGTCCCTCCCCCACAGGGTCAAAGGCAGATTAAATAAACTGATGCATGGAAAGCATCTTGCATGGAACTTGGTGCACAGTAGGGACTCAGTAGATAGAAACTGACCTTCCAGATCAGTTGAGGACACAGGGACAGAGAGCCAGGTTTGCTTCTTGGCTCCCAGTGTGTCCCCAGACACCAAATCCCAGGTTCCACTTCACTCTACCTTTCTCCATACATTTGTTCTCTCAAACAACTTCCATCAGAGGCCGAGTAGCCTCATAATGAAAAACAATAACCAGGCATTTTACATGTCACAGCCAACTCGGGAACAAGCATTATTATTAAGCCATTTTACGCTGTGGAAACTGAGGCTCAGACAGAAGTGATCGGCCTAGTGAGTTGCAAGAGAGACCCCTCGCCTGTGCTATGTGCTATGTGACTCTGCAGGTAAGGCACTAGAGATTAGAGACTGGCTTCCCAGACCACTTGCTAACCAGAAGTGTTCCTCATCTGCAGAATGGGAGTAATGACGCCTGACTCACGGGTGGCTGGCAGTTTTAGATGAAATAACAGGGAACCATGCCCGGCACTTAGCAAGGTCTCATAAATGGGAACTGGTGTGATTCTTGAGCACTATTCTGTGCCAGCCTCTGCCAGGAACTGGAGACCCGAAGCACAATCAGAGAGGGGCTCAGCCTTCAAAGCACCTGTATCAATCAGGACAAGCCAGGTTTTCCTACAGTAACAAAAAACCTAGCTTTGGCCAGGCGTGGGATTATGCTGTAATCCCAGCACTTTGGGAGGCCGAGGCGGGCGGATCACTTGAGGTCAGGAGTCTGAGACCAGCCTGGCCAACATGGTGAAACCCCGTCTCTACAAAAACACAAAAATTAGCCGGGCATGGTTGCAGGTGCCTGTAATCCCAGCTACAGGCTGAGGCAGGAGAATTGCTTGAACCTGGGAGGCACAGGTTGCAGTGAGCCAAGATAATGCCATTGCACTCCAGCCTAAGTGACAGAGCGAGACTATCTCAAAAAAAAAAAATACCCCAGGTTTATTTCTTACTCACACTGCATGTCCAACACAGGTCAGCATGAGTTTCTGTTCACCCAGTGACTCAGGGACAGGGGCTGGTGGACCCTCCACCTTGACACATTTGCAAGATCACTGTGGCAAGGTGAAGCAAACTTGGGGACTCACACACTGGCTTATAGTTTCTACTGCTAACATTTCATGGTTAAAGTAATCACATGGATATGTCTAACCTCAAAGGGGACAGGACAGTATAATCCTACCTTGCGCCGGGAAGGAGGAGGAAAATGACTTCCACATGCCCCACAGTCCAGGGGGAGAGGCGTAAATAGGGTAAACCACAACTCTGATGGAGTTAAGTCCTTACTGTGTTACAGGAACACAGAGGAGAAGCAACTTTATTGGGAGGCCTAGGGGGGCCTTCATTGCCCAGGTGACCTGTGAGCCTAGCATGGAGATCAGGGGTTATTAAGTTGGGGTCCAAGGATCCATAATTGCATGGCTGGCCTTCAGGGACCCAAAACTTCCTGAAACTTCAAAATCTTGGATGTAGGTGAGTTTATGCATTTTCGCAAGAAGAAAGTCCTTAACTTTCATTATCTAAGACTTGGGCTGCCAGATGGTCACTACGTCTTTCTTCTGACTTTTGTCTTTCTATTATAGTGTACCATATCTTAAAGTGCAATGCTCAAACCACCCGCAGCAGACAATCTAGACAGTTGTCAAAAATGCATAGCCCAAGGCCCAGCTCTGACCAACTGAATTGGAATCTCTGGGGGTGGTTCCAATCTGCATTTTAACAAGCTTCCCAGGTAGCCCTCATACATCTTGAAGTCTGTGGTTCTCTCAGCCAGAGATAGCACTCTCCCAGCCCAGTTAGGCTGTGAAGAAAGCACAGAGAGAGCTGAGCCACACGGTTGAGAAGAATCCTCCAAGGCCAGAGAGCACTTTACAGTTTCCAGAGGGCCACCACCTCGTGCCTTATCCAACCTCACTGCAGAACGGTGGAGTGGAGGTGCCAGCTCTCCACTGGCACAAAAGAGGTGCTCAATGAATATCACCTAGCGAAATGACAGGAAATGAAAAGAGAGCCAAACAAGACAGGATGGCCTAAAAATGACATGCCCTGAAATCAGACCACCCTGAGTTCAAATTTCAGTCTTGCCAGTTCCTAGTTGGGTAATCTCGGACAAGTTACCCTACCTCTCAGGACCTCAGCTTCCTTGTCTGTCATCAGGAATGTGTCTTTCTTCCCTCTAGGACTGTGTTGGCACACAGCACAGCTTCTCTAAAGGTCACCAGAAGGATCCTAAGTGCTTTAATAATTCTCGTGTCAGGCCTCCTCAACTCCATTCTAGAGGTGAGGGGAGGGAGTCCTGGAGATGGCTCCCCTAGAAGCACTAGAAGCATGATTCATGCCCTGGCAAAGCCCGTCCCCACCAAGCCCTGGGTCTTGTCCTCGTCTTCCCAGAGTCATGCTGGCCAGAGCTGAGACTCCATGCTATCATGTGAGCAGTCAGCCCTAGACACTCACATTCACCCCTGCCAGGAAAAGGGGATTCCTTTGTCCCTGATAACTCCTGGGGACCCACCCTGGCACAGGTAGGCAGACCCCCAGGAGGCAAGGCTGATGGTTAAATCAGGGGTTCCAGCCCACCTGTGCTGAAGAAGAACCTGGAAAGTGTGTTCAATGCCCAAATTTCTGGTCCCACCCCTGGCAATTCTCATTCTGCAGCTTTGGATTAGAGCCCAGGGATGGCATTTTAACAAATTCCCAGGGATTCTGATCTTCAGCCAGATCCCGGAGCCGCTGCTCTGACCTCCAGGTGGTTTAGAATGTGTGGTTTGGGGGCCAGGCGCAGTGGCTCATGCCTGTAATCCCAGCACTTTGGGAGGCTGAGGCAGGCAGATCACCTGAGGTCAGGAGTTCAAGACCAGCCTGGCCAACATGTAAGACCCCGTCTCTACTGAAAATTCAAAAATTAGCTGGGCGTGGTGGCAGGCGCTGGTAATCCCAGCTACTGGAGAGGCTGAGACAAGAGGATTCCTTTATTTTCTTTTTTTAATTTTTTGAGACGGAGTCTCACTCTGTCACCCAGGCTGGAGTGCAGAGGCGTGATCTCGGTTCACAGCAAAAGGAGGATTGTTTTAACCCAGGAGGCAGAGGTTGCGGTGAGCCAAAACTGCACCATTGCACTCCAGCCTGGGCAACAAGAGCAAAACTCTGTCTCAAAAAAAAAAAAAAAAAAAAAAACAATGTGTGGTTTGGAATGTCTGGTAGGCAGATGGAATCCTGGCCACCCAGGATCCTGTCCCCAACAGGGATGCTGCTTCATGCTAAGCCCTTTCCCTCTGCAGGTTGCCACCAGCCCGCCCATCTCCACCATGCCCTATGCTACCCTTCCTTGTGGCCTGAGCCTGGTGGTGGGAGCAGGTCTGCAAGGAGAAGGCACAACTGGATTTTTAGATGGATTGGGTGGTAGAATGAGTTCTGGGCTGGGGGATAAGAAATCCCAGCAGAAACCCTTCTGTTTTCTATATCCCTTTCAGGCTCTCAGAGCCTCAACTTCCTCATCTGTATACAGGGCTTATTCCCCTGATGGAAAATTAGAGATGGACACTTACCATGGAGCTAGTGAAGCTTAGGTCTCAGGGGACCTCATGTACACATGGCTCTTCTAAAGCCCTGCACCTAATTTTGTTTTCTCTTCCTTAAACAGGGGCCCATAAAATCCACACCAGGCCCTGACTGTAAGAGTGGCTATGAAAATGCCAAATGAGGGATAAAACCAGAGGGCTTTCACCTAGGGAACTCACCACCTCCAAAAGGGGAAGAGAGCCCTCCTAAGGTGCTCCTGGAGCTCCCCTCCTCACCAGCTTTGGTTTCTCCACTTTCCTACCGGATGAGTCCTGCCTCTTCCTGCCTGGGAGTTTATCAGCAGGGAGTGGCAGGGCCTGCTAATCAGGGGCTGCTCCAGGCCCCCGGGATTAACCCTGCAGACCCTGGGCCAGGGTCAGCAGCCCCGGCTACCAGTTATGCTCCCGGGTTCTCATCTGTGGATTAGATTGCTGGGGAGGGAGGAAGGGGAACTTTAGGGAGGGACTCACTGGCAGCCAGAGAGATTAAAACTAAATGAGAATACCTCACTCTCCTACTTAGAACCCTTCAGGGGGCTGCCTCTGCGTCTAAAATGAAACCCAGACCTTGCCCCACCCATCGGGCCCTGCCCTCCTCTTTGATCTCAGCCCTGGCTGTGGGGTGCTCCAGCTTCGCCTGCCTGCCTTCCTTCCCTTTCAGACCCCTTCCCTCCTCATTTGCTCTTGCCCTGAGACTTTGGCACTGGCTCTTCCTGTGCCTGGAAACTCCTTCCCAGATCTTCAAAAGGCACCTCCTGCAGGTCTCTTCTCAAACGTCACATCCCAGAGATGCCTTCCCTGGCCACATTTCTAAGGTCTTCCCCTACCCACCCCACTGTGCCACTCTCATTTTTCCCTGTTTAATTTTATAATCAGAGGCTGACATTCATATCTATTTTCTGCTATTCATCTGCCTCTCCCATGAAGAAGTGAGCTGAGATTCTCTCCTCAGCGCTTCAGACAGAGCCTGGTGCATAGAGGGGGGCTCAGTAGTAATTTGTGGAAGGAAAGGATGAGGGTGGTAGATCTGTGAAACCACCCTCCTGGGCTCTCGGCCAGGGTTGGGGTTGGGGGATAGAGGGTGGTTAAGCCAGGATCCCTGCCCAAGGAGCCATGTTCTTCCTATTGTGAGAGAGCAGATTGCGTAGGTGGGTTTGGAAAGAGAAGCAACACTGCTGGTTTCAGCTGCAAGCCCAGAGCTGGTTTGGACAAGGTGGTTCCCTGCCTGCCTGTGTTAGAACCCTCAGAAAACTTGTTACAGAGATGGCTGCTTGACCTGCCCCTCCGGTGGAAGGGAAGGCTTCCCAGAGGAGCTGGGCTGGGACATTGGTAATCAGGTACACCTGCCAGGGCAAGGAACTACAAGATCATGAGAAGACAACAGACGGTCTGGCTGTGGAGGGCTGGGAGCAGCAGGGCACCTCCTCTCCTCCCCAAGCCCAAGACTCCCAGGTGGGTTATGCTGAAGACCAGGGAGGCCCGAAATGGAGGAGCCTTGGGCTGGCTTCAGACCCCTGCTGGTCCTGCCAGCACCACCTGCGGCAGCAGGTGCAGGTCTGCCCTCAGCTCCTACCAAGCAGGGTCAGAGACCCCTCCTAGCATGCCTCCAGAACACTCTCAGGGAGACCGGGCCAACCCTCAGCCCTTCTTCCCCTTCCCTGCAGCAAGAGCCCTGTTTCGCGCACTCTGAACTGGGCTTGGGCCATGTTCCTGCCACACACAAACTGGGTGACCATAAGAAAGCTACTTACGGCCGAGTGCAGTGGCTCACGCCTGTAATCCCAGCACTTTGGGAGGCCGAGGTCGGGGGATCACAAGGTCAAGAGATAGAGACCATTTTGGCTAACATGGTGAAACCCCATCTCTACTAAAAATACAAAAATTAGCTCGGCATGGTGGCGGGCGCCTGTAGTCCCAGCTATTTGGGAGGCTGAGGCAGGAGAATCGCTTGAACCCGGGAGGCGGAGGTTGCAGTGAGCAGAGATCCCGCCACTGCACTCCAGCCTGGCGACAGAGCGAGAGTCCGTCTCCAAAGAAAAAAAAAAAAAAATCATCTCTAAGCCTAAGTTATGGGATAATAAACAAGACCATGGGAGGGTTGAACAACTTCATCGTGAAAGGCCCGAGCACATGGTCCTGAGCACGGCGAGACGCCTAAGTGCAACTGCGATGTTTGTCCTCTTTCCCCAGAACCCAAAGCGCCCGGGCCTGCGTAGCCCTGGCCTCCAGCGTCACCTGCTGGTCCAGTGGGAGAATGTCGCACCCTGCCGTCCTGGGGTGAAGGACTCCAGAGCCCCGAGTGCCAGCCTCAGCCCTGCCCCGACTCCCTCCCTGCAGCACGCGGGACGAGCCCCAACCCCAACCCCCGCCGCCGCGGGCCGGACCTTCGCATCCGTAACTTCGACACGGCAGTCTCCCTCTGCCCATTAGCATGGTTTGGAGGCTTCCAGAGAGCCGGGGGAGCCAGGAAATAAATCCCTTCTGTGAGGGACGGGACCGGCTCAGCCACGGCAGCTGGCCACGCTGCGTCCCCCGTGGAGGAGCTGTCACTGGGCGAGTGGACCCTGAGCCTGGGACCCAGTCCCTCGGGGTTCAAGACGAGTTCCAGGCTCGGCCTTGTTCCTCACCAAAGCAAAACCCACAGCTGCCTGCTCCACCACCGGGCGCCCACGGCGCAGGGCAGAGCAGGTGCTCCGATCCCCGTTTCACCTGCCGGGCGCACACACTCCCGGGCCCATACCCACGCCCACGCGCCCAGCAAGTTCCTGGGGTTTTTTGTTTTGTTTTGTTTTCTGGCTTCATTTGTTTAATGTTTCTCCCCTCAATCCTCCCCATCCCCTCACCGTCAGCTCCTGGAGGGAGGACAGAGCCTGGACTGCGTGCCCCATCCCCCGGATTCCAAGCACCTGGCACACGACTATGTGTTAAATAAATAAAATAAATAAATACTGTTTAAAAATGAAAATGAAATGTATTAAATTAATAAAATAGAACATTTCTAGCGACACACACAGGCACGCCAATCTCAGTCACACTCGCCCCAGGCACAGACACTGTCACTATGATTTGCCATCCCCGCCTCCCCACGCTGGAGAGCAGCGCCCTCACAGAAGGGCCGAGCCGCGGACGGGCCACACACCCGCGTGTACACACAGTCCGAGAACGCACACACGTACACACACACATGCGCAAGGCACGGCCTGGCCTTCAGGCACAGAGAGCCCATCCGGTTTCCCACTCAGCTCCCACAACTTCCCCCACACTTTGGTACTAAGGGCTCAGCTGGGTCCTTTTGAAGCCACCAAGGGAGGGAGTTGGGAAGGGCCCCAGTGACAAACAGTGGGGAGCAAGAATTTTACGAACTTAAGGGCTGTAAATTTCGGCCAGCAAATCCCCGCCCCTGTCCGTCCGCCCCGCCTTCCTTCTCACGAGGAGGGGGGCGTATCTTCCCACCCTCTGCTCATCCCCACCCTTCTCAAACTAATCAGCCAGTTCAAATGGTACCCTTCACCTATGATCACACCACTGTCATCAACGCCACCACCACTTAGATTGCCAGTGTTTGAATCCTAGCTCTGCTCTGAACAGTAAGTGCCCTTAGACAAGCGACCTCTGTGTCTTCCACTGCGAAATGGGAATAATAATAGTACTTACTCCTGGGAGAAGATGTGAGAATGAAGAGATAATGCACTAAAGCCCGGGGCCGCTATGCCTGGTCATTGTTAAATATTCATAAAATGGGAAGTATAGTTATTATAGGGTCTTTAAAATGATTATTCTTAGGATGCTATTTAAACTTAAAATAGCAGAGTTGGACAGGTTTTTAGAGACCTGTATTCCAGCTCTGTCTTTGTAAGCTGGAGAAAAAGAAGTCTAGAGAGTCGCTTGCTCAAAATCACACTGCCAGTCAGTGGTAGAACCACGTCAAAAGTTCAGATCTCCTAGGTGAGGAGTTGTTAGACATAATACCAAAATCACAATCTGTTTTCTGAAATTGATAAATTGGGCCAGGCGTGGTGGCTAACACCTATAATCTCAGCACTTTGGGAAGCCAAGGCAGGTGAATCATTTGAGGTCAGGAGTTTGAGACCAGCCTGGCCAACATGGTGAAACCTCACCTCTACTAAAAATACTAAAAATTAGCCAGGCATGGTGGCGCATGCCTGTAGTCCTAGCTACTTGGGAGACTGAGGCACGAGAATCACTTGAACCTGGGAGGCAGAGGTTGCAGTGAGCCGAAATTTGTGCCACTGCATTACAGCCTGGGCAACAGAGTGAGATTTTGTCTCAAAAAAATAAAATGAAATTGATGGACTTTATTGAAATTAAAAACTTCTGTCCTTCAAAAGACATTGTTAAGAGGATAAAAAAAGCCACATATTGAGAAATATTTACAAGTCGTATATCCGATATATAAGTTGTATCAAACATATATAAAGAGCTTGTAAAAATCAGTAATACAAAAACAAACAATCCAATTTTTAAATGGTCAAAAGACTTGAACAGACACTTCACCAAAGAAAATGTTTGAATGACAAATAAGCACTTGCAAAGAGGCTCACCATTAGTCATTAGGGAAATGCAAATTAAGATAATAATGAAATACCACTACACATTTACTAGAATGACTAAACTGGGGCCAGGCGTGGTGGCTCACGCCTATAATCCCAGCACTTTGGGAAGCTGAGGTGGGCAGATCATCTGAGGTCAGGAGTTCGAGACTGACCTGACCAACATGGAGAAACCCCATCTCTGCTAAAAATACAAAATTAGCAGGGCATCATGGCGCATGCCTGTACTCCCAGCTACTTGGGAGGCTGAGGCAGGAGAATCACTTGAACCCAGGAGGCAGAGGTTGTGGTGAGCCGAGATCATGCCATTGCACTCCAGCCTGGGCAACAAGAGCGAAACCCTGTCTCAAAAAAAAAAAAAAAAAATGACTAAAATGGGAACGGAAAGCCAACAATACCAAGTGCTGATGGAGATGCAGAGCAGCTAGAACTCTGATGCATTGCTGATGGGAATACAAAATGGTGCAGGCACTTTGGATTACAGTCTCACAGTTTCTTATAAAGTTAAACATATACTTACAATAAAACCCCAGAAGGGTGGGGGCAGTACTCACATCTGTAATCTCAAAACTTTGGGCAGCCGACATGGTAGGATCACTTGAGGCTACGAGTTTGAGACAAGCCTGGGCAACACAGTGAGACCGCCCCGTCCCATCTCTACAAAAAAATTAGAAATTAGCCAAGAATGGTGGTGCACATCTGTGGTCCCAGCTACTCATGAGGCTGAGGTGGGAGGGTTTCTTGAGCCCAGGAGTTTGGGGTTGCAGTGAGCTAGGATCTGGCCACTATACTGCAGCCTGGATGACAGAGCAAGACCCTCTCTTTAATAATAATAATAATAACATGTAATGGGGCCGTGGCAGCCAGGAAGGGGAGTGAGCACAATAGAAATGACATTCCTTGCCAAAGTGCGGTGGCTCACACCTGTAATCCCTGCACTTTAGGAGGCTGAGGCGGGTGGATCACCTGAGGTCAGGAGTTCAAGACCAGCCTGGCCAACATGGTGAAAGCCTGTCTCTACTAAAAATACAAAAATTAGCTGGTGTGGGGGTGGGCGCCTGTAATCCCAGCTCCTCAGGAGGCTGAGGCAGGAGAATCACTTGAAACCAGAAGGCGGAAGTTGCAGTAAGTTGAGACTGCACCACTGGACTCCAGCCCGGGTGACAAAAGCAAAACTCCATCTCAAATAAAAAAAAAAAAGAAATGATATTCCCTAAGGGCCAGTGACCTTTCACGTTTAGCCCCAACATGTTTGGTGATTTGAGGGTGATAGTCCTACTTTGAATAATAATAACAAAACCCAACAATCCCATTTCTACTCATTTATTTACCAACTGAAATGAAAATTTATATTCACACAAAAATCTGTATATAAATGTTTGTAGTAGCTTTATTTGTAATCAGCAAGAACTGAAAAGAACCCAAATGTCCTTCAACTGGGGAATGGATAAACAAATCGTGGTACATCCATGCAGTGGAACACTACTCAGCAATAAACATGGTTCCTGTATGTATTATGCTGAGCAAAAGAAGACTCAAAAGGCTACATACTCTATGATTCTGTGTATAGAACATCTGCAAAAGGCAAAACTTTGGGGACTAAAGAGAGTGGGCAGAAGGGTTCACACAGGAATTGGGGGATAATTAAATTATTCTATGTCTTGATTGTGATGTTGGTTACATGACTTCTGCATTCATCAAAATTTGCAGGGCCATACTTGTGGAACCATAACAAAGGTGACTTTCACTGTAAGTAATTATGCCTTATTTTAAAAGAAGAATTCAGATCTCCAGGATCCCAGCCCAGCATGCTTGTCACTGCACCCTCTCCAGGCGCTGTGTGATCTGTGGGCCAAAGCTCCGCCAGTGATTCTTAAGCTTATCTGGGTTTAGAAATCCTTTCCAAGAAAGCTGAGGCTCAGAGAGGGAGAGGAACTCACCCAAGGTCACACAGCCAGTTCATGAGAAAGCTAGGATGAGCTCTTCAATCTTCTGACTCACAACCTGAGCTTTTTGCATGTCACCATGCTTCATCATTCACCTTTATGTTTCCTTGGAAATAATTGTTGGTTTATTAATCACATTTAGGTGGTAAAAATGTGATGTAGCATAGTGATGCTTCCTCCCCTGGCCAATATTCAGGGAACCACCCAGCGCACAGGAGGAAAGCCTGGGTGAAAATCACAGCTCCGCCTCCTGCAGCCCTGTGACCTCAGACAAGTGTTGTGACTGCTCTGAGCTTCAACTCCTCCAATTGTGAGATAGAGATAGAAATACCAATACCACTTTGGGAGGCCGAGGAGGGTGGATCATGAGGTCGGGAGTTCAAGATCAGCCTGGCCAGCACGGTGAAACCCCATCTCTACCAAAAATACAAAAAATTAGCCAGGCTTGGTGGCGGGCATCTGTAATCCCAGCTTCTCGGGAGGCTGAGGCAAGAGAATTGCTTGAACCTGGGAGGCGGAGGTTGCAGTGAGCTGAGATCACGCCACTGCACTCCAGCCTGGGCGACAGAGTTAGACTCTGTCTCAAAAAAAAAGAAATACCAATGCCTACTCTATACAATTTTCAGGAATGCTAAATAAGATAAACCATAGATAGCACCTAAGTACCGGGCTCATCATATGTCCTCAATAAATAAATGATAGCTATTTTTATTACTCCTATTAACTACCCAGGGACTCAGACTGAACCACTATGCAGCATGACAACAGTGGCTCAAATAAAACCATGAAAACCACTCCCTGATCCTGTGATATCAATGGGACTGTGAGTGTGCCACAGTAGGAACTTTGATACAAGGAGTGTGTTTAGGAAAGCAAGGACAGAGTACGGGGGTCCAGGAGTACCCCATTTCAACCACTGACTGCCTTGTAGCCTTTGGCAAGTCCCTGCTTCTCTCTGGGTCCCAGTCTCATCCTACTGATGGAATTGAACTAAATGATCTCCAAGTGCCCTTTCAGCTCATGGCAGGGATCTCAAAAGTCAGTGTGCCTCAAGACAGGGATGCCTTCTCTCACCACTCCTATTCAACATAGTGTTGGAAGTTCTGGCCAGGGCAATTAGGCAGGAGAAGGAAATAAAGGGTATTCAATTAGGAGAAGAGGAAGTCAAATTGTCCCTGTTTGCAGATGACATGACTGTATATCTAGAAAACCCCATTGTCTCAGCCCAAAATCTCCTTAAGCTGATAAGCAACTTCAGCAAAGTCTCAGGATACAAAATCAATGTACAAAAATCACAAGCATTCTTATACACCAATAACAGACAAACAGAGAGCCAAATCATGGGTGAACTCCCATTGACAATTGCTTCAAAGATAATAAAATACTTAGGAATCCAACTTACAAGGGACGTGAAGGACCTCTTCAGGGAGAACTAAAAACCATTGCTCAATGAAATAAAAGAGGATACAAACAAATGGAAGAACATTCCATGCTCATGGATAGGAAGAATCAATATCGTGAAAATGGCCATACTGCCCAAGGTAATTTATAGATTCAATGCCATCTCCATCAAGCTACCAATGACTTTCTTCACAGAATTGGAAAAAACTACTTTAAAGTTCATATGGCACCAAAAAAGAGCCCGCATTGCCAAGTCAATCCTAAGCCAAAAGAACAAAGCTGGAGGCATCACACTACCTGACTTCAAACTCTACTACAAGGCTACAGTAACCAAAACAGCATGGTACTGGTACCAAAACAGAGATATAGACCAATGGAACAGAACAGAGCCCTCAGAAATAACGCCACATATCTACAACTACCTGATCTTTGACAAACCTGACAAAAACAAGCAATGGGGAAAGGATTCCCTATTTAATAAATGGTGCTGGGAAAACCGGCTAGCCATATGGAGAAAGCTGAAACTGGATCCCTTCCTTACACCTTATACAAAAATGAATTCAAGGTGGATTAAAGACTTAAACGTTAGACCTAAAACCATAAAAACCCTAGAAGAAAACCTAGGCAATACCATTCAGGACATAGGCATGGGCAAGGACTTCATGTCTAAAACACCAAAAGCAATGGCAACGAAAGCCAAAATTGACAAATGGGATCTAATTAAACTAAAGAGCTTCTGCACAGCAAAAGAAACTACCATCAGAGTGAACAGGCAACCTACAAAATGGGAGAAAATTTTCGCAACCTACTCATCTGACAAAGGGCTAATATCCAGAATCTACAATGAACTCAAACAAATTTACAAGAAAAAAACAAACAACCCCATCAAAAAGTGGGCAAAGGACATGAACAGACACTTCTCAAAAGAAGACATTTATGCAGCCAAAAAACACATGAAAAAATGCTCACCATCACTGGCCATCAGAGAAATGCAAATCAAAACCACAATGAGATACCATCTCACTCCAGCTAGAATGGCAATCATTAAAATGTCAGGAAACAACAGAT
This sequence comes from Homo sapiens, assembly GCF_000001405.40. Taxonomy (NCBI): domain Eukaryota; kingdom Metazoa; phylum Chordata; class Mammalia; order Primates; family Hominidae; genus Homo; species Homo sapiens. The sequence continues at coordinate 154,617,272 of NC_000005.10, forward strand.
GCTGGAGAGGATGTGGAGAAATAGGAACAGTTTTACACTGTTGGTGGGACTGTAAACTAGTTCAACCATTGTGGAAGTCAGTTTGGCGATTCCTCAGGGATCTAGAACTAGAAATACCATTTGACCCAGCCATCCCATTACTGGATGTATACCCAGAGGACTATAAATCATGCTGCTATAAAGACACATGCACACGTATGTTTATTGCGGCTCTATTCACAATAGCAAAGACTTGGAACCAACCCAAATGTCCAACAACGATAGACTGGATTAAGAAAGTGTGGCACATATACACCATGGAATACTATGCAGCCATAAAAAAGGATGAGTTCATGTCCTTTGTAGGGACATGGATGAAATTGGAAATCATCATTCTCAGTAAACTATCGCAAGAACAAAAAACCAAACACCGCATATTCTCACTCATAGGTGGGAATTGAACAGTGAGAACACATGGACACAGGAAGGGGAACATCACACTCTGGGGACTGTTGTGGGGTGGGGGGAGGGGGGAGGGATAGCATTAGGAGATATACCTAATGCTAAATGACGAGTTAATGGGTGCAGCACACCAGCATGGTACATGTATACATATGTAACTAACCTGCACATTGTGCACATGTACCCTAAAACTTTAAGTATAATAATAATAAAATTGAAAAAAAAAGTCAGTGTGCCTAAGGAGTTTGTCAAAATGCTAATCCCCAGGCCCACCATGGATTCTGGAGCAAGGTGTGGAAATCTGCAGTTTAAACTCACATACACCCAGGGGTACACTTTAGAAAGAGCTAGGCTTGTGCTCCCTGACACCATGTGCAATCACCCTTCTGGGCCTTTGCACAAGCTGTTCGTTCCCACTGCTTAGAACATTTTTATCCAGATCTCTATCTGGTTAACGGTACTCATTCTTCAAAATCCAGCTCAGAGTCCCTTCCTCCAGCCTTCCCTGATTTCTACTTCCTCCAACTGGATTGGGCACCCGCAGCACTCTAGGCTTCCCCTTCTTTCTTAGCATATATACCACATCATGGTGATTGTTCTTTTAAAATTATGCACACATTTTCACTGTAAAAACTGAAAACATGGCAATGGATCACTAGTCCCCTTTACAACCTGCCCCCCTGTTTAATGTAATTTCTTCCAGACACATTTCAGTGCATTTACAAATATATCCCTGGTATACCTAAAAGCTAGGATACTGTTTGTGGAATTTTATTTTGCATAACTGGTATCATCCTTGCTTTTTCCCTCATAGCATGCATAGGAGACCTGTCTGCATCAGCACCCACCGTGTTCTAATTACCGCACAGCATACCAGAGTGGGCCCATACCCCCCGCAGACTTATCCACCCCTCTCTGAATGGACATCTTCCCTTCACTATTGTGTTTTATATCTCCACCTTTCTCCCTCTACTGTCAGCTGTTTGAACAGAATAACAGGTTCCAGAGTCACTGCCTGAGTTCAAATTGCAACTGCCATAGGCAAGTTCCCACTCTCTCTGTCTCATCTGTGAAATGAGGGCAATGATAATTGAGACCTCACAGGTCTGCTCTGAGTTACAACAAACAAGCACTTAGCACAGTTTCCTGGTACATAGTCAGTGCTCAATAAATGTTTGTTAGATGAATCAGCAGATGGATGTGGGCAGAAAGCAAGTCCCATTGCATCCCCCAGAGCATAATGGCCCTAAAGAATAATGTAAAGTGCCATGGTTAGGAGAGGTTAGGCAATGGCTGGCTTTAGAATGCCTGTGTTCTCCACAAGCTAAGAAGCACTGGAAGCTGGATTAGCAGGGAGTTCCTTGTGGTCAACAAGGAGATCTGTATGGCAGGTTTGCCACTGGCTTCTGTAAAGCCCACAGCATAGTCACATGGAGTAAAGTCAGGGGACCAGAATTTGCCTAATGGTAAAAAGTCCAGCCTTGGAATCAGACAAAGAACCAAACAGAACTGGGTTCAAGTCCAGTTATGCTGTTTGCTAGATGCATTGACCTTGGGAAACTCCCTTAAGCTCCCTGAGCCTCAGCTTCCTCCTGTGTAAAGTGGGCAAGTGCTGATGTATGTTTGGAAGGACGTTATAAGGATAATGTGTAAACAGCTTGCCTTGGTGCCTGGGGTATTGATGTTGCTCAATTAATACTAGCTGGAGTGGTGATGGTGATGACGAAACAATGAAGAAGGAGGGTCGGGGAGGGTGTGGTGGATTAAAGATGGCAGCCAAATCTTAGTTACTTTCATCATTGAGGGGGGTGTCTAACTCCTCTTCCCTAGAATCTGTCCTGGCCCTAATGAGTGATTTGACCCATAGAATGTGGCACAGTGACATTCTAAGAATTCCAAGATAGGTTATAAGAAGTCTTGTAAGGCTGGGCATAGTGGCTCACACCTGTAATCCCAGAACTTTGGGAGGCTGAGGTGGGGGTATCAATTGAGGCCAGAAGTTCAAGACCAGCCTGGACAACACAGCAAGACCATGTCTCTACAAAAAATTTAAAAATTAGCTAGGTGTGGTGGCACACACCTCTGGTTCTAGCTACTCAGGAGCCTGAAGCAGGAGGATTGCCTAAGCACAGGAGTTGGAGGCTGCAGTGAACTATGACCATGCCACTGCACTCCAGCCTGGACAATAGAACAATACCCTATCTCTTAAAAAAAAAAAAAAAAAAAAGACTGTGTTGCTTCTGCCTAGACCTGGAATATTTCTCTTGGGATGCTCCCTCTTGGAACCCAGCACTGTGAGTCCAAATATCTGTCCCAAAATGACACTGTATAGTGGGCAGTGCCAGTAGCAGTCGAGTGGACTGCTAGTTACCGGCCAAATAACTATTCTTTCTTTTCTCTTTACTTACAGAACACCAATTCCAGTGGGAACAGCAATGTGCATGGCTAAAATATTACGTTCCCTTATCCCATAACTTATAGGTAAAATTGGCCCATGAAACACAAGTGGAAATCTCGAGGTTTTTATGAAAAATGTATTTTCCCTTCCTCCTTCTGTCTTGTTTTGACTCTTGCTTGGAGTAAGGACATGAAAGCTAAAGTAGAAGCAGCCATCTTGAGATCTCATCAAAAAGGCTAGGAGCATCACGGTGACCTCAGTCTTGCCATCCTTTACCTGCTGGTCCACCACCACAACTACCTACCTTCAGTTTTTTTGTTTTGTACAAAACCAAAACAAACAAACCAAAAAAATCTCTTTTTAAAGGCATTGTTATTGAGTTTTCTGTTGAATGCAGCAAAACACAATCCTGAAATAACACAGAAACATGTGCAGTTTTGCCTGATAGGCACCTATTTCCCTCTCCTCTATAACAACTTCCTCATTTCCTTCTGTGAAACCAGCCCTCTTCAACCACAATTCATTTGGCTGAATGAGGATCCAAGGCAGGGTACGTGAGCAGGCCTGGACAGTGAAAATAAAGTCCAGGATTTTCCCTAGAGATATTGAGAAATAAATGCTCTCTTTTTCAACTGAGTTTGCAAAGCTGTGAATTTAGGTCTAGAACTGCTGATGGCCACCATGACCCTGCTGGAGAGTGTGTGTCAGAGAATGAAGCCAACACAGAGGAAAGCAGAGCTGAGATGAAGAGGAGTCCCAATGACTGACATCACCAGGCCCACGGAGCCACCTGGGCCTGAAGTTAGATCCCCCTCAACCTGTCTGTTAACTGAGCCAATACATAATTTTTGCTTAAGCCCATTAGAGTTGGGTTTATGTTCCTCACAGCTCAAAGATTTTGGCTAATCCACAGAGTAAATTTTGTTATAAAGTTCCATGTTCTGACCCACTGTGCAACTGCCAGCTTACGTGCAACCCTAGGTAAAGCAAATAGATACATAGAGATAGCTGGTGTATTAGTCTGTTTTCACGCTGCTTATAAAGACATACTGAGACTATGTAATATGTAAAGAAAAAGAGGTTTAATGGACTTACAGTTCCACATGGCTGGGGAGGCCTCACAATCATGGCAGAAGGCAAAAGACGTGTCTTACATGGCAGCAGTCAAGAGAGAATAACAGAACTTGTGCAGGGAAACTCTCCTTTATAAAACCATCAGATCTCGTGAGATTTATTCACTATCATGAGAGCAGCACAGGAAAGACCTGGCCCCATGGTTCAGTTACCTCCCACCGGGTCCCTACCACAACATGTGGGAATTGTGGGAGCTACAGTTCAAGATGAGATTTGGGTGGGGACACAGCCAAACCATATCAGCTGGTTACTTTAGAATAAAATAAGTTCAGTGTTTCACATTTTCCATCCTTTTCTTACTTGTTGAAACCCCATTTCACATGGTCTTGGGAAGCAGAATTTATTCCAGCAAATCACCATAAGACACGAACTTTCACATGTGCTTTCAGCAGCTGAGGCATCCTGGCCCTGGAGTAGCCCTTTCATGAGTCTTTCTCCACAAAGTGCCCTCCCCAGCTACTCCTGAGCGAGGAAGCTGTCTCTCTCTGCTTCTGGGGGTATCATGGGAATCATGAAAAGGAATAACTTTGGAACCAATAGTGCTTGGTTTAAAACTCTATTCTGCTACTCACTTGCTGTGTGATCTTGGATGAGTTACTTGTCTCTCTGGTCTTCATCACTTCCACTACTAAAATAAAAAAGGAGACAATATTATCTGTCTCAGGATATTTTGACATAAATTATATATGATGCTAGTACAGAGTAAGTCCTCAAGAAATGGTAATTATTGTTATTAATAATAGCAAAATGGCCTGGCGCAGGGGCTCATGCCTGTAATCCCAGCACTTTGGGAGGCCAAGACGGGGGATCACCTGAGGTCAGGAGTTCGAGACCAGTCTGGCCAACATGGTGAAACCCCATCTCTACTAAAAATGCAAAAAGTAGCCGGGCGGGGTGGTGCGCACCAGTAATCCCAGCTACTTGGGAGGCTGAGGCTGGAGAATCGCCTGAACCCGGGAAGTGGAGATTGCAGTGAGTTGAGATCATGCCACTGCACCCCAGCCTGGGCAATAGAGCAAGACTTCATCTCAAAATAATAATAATAATAGCAGAACAAGGAGGACTGATTGAACCCAAGAGTTCAAGGCTGCAGTGAGCAATCCAAGAGTGGATTGCACCATTGCACTCCAGACTGGGCAACAAAGTGAGGCTCTATCTCTGAAAAAATAAAAATAAATAATAAATAAAAATAATAGGTCCGGCACCGTGGCTCAACCCTGTTATCCCAGCACTTTGGGAGGCTGAGGCAGGTGGATCACCTGAGGTCAGGAGTTCGAGACCAGCCTGACCAACATGGCGAAACCCTGTCTCTACTAAAAATACACAAATTAGCCAGGCAAGGTAGCATGCACCTGTAGTCCCAGCTACTTGGGAGGCTGAGGCAGGAGAATCACTTGAACCTGGGAGATGGAGGTTGTGGTGAGCCGAGATTGCGCCATTGCACTCCAGCCTGGGCGACAAGAGCGAAACTCCGTCTCAGAAAAAATAAAACAATAAAAAAAAAGCAAAACATTTAGCACAGTGCCTTGCATAGAAGAAGCAAGCACTGAATAAATATTTGTTGAAATTTTGTAAGTTCAAGTCAATGTCATGAAAATGAGGTGGGGGGAAACTGTGGTATATTTTTAAACACTTTTTAAAAGATTTAAAACAAATAACAAATCAATGCAAAGAGTAGACTTTGTTTGGACCTTCATTACTATAAGCCAACTGTAAACACAGATTTTTTTGGCATTCTGAAAATTCTAATTTGACTTGAGTATCAGGTGACAATAAGGAACTTTTAATTTTGGTAAGTGTAATAATCACTTTGTGACTAGATTATGCAAGAAATTATTTCTCTGTTTTTTGAAATGCATACTGATGACTCTGGAGGTGACAGACACTGTGTCTGAGATTTGCTTTACAATACCCTCCCCTAAAAAAACAGAAAATTAAAGATGGGTAAGGTTAGATGAAGTAAGTATGGCAAAACGTTGATGCTTATTGAAGTTGGGTAATGGACACACGGATGTCAGTTGCACTCTGTACTTTTGTGTATGTTTGGAAATGTTCACAATTTCAAAAAAAAACTTAAAAACAGCAACAACAAAAAAATGAGGCTGGGCACAGTGGCTCACGCTTGTAATAACAGCATTTTGGGAGGCAAAGGAGGGAGGATCATATAGAGCCCAGGAGTTCAAGACCAGCCTAGGCAACATAGAGAGATCTCCATCTCTTCAAAAAAATTTAAAAATTAGCCAGATGTGGTGGTACTCTCCTGTAGTCTCAGGTGGCTGAGGCAGGAGGATTGTTTGAGCCCAGGAGGCTGAGGCTGTAGTGAGCCATGATCGTGCCACTGCATTCCAACCTGGGTGACCGAGTGAGACCCTGTCTTAAAACACACACACACACACACACAAATGCTTCTTGTCCAGGAACTTGGTTGTCACTCTCTGGGGCTCCTGACTAAGTTAGGCACAGGCTTGATGGTGAGTTAAACAGTCCATGATGCAGCTAAATTGGGGGTCTCAACCATGATGCCTCCTGGGCACAGGGGTCTCCTGGCAGGGACAATTTCCCATCTGGAGCCACACAGACTGAGGGAAGACCCCACGGACCCCCCACCCCACCATGCCCACTTTGACACACACAAAACTGGCCCCAGGACTAGTAGCAAACCACAGCTGCTTCTGACACAACCCCTAATTAGAGGAGGCCTGGTTGGGATTAAACTTATTAAGTACATTATTAATTCAGGCTGGAGACCCATCATGATGTGGCTGTTTATGACGACATCTAGAATTTGTGGTCACTTCAGAAGTGCCCACCATTTGAGAAGTCTGCCATGAACTTCGGGAGGTTCCTTGAGGTCACTGGGATCTCTTGGCTGCCCCTGGAGAGCTCCTGGTTGGATCAAAAGGAAGGAACACAGCAGGGTGGGAATGTGCACTGGGTGGGGAGTCAGGAGCCCCAAGCTCCACTCCTGACCCTGTAGCCTCTTTGGCAACGACCGCAGATAAGGCACTCAGGCAGGGTTAGAGGAGGACCTCTGGAGTTGCACAGACCAGGCACAGAACTGGTGCCAATTATGGGAGAACCAAAATACGTCCAAGCTCTTTCACTCACCTACTTTGCCCATCTAAGCCTTGGTTTCCTCGTCTACCAAATGGGGAGGTGGACCTTCCTGAGATCCAACTGCATGCCACCTCCCTGACCTCCCTAAGGGGGTCCCACTCATTCACTCACTGCCCCCACACTTTGCCCAGTTTGCAATCACACAATTATTTGTTTACTTGCTTATTCCCCCTGTCCCTCTCCAGCCATCCCCACCCCCAACTCTCAGCTCTAGTGGTTGCGCTCTATTTTATCCCCATTCTATCCCTGGCACGCAGCCCTGTGCCTGACAAAGTAGGCCTTCAATAAATATTTATTGGATGGAACCATGAACAGGTCTTGGCCCTGTGTTGACACTTAGTAAATGCTCAATAAATTACAGTATGAATATGATCATTATTATTATCATTTCTAAGTTTCAGTTTCTTCTCTGAAATATGAAGTTGCTCTTACTTACACCCCCAGATTTGCAATAGCCTTGGTGAGCCAAGACATAATGCAAAGAATTACTGGCACTCCTTGCCTGGAATGCCAAGCCAATGCCAGTGAGCTGTCAGGCTGTAGGGGAAAATGGGTGCAGGGCCACAACCTAGGCACAGCAGGGGAGGCATCTCTGTGAGATGATGGGCATGGTCTTTCTTTGCTTTGCTTTTCATTCTTCATGCAAGGGTTATGACTTTTATCTGTTGCACAACAAATAAAAGGGAATTTTCAAGAATCTTCTAACCGTTCTGGCCTGGGTCTGACAATTGTGGCTTCCCCCTCTGGAATGCTACATGAAGACACTCAGGAAAGAGCACTGAAGTGAAGGGGAGTCCTCAGCTATGATTATGAGGACACCTACACACTCCTGGGTAGAGTACAGAAGACAAGGCATTCCCAAGGCTGTGGGAGGCAAAAATCAGTGGGGATGATGGAACAAAATGCTAGTGTTTATCTCCATCATCCAAGATCTATTCTCTCCTTCTACCTTAGCAACAGAACAGAATTGTCAACGTGCCCAGTTGAAAACTGAATTTCCCAGTCATCTTTGCGCATAGAGGAGACCAACAAGATCGAAGCGAAAGTCATTGGTTAGGACTTTCAGGAAAGTACCTGAAAGACAACTGACTAGGAGGTTAAGAGACAGATTGATGGTGCTTTTTTTTTTTCCAAGACAGAGTCTCCCTCTGTTGCCCAGGCTGGAGTGCAGTGGCGTGATCTCGGCTCACTGCAAGCTCTGCCTCCCCGGTTCATGCCATTCTCCTGCCTCAGCCTCCCAAGTAGCTGGGACTACAGACGCCCAACACCACGCCCAGCTAATTTTTTGTATTTTTAATAGAGATGGGGTTTCGCTGTGTTAGCCAGGATGGTCTTGATCTCCTGACCTTGTGATTTGCCCGCCTCGGCCTCCCAAAGTGCTGGGATTATAGGCATGAGCCACCATACCCGGACTGATGGTGCTTTTTTTGATTTTCTCCTCCTTCTTGTACATAATGCTAGAGCTCAGATGCAACGGCTGGAGCTCCAACAGCTATCTTGGGCCATGAGGTGACCTCAAGAATAGAAGCCATGTACTAAAGATGGCAGAGCAGAAGCAGCCTAGGCTCTGGATGATATCATGGAGCAGCCATCCCCGTCATAGACTGTCTAGCTGCAGGTTCTCAGGATAGGAGAAATTTGAAACTCAAATGTGTTGGAACAACATTAGTCAGATTTGTGTAATTGGAAGCTCAACACAACTCGTTACAGGCACAGGACTGATGGAGGAAAGTGTTTGACACAGTATCCAACACATAGTGAGTAAGTACAGGGATGAAATAATTAACTATTGGCCTGGCGCAGTGGCTCACGCCTGTAATCCCAGCACTTTGGGAGGCCAAGGCGGGTGGATCACTCAAGGTCAGGAGTTCGAGACCAGCCTGGCCAACATGGTGAAACCCCATCACTACTAAAAATACAAAAATCAGCCAGGTGTGGTGGCGCCTGCCTGTAATCCCAGCTACTCAGAGGGCTGAGGCACGAGAATCACTTGAACCTGGGAGGAGGAGGTTGCAGTGAGCTGAGATCACACCACTACACTCCAGCCTGGGTGACAGAGTGAGACTCTGTCTCACAAAAAAAAAAAAAAAAAAAAAAGAAAGAAAGAAAGAAAAAAGAAAAGAAATAATTAACTATTGACTAAGCTCAGGAAGGAAGGGTAGAAGGGAGGGAGGAAGAAGGAAGAGAAAGAAAAAGAGGAAGAGAGCCTGGGCGCAGTGGCTTATACCTGTAATCCCAGCACTTTGGGAGGCCAAGGCGGGTGGATCACTTGAGAGGCCAGGAGTTCAAGACCAGTCTGGACAATATAGCAAAACTTGTATCTACTAAAAATACAAAAATTAGCTGGGCATGATGGTGCATGCCTGTGATCCCAGCTACTTGGGAGGCTGAGGCACAAGAGTCGCTTGAACCTGGGAGGTGGAGGTTGCAGTGAGCCGAGATAGTGCCACTGCACTCCAGTCTGGACAACAGAGCAAGACCTGGCTCAAAAAAAAGGGGGGGTTGGGTGGGGAGAGAAAGGGAGGAGGAAGAAGGAGGCAGTCTATGATAGCTCAAGAATATTTCTCTGCTCTGGAAGTGGGCTGAGGCTTTGAAATGAGGGATCTTTTGGGCAAATTCAAGCCCCGACCCACTCCATGCCTCACCCTTAGGTCACCTTCCTGGAAGAAGCCGTCACTACCATGTTCTCAACAACCCCACTGCCCCAGGTGCTTGGAGCTGACTCAAGACGGAGCAGGGCCCAGACCAACAGCAGCCTGGACCCAGCCCCATGTCTGTTGCAGAGAGGCACTGCCCAAGTCTCCTTTCCTGTCTGCGCTAGTTTCATCATCTTGACAGTAATGCAGACCCTCTGGAAGGGTCTTTCCAACTGTGAATAGTACGGTAAGATGTTTTCAAACTTGCCCCAGAGGTGGCTCTCCTATGAGAAATGTAACCCCTATGTGCTGAGCAGGCACATTTTCCATCAGGACAGCCCAGAAAGGCTGATATCATTACAACAGACATGGGGAGTGAAGCTCCGGGGCTCACAAAGCTGAGGAGGGCAGAGCCAGCTTTTGGACCCTTCAGGGTCTGGGACACCAAAGCCATGTTTTTAGCCTCTGCGTTTTACTCCCTTTCCAGACTTTTTTCTTCATCCCCTCCCTGAGTTGAGGCCCTGACAAGAGGAAGAAGCTGTATAGGAGTTGGGGACAAGTTGAGGGTCGTCCATGCCCCCAACACACACCCTGCCTCTGTCCCCAGCCTCTTCCCATCTCTGGCTCCAGTCCAAAGGCAGCTCCAGCCCACTCAGCCCCACCCAGGTGCCTCTGGGGGGAAAACAAATAACAATAAAATGGTAATAACTTGGGCTAAGCAAGAGCACGGGCAACAGCTTTAGTCAATTAACATTCCTTCAGGGTTTGAGGCAGGCCCCCTTCAGCAGCACCTCATAAATGTCAGGAGGGACTTGGAGGCAACTGGAGTTTCTCTGTGGCCTGGCTAAGGCCAGCTCCCTGAGCTGGGGTTGTCCAAGTGGCTTCTCCAGGGAGACAGGGGTACACACAGCCGTCCAGGGACTGGAAGGAAGCCAGAGTGAACACCCTTACTGGGAGCCCGAGTCAGCATCACGTGGGGTGGGGGACAGATTGATGGTGCTAACCAGAGGCCCAAGAACCTTCCTGATCCCATCCTGGGATATGGTGGGCCTTTCTGCACTGGGAAGCAGCGGCAAGGCATGGTCAACCCCTCCCTGCTCTGACAAGAGGTCATAAAGCCTCAACCAATCTCCTCTCTTTGCCCAACTGCACTGTGGTGGTTAATTTATGTGTCAGCTCAACTAGGCCACAGGGTGCCCAGATATTTGGCTCACCACGATTTCTGGGTGTGTCTATGAGGGTGTTTCTGGATAAGATTAGCATTTGAATCAGTGGATTGAGTAAGGCAGACTAGCCTCCCCATGTGGGAGGACCTCATCTGATCCACTGAAGTCCCAAATAGAACAAAAGGCAGAATAAGAAAAAATTTTCTCTCTTTCTGCTGGGATATTAGTTTTGTCCTACCTTCAGACTCAGGCTGGGACTGGAACTTACACAATTCATTGGCTCTCCTGGGTCTCAGGCCTTCAGACTCAGGCTGGGCTCCCCTGGGTCTCCAGCTTGCAGCAGATCTGAGGACTGGTCGGCCTCCAAAAGCATGTGAGCCAATTCCTTATAGCAAATCTCTTTATATGTCTATTTTCTATATCCCTTCTTCCCTTTACTCTGAATGCCCAGTCCATACACCTTAGCTTGTGGAAGGGATCTCCCCAGTTCCTACTTCCTCCTCCCTCCAAGCTCAGGTTCCCTGATGCCCCAAGGGGGACCCCTCTGATTCCCTCTCATTCCTCTCCATATTTTTCTTTCATAGCACATCTTAGATTGCATGTCGGTTACTTTCTGTCTCCCCCAGGAGACTGTATGTCCAAGTCAGGGGCAGGGTCTGGCATGTGCACTGCTGAGAGCCCACCATAGTGCCTTGAGAATGGGTGAAGAAACAAGGAGACAATGCCCACTTCTGCCTGAAGGCTCCCAGATGCCCAGTGGGATGGAGGGTTTCCTGGAGTCCCTGTGTGGTCCCTTTAGGGCAGCCCTTCTCAAAAACCAGAGGATCCCAAACCTGCCAGTGTAACCGAATCTCCTGGGCTGCTTGTGAAAATGCAGGTTCCTGGATCCACGGCCAGAGATCCCGATGGCTGGGAAGATGCATTTTGGCAAGCACCTTGCAAGATTCCCATGCAGAAGAAAAGCAGTGGCCCCTGGAGGGTGGGCCTGGAACCTTCTCTGGGTCCTCCCACCTCTGCCATGGTACCCTATCTGGTAGAGGCTTTCTGGAAGATGCATCTCTCCCGGAGAGATGAGTGGAAAGGATGGGACTGGAAGTCACTGGGGTCTGACATCCAGCTTGAGCTCTGTCCCCAAAGGAGCAGTATGACCCTTGGCAAATTGCTTCCCCTCTTATTCATAAAATGGGGGATATAATACATATCCCAAGGGCTGTAGCAGGAATAACTGGAATTTTCTGCAGGGCTATAGAGTCATACGTGGTGTACTATTACTGTATTCACCATTATTGTCACTATCGTAGTGATTGGCAGTTTTGGACAGAATCAAGGAGGGCTTTGAATGCCAGAATGAAAGACGTATATTTAGATTTAATGTCACATACGTGTGTTTATTCATTCATTGATTCAACCAGTGTTTACTGAGTTACTACCATGTTTCAGTCCCAGGTTCAGGCCCTGGAGATAGAGATACTGCACCTGGCCTGAGAAGTCTCCCCTGGCCAGGGGCCACAGTGTTCACAGGGCCAGGCAGCTCATGTGGGTGAGCGTCTAGGTGGGGCCTGCAGTGAACCAGGGCCAGAGTCTCCATCTGCAGAGGGCAATTGCCCCTTAGCCCTGTGCCAAAGAAGTCAGGCCAAATGGGTTGGAGCTTCTGATTTTACGAAAGCAGCTCAGAATTTGTATATGACTGTTCTGATTTTTAAATGTTGGCCTCTAAGGCCGGGTGCAGTGGCTCACGCCTGTAATCCCAGCACTTTGGGAGGCCAAGGTGGGCAGATCACTTGAGGTCAGGAATTCGAGACCAGCCTGGCCAACATGTGAAACCCCAACTCTACTAAAATACAAAAATTAGCCAGGCGTGGTGGCGGGTGCCTGCAATCTCAGCTACTCAGGAGGCTGAGGCAGGAGAATCGCTTGAACTTAAGGTTACAGTGAGCCGAGATTGCAGTGAGCTGAGATTATGCCACTGCACTCCAGCCTGGGTGACAGAGCAAGACTCTCAAAAAAAAAAAAAAAAGTTGGCCTCTAATTTTAAAAGTTAGTTTAAGCTGAGAACTGAAGAATTGAGTGAGAAGTAGTACCCGGATGCTAGGTACTACTTCTCCGTGGACATATGTCCACTGGGACAAGGAGCCAGTCCTGGTCGGCTTGGCCCATTCACCAGGAGGAACACCAATTCCGAGGAGGAACTGAAGGTGCTTCCAGAAGTGATCATCTGGGTGAAAGGTGACTTGGGAGTGCAAGAGCTTGAGGGAGGAGGAGACAGAAGTCCAGAGACGGTTAAGACCAAAGCAAGGTTACACCGCAAATAACAGCCGAGCTGGAGTCAGAACACAGCCTACAGGCCCCTGCCTAATGCTCTTCCCATTCTCCCAGGAAACCTCACCATGTGTCTGTTCTTGGCTTGCTGCTGCTCTGTTCACATCCTGAGGGACGCTGGGATTAGGGCCAGCCAGGCCTGGGATCAGAGGGCAGTGAAACACAGATACCAGCTCCATTTCTGAGAAGAGCAGATGTTCTAGCATGGAGGGTGGTCAGAGTGCAGGGGACAAATGGTCATAATATAAAAAGCTGTTGAGAGGACAGGCACAGTGGCTCACACCCATCATCCCAGCAATTTGGGAGACTGAGGCAGGAGGATCAAAGGAGCCCAGGAGTTCAAGACCAGCCTGGTGAACATAGGGAGACACCATCTCTACAAAAAAAAAAAAAAATTTTTTTTTAAATTAGCTGCGGTGACCTGTAATCATGCCACTGCATTCCAACCTGGATAACAGACCAAGACCCTGTCTCAAAAAAAAAAAACAAGCAACAACAAAATAACTGTCAAGGACCAGAAGCCACTAGAGGACCGAGGTGGAGTCTGAGCTTGCTTTGTATTCCCCTTTGCCCAACAGACACGCACAGAACTCACTTGGGGCTGGACAGGTGAGACATGTAGAGGTTAAATGCGTGTTGACTGACAAACTTGTTGTCTTGACCGGACTTCACAGACTTCACCTATGGAGTGCTCAGCCATGCTTGGTGGGTGGAAGTCAGTATCTCCCCTGTCCCAGCAGATCCACTTTGGGGAACCCGGGAGAGTGGGGGGATTTCTCCCAGCCGGTGTGTTTGAGACATCAAGACCACCAGCGACCTCATAGCTGCCTCCGGCTGGCGCCACCTGCGCAGGCAGGCGTGAGCTGGGCGCTGACAGCTCCCATCAGGTTGGGGCGGTGGACACCGAGGCAGGAACCAAGTGCCGCGGAGACAGAGGTCGCGCTCCTGGAGGTTGGGCACCTGTAGGAGCCCTAGCACCACCACGAGCCGCCTTGGACCACGCAGCTGCCAAGGTCCTGCGGCCGTTCCCGGCGCCTGGAGTCTGGGCATTGCAGGAGAGCGCCCCTGGAAGGCTCGCGGCCCCTTGCGAAACAGACGCGCGTGTTAAAAGCTGGCGTGGGCCAGGCGCGGTTGCTCACGCCTATAATCCCAGAACTTTGGGAGGCCGAGTAGGGTGGATAACCTGAGGTTGGGAGTTCGAGACCAGCCTGGCCAACATGGTGAAACCCTATTTCTACTTTAAAAATACAAAATCAGCCGGGTGTGGTGGTGGGTGCCTGTGATCCCAGCTACTCCGGAGGCTGAGGCAGGAGAATCGCTTGAACCCGGGAGGCGGAGGTTGCAGTGAGCTGAGATCATGCCACTGCACTCCAGTCTGGGTGACAGAGAGAGACTCCGTCTCAAAAAAATAAAAAAAAAAAATGCTGACGTGGCGGGAGGAGGAGGAGAAGGTGATGGGACTTCAGGAAGGCCATGGCGTCATTGATGAGCCACCCAGCAATAAAGAATAAAGCGCATTTTGACTCTTCTAGTCTCGTTTCTTTGTCTCCTCCTAGTGGACATCGAGGGAGCTTTAAAACATTTTAAAGGAGGAAGTTAAGATACCTTTATTTTCCTTTTCCCTCCCTCCCTCCCGCTCTTCCTCCCTCCCTTTCTTAAACCTTGCTTTATTACTTGTCTTTCTTTTTCTCCTTCCCTCCCTCCCTTCCTTCCTTTCTTCCTTCCCTCTCTTCTCTCCCTCCCTCCATCCTTCCTCCCTCCCTCCCTTCCCTCCATCCTTCCTCCCTCCCTCCCTTCCCTCCTTCCTTCCTTTCTTCCTTCCTTCCTTCTTTCTCCTCCCTCCCTCCCTCCTTCTTCCTTCCCTCCTCCCTCCCTCCTTCCTTCTTTCCCTTCTCCCTCCCTCTTTCCCTCCTAGCCTCCCAAAGTGCTGGGATTACAGGCATGAGCCACCACACCTGGCTAACCAATCTTTTATTGATGGATGTTTAAGCAGCTTCCAATATTTTCTTATAAACAATATTGTAATGAGCATCTTTCATTACACAAGGATAAGTTCTCAAAGGGCAACCTTTAGGTTGAAGAGGTGACAACCTCCAGGTGCCATAGCACATTAAATTTTGATACATATTGCTAAATTGCTGCCCAGGCAAGTTTTACTCATTCCCACTCCCTACACCTCCCTCCAAGCAATGTATGGAGCATCTATTTTTCCACTCACTCACAAACACTTGGAATTGTCATTTTTCTTCTTCTTTTTTTTTTTTTTTTAAGAATAGAGATGGGGTCTCACTATGTTGCCCAAGCTGGTCTCACTCCTGAGCTCAAACAGTCCTCCTACCTTGGCCTCCCAAAGTGCTAGGATTACATGTGTGGTCTACCATGTCCAGCCAGAATGGTCGTTTTTAATTTCTGCCAGTCTGCTAGGTATAAAAAGTTATCTTTTTTTTTTTTTTTGAGATGGAGTTTCCCTTTTATTGCCCAGGCTGGAGAGCAACGGCATGATCTCAGCTCACCGCAACCTCCACATCCCAGGTTCAAGTGATTCTCCTGCCTCAGCCTCCCAAGTAGCTGGGATTACAGGCATGTGCCACCATACCCGGCTAATTTTGTATTTTTAGTAGAGACAGGGTTTCACCATGTTGGTCGGGCTGGTCTTGAACTGCCAACCTCAGGTGATCTGCCTGCCTTGGCCTCTCAGAGTGCTGGAATTACAGGCGTGAGCCACCACGCCCGGCCAGCTATCTCATTTTAGTTTGTGTTTCTTCTATAACCTAAGTGGTGAAATAGAAACATAGGTTTTCTTTATGCCTTCTTTTTGTTTGTTTGTTTTTTGTTTCTTGTTTTTTGTTTGTTTGTTTGTTTTGAGACGGGGTCTTGATCTGTCTCCCAGGCTGATGCACAGTGGCGTGACCTCGGCTCACTGCAACCTCCATCTCCCAGGTTCAAGTTAAGTGATTCTCATGCCTCAGCTACCCAAGTAGCTGAGATTGCAGGTGTGAACCACCATGCCCAGCTAATTGATGTATTTTTAGTAGAGACGGGGCTTCACTATGTTGGCCAGGCTGGTCTGGATCTCCTGGCCTCAAGTGATCCTCCTACCTCGCCTCCCAAAGTGCTGGGATTACAGGCATGAGCCACCACACCTGGCCCGCCTTGCTCTTTCCTAATATGTATTTCTGACACAATATTCTCTTAATTATATAAAATAAGCCTTTATACTAAGTCTTGTTATTTGATAGAAGTGCTCCTCCTAGGTCTTCTAGTTTCATAAATTTCCTATCCTTTGCTCTCCCATGTGACTCTAGAATAAGTGTATTAAATTTTGCAAAAGATTTTGGTGATGTTTGATTGGATTGCTTTGTACTTACAGATTAAACTGAGGAGAACTGACATCTTTTTTTTTTCTTTTTGAGACGGAGTTTGCATCTTGTCGCCCAGGCTGGAGTGCAATGACGCAATCTCAGCTCACTGCAACCTCCGCCTCCCAGGCTCAAGTGATTCTCCTGCCTCAGCCTCCTGAGTAGCTGGGATTACAGGTGTGTGCCACCACACCTGGCTAATTTTTTTATTTTTATTAGAGGTAGAGTTTCACCATGTTGGCTGCTCTGGTTTCAAACTCCTGACCTGAGGTGATCCATCCACCTCAGCTTCCCAAAGTGTTGGGATTATAGGCGTAAGCCACCACGCCCAGCCAAGAACTGACATCTTTTGCTCATGATCATGATATATCTTGCCATGATTAGGATCTTTTTTTTTTTTTTGAGACAGTCTCGCTCTGTCGCCCAGGTTGGAGTGCAGTGGTGCAACCTTGGCTCACTGCAGCCTCTGCCTATGGGTTCAAATCATTCGCCTGCCTCAGCCTCCTAAGTAGCTGGGATTATAGGCGTGTGCCACCATGCCCGGCTATTTTTTTTTTTTTTTTTTTGTATTTAGTAGAGATGGAGTTTCCCCATGTTGGTCAGGCTGGTCTCGAACTCCTAACCTCTTGATCTGCCTGCCTCGGCCTCCCAAAGTGCTGGGATTATAGGTGTGAGCTACCACACCCAGCCTCAGATCTTTTTTTTTTTTCTTTTTTGAGATGGAGTTTCACTCTTGTTGCCCAGGCTAGAGTGTAATGGCTCGATCTCGGCTCGCCGCAACCTCTGCCTCCCAGATTCAAGTAATTCTCCTGCCTCAGCCTCCGGAGTAGCTGGGATTACAGGCATGCACCACCACACCACGTAATTTTTTTGTATTTTTAGCAGAGACGGGGTTTCTCCATGTTGGTCAGGCTGGTCTCAAACTCCCAACGTCAGGTGATCTGCCTGCCTCGGCCTCCCAAAGTGCTGGGATTACAGATGTGAGCCACCATACCTGGCCTATTCAGATCTTTAATTAACTTTTTCAGTAAAGTTTCATAAATGCCTTCAGAAAGATGTTTTTTGGTTGGAGTATTTCTAGATGTTGTATGTTTGGTTTTGCTTTGCTTTTGCCAATATTTTTTCCCCCTACTATATGTTTATGATTGATTTTTTTTTTTTTTAATTAGAGACAAGGTCTTGCTATGTTGCCAAGGCTGGTCTCAAACTCCTGGCCTCAAGTGATCCTCTTGCCTTGGCTTCCCAAAATGTTGGGATTATAGGCATGAACCACTGTACCTGGGCTATGATTAATTATTATTGCTGGATTTCAACAAAGCTATTGGTTTTTTCCATGTTGAGCTCATAGCTTAGCTCTTGCTGAAATCTCTAATTGGTTTTAAAGGTTTGTGTCATTAATTCTCTTCTGTTTTTAAGACCTCTGATCCTATCATTGACAAATAGAGTTTTCTATCTTCCTTTCAAAGATTTACACTTTTTTTCTTTTTCTTGTTTTATTACATTAGCTAAGACCTCCAATATAATGTTGGGTAGAAGCAATAATAGTGAGAATCCTGTTTTTTCCTGACATGCATGGGTATCCTTATAAGTTATGAAATATGATTGTAAATACACTATTCTCACTTTTATCTTACTCTTTAAAATCAACTTTCAGTATTCTGAAAACCACCTTCCTTTTTTTATCCAATAATTCTCTCTTGATACTAATTTACACAGGGAATGATGGAAATGAGGGAGTATGCTAAAACAAATAGAAACTTCTGCAATAATAGAAATATTCTACGTGTGTGCTGTCCAATATCATAGCCACATGTGGCTATTGAGCATTTGAAATGTGGCAGTACAACCAAGGAACTGAATGTTAAACTTTATTTAATTTAAATTTAAATTTACAAACTTATATTTGATTCAGTTATTGGAAAACTTTTAAGTATGCTTGGAACAACTAGGGTATGTAAGCTATTTTTCAAATGTAACTTTTATCATATAAATACTGATCAAGTGTTTCTAGTGAAAATTTAGTGTCCAATTGAGGTGTGTTGTAAGTACAAAATACAAACCAGATTTCAAAGATTTGGTTCCAAAAAAAGGAGGTAAAATAGCTCAGTAATTGAAGGGGTGGCCTGCCCCTCCACACATGCGGGTATATCGCACCAGGTGGGACAAGAGACTGAGAAAAGAAATAAGACACAGAGGCAAAGTATAGAGAAACAACAGTGGGCCCAGGAAACCGGCACTCAGCATACGGGGGACCTGCACCGGCACCGGTCTCTGAGTTCCCTCAGTTTTTATTGATTATTATTTTTATTATTTTAGTCAAAGGAATGCGGTAGGAGAGCAGGGTGATAATAAGGAGAACGTCAGCAAAAAAAACATGTGAGCAAAAGAATCTATGTCATAATTAAATTTAAGGGGAGGTACTATGCCTGGATGTGCACGTAGGCCAGATTTATGTTTCTCTCTGCCCAAACATCTCAGTGGAGTAAAGAATAACAAGGCAGCATTGCTGCCAACATGTCTCGCCTCCCGCCATAGGGTGGTTTTTCTCCCATCTCAGAATTGAACAAATGTACAATCGGGTTTTATACCGAGACATTCGGTTCGCAGGGGCAGGCAGGAGACAGTGGCCTTCGTCCATCTCAAGTGCAAGAGGCTTTCCTCTTTTACTAATCCACCTCAGCACAGACCTTTTACGGGTGTCGGGCTGGGGGACGGTCAGGTCTTTCTCATCCCACGAGGCTATATTTCAGACTATCACATGGGGAGAAACATTGGACCATACCCAGCTTTTCAGGGCAGAGGTCCCTGTGGCTTTTCACAGTGCATTGTGCCCCTGGTTTATTGAGACTAGAGAATGGCGATGACTTTTACCAAGCATACTGCCTGTAAACATTTTGTTAACAAGGCACATCCTGCACAGCCCTAGATCCCTTAAACCTTGATTTCATGCAAGACATGTTTTTGTGAGCTCAAGGTTGGGGCAAAATGGCTGGGGCAAAGTGGCTGGGGCAATGTTACAAATTAACAACATCTCAGCAAAGCAATTGTTTAAGGTGTAGGTCAAAATGGAATCTCTTACGTCTTCCCTTTCTACATAGATACAGTAACAGTCTGATCTCACTTTCTTTTCCCTACATATCCCCCTTTTCTTTTTGACAAAACCGCCATCATCATCATGTCCCGTTCTCGCCGGTCGCTGTGTCTCCGAAGCTGCTGGATACACCTGTAGACTAACAACAGAGAGAACAGACATACAAGGATTAATACAAAATTTGCAATAGTGGAATTTTCAGTGGTTTTAACCCAAGTGACAGGGTTAAGATTTGTGAGGCTATCAACAGCTTTTACCATTGCCTCAGTTTCTGGCACCAGATTTAACTGGGCTTTTGATGCCTCAAAAATTTGTTCTTTTAATTTTGAAATATTTAAAGTAAGATTATCTTCTCTTTTTTGTAAATGGCATCTAACCGTGTCCCAGTGATGTTCAGATTTATTATAGGCTCGAGGTGTAATACAAAAATCTGATGTATTCCAGTCACACTGTAACTGAAAAAGATATTTCAGGCTCATGAGCCTATCTCCCATCCAAATGACAGTTGTCTAAGATCATTAATTTGGCTTGCCAATTTTTGATCTATTTGAGTCTGAGAATTTCACAATTTTGAGGAATTCTTTTGCCAATTATTTACATATTTTGCAGCTTGAACAGAGCAGTGTAAAGCAATTCCAGCAGCCACAGCAGTAGCTGTGATTGCAATAAGATCCATAATCACTGCAATTGAAGTAAAAATGAATCTTTTGGATCTAGTTAGAACTCCTTTTAATACTTCTATTAAAATATGGACAGATGGGGAAGCCTCCCATGGTCGGTCCGTGGACACAGGGATCCACACACCCTCTTTTGCCCTCACTAGCAGAATATGGTGCTGCCAATCAAAAGTTGAATCAATACAAGTAAACAATCTACAATTTTCACAGGTTATAGTTTTGGAATCTGGTTTAATAACTATGTTTCCCACAACTAGCATATAAGGGGGTTTTACACAACTTTGCAAAGGAATTGTCAGATTGGAATTTAGGTCGATAGTATAATATGGCTTACAATTTCTTGTTTCCATAACTTGATTTCCAGACCAAATTCTAATGCGGTGCGAGGCCACAGTGAGCTTCCATAATTTTGAGTGTTCAGGACCAGTAACAAGACTAACTAACTTTGGTTGGGGTGATGAAATTCCCTTTTCACCCCATTTCCATGGATAGGGTGATTCTAACCTTATATAAACCTGGTCTAGCCTTTCAGTCAAATCACTATCATAGGCCGGATTAGTGGGCCAGACAGATGGAGCCTGTGAATATGAGTGAGTCTAGCCCATACAATCATACTATAATTGTCCTCAAGGGGCCCAGTCTATAATAGTTCCAAATTTATTGTTTTGTAATACCACCGCAGTATCAGCCACACATTCTTCCCAAACTAAGACTTTTGGGTCTTTTGATTCTTTGGGAATTTCCTTGGGGCAAGTTTTTTCTTTAGGCTTAAATTTTAATGATCTTTGATAAGAAGAGTCCTGTAAATTATTCATTTGTGACCCGAGCGACATTCCACTTACCATGTAATAAGTAAATTTACTGGTGGCACTGACAGTAGGTACTTCTACCAACCAATTTTTGGGTTGTAGGCCTTAAGCATCCTGGTGCTTTCCCCAGGCAAATAGGAGGATAATGATACCCAATGGAAATGTTTATCATCATTTCTTCTTCTTTAGGTTGGACAGGGCCATGGTCATCTGTGGGGCCTGGTACTCATGCACTATTATTAACATATACTTCAATAGGATTATCTATCCAAGTGACTGCCGGAATTAAGGGTGGGAAAGGCACATAGGCCCAGTAAGTATAATTAGCTGCAGCTGCTCCTGCAGACATAGGGAGACTTACCACTGTTGATACAATCATTAAAGCTGGAAGCAGCATATTCTCTGGAGTTTTTGTTACCCTTGTG
Source organism: Homo sapiens (assembly GCF_000001405.40). NCBI lineage: Eukaryota > Metazoa > Chordata > Mammalia > Primates > Hominidae > Homo > Homo sapiens. The sequence goes on from NC_000005.10 coordinate 154,638,844, forward strand.
TTTTTCAGGCTTTTTTCAGTTAACTGTGTCAGCTTCTTTTGTTGGGCCCAGGTCGGCTGCTCCGCTTTCTTGGTGGATGGCAACTTCATCTGTTCTTCCGATATCACCATTTTGTTCACCTGGCGAGTCAATGATGCTCGATTGCAGGTTTTCTGTCTCTGTGGAGGCACTTTTCTTTGCATCTCAGATGGGTTCATTGTAGAACTTTAAATGTTTAGTGGGTATCCAAACAGGAAGCTGATTTTCTCCTTGTGAAACACAAGCAAAACCTGTCCCCCATGTTATCACCTTACCTATTTCCCATGTCTTATTTTTAATGTCTTTCCACCAAATCAGTTTTCCCTCATATGGGCTGTTTTTTTTACCAGTAAAATGTTGCTCTGCAGAAGTAGTGGTCTTATTTTTATAAATGTCTAAAAAATTTAAAGAGTGCTAGATTAAGTTGCATCTGGGGAGTGTTATGCTCCTTACTTTCTTTTTTTTTTTTTTTTTTTTTGTTTAACCAATTGAGCTTTAAGTGTTCTATTAGTTCTTTCTATTATGGCCTGTCCTTGGGAATTATAAGGGATTCCTGTTGTATGTGTAATTTTCCACTTATTTAAGAATTTTTGAAATGCTTTACTACAGTATCCTGGCCCGTTATCTGTTTTAATTTTTTTCTGGAACTCCCATGGCAGCAAAACAAGATAGTAAATGTCTTTTAACATGAGGAGTACTTTCTCCTGTCTGGCAGGTTGCCCATATGAAATGTGAATAAGTATCAACTGTCACATGGACAAATGACAATTTTCCAAGTGAAGGTACATGTGTGACATCCATTTGCCATAATGCATTAGGACATAAATCTCTGGGATTAATTCCCGCCTCCTGAGTGGGTAGGTGTAGGACTCGACACTGACTGTTTCCATGTGATATCAAATTTATTTTTTAATCCTGTTGCATTTACATGAGTCAGGGCATGAAGTTCTTGTGCTTCCATAAACGCAGATGATAGTAGCAAGTCAGCTTGTTCATTTGCTTTAGTTAAAGGCCCTGGTAAATTAGTGTGTGCTTGAATATGAGTAATATAAAATGGGAAATTTCTTTTTCTTACAGTTTGTTGTAACAAATTAAACAGCTGATTTAACTGATCATCCATACTATATTTGATTAGGGCTGTCTCAACATCCTTTGTAGCCTGTACTACATATGTGTAACAGTCAATTAATTTGTCTCATTTGTGTAGCACACAAAATATCATCAACATAATGAATGATATAACAGTCTGAAAACTTGTTTCTAACTGGTTGAAGAACCTGAGCTACAAAAGTCTGACAAATAGTTGGACTATTAAGCATTCCCTGAGGCAACACTTTCCACTGAAACCTGGTGGCTTGTTCTTTACTATTTATGGCTGGTATAGTAAAAGCAAATTTTTCAAAATCCTGTTTTGCCAGAGGAATGGTAAAAAAGGCAATCCTTTAGATCAATTATAATTAAAGGCCAATCTTTGGGAATCATGGCTAGAGAGGGCAGCCCGGGTTGGAGAGGCCCCATGGGTTGAATTACTGCATTAACAGCTCTTAAGTCAGTTAGCATGCGCCATCTGCCTGATTTTTTCTGAATTACAAACACAGGAGAATTCCAAGGCGAAAATGAAGGCTCATTATGTCCCTTTTCTAATTGTTCCTTTGTCAATAAGTGTAAAGCCTCCAGCTTTTGTTTTGGTAGTGGCCACTGATTTACCCATACAGGCTTTTCTGTTTTCCAAGTTAATGGAATGGGTTTTGGAGGCTCTACAGTGGCCACTCCTAAAAAGGATACTCTATTCCTTTTCTTTCTGGATTTTCCTTAGCCTTAATTGGGACTTTAATGCCTTCTCCATTCTTTCCTAGTCCTTTGCCAGGGAGATATCCCATTTTAGTCATGATTTTTTGACTTGTGGGGCTGTATAGGGAGACTGGAATAGTAATCTCTGCATGCCACTCTTGTAACAAGTCTCGGCCCCATAAATTAATTGGAATAGAAGTAATCATAGGCTGAACTGTACTCTCTTGATTATTAGGTCCTAGACAATGTAAAATCATGGCACTTTGATACACTTCTGAGGTGGCGCCCACACCAACAAGTCCTGTAACAGACTTTTGTTTAGGCCAATTTTTTGGCCACTGATTTAAGGTAATGATAGAAACATCAGCCCCAGTATCCACTAATCTTTCAAACTGCTTTCCCTGAATAGTGACTGTACACACAGATCTATTCTCTGAGAACTGACTACTCCAATAAACAGATTTTCCAGCAGGGTTGGTACTTCCAAACCCTCTTGTTCTTTCTGTTTTGCTATCCCCAATTTTAATATAAGGCAAAGCAATAATTGAGCAATTCTATCACCTGGATTGGCACTCCAGGGAACAGTGGAGTTAATCACTAACTGAATTACCCCTTTATAATCTGAATCAATTACCCCAGTATGAATTTGGACTCCCTTCAAATTTAGACTTGATCTTCCTAAAATAAGGCCTACCATCCCTTCTGGCAGTGTACCATATACCCCTGTAGGAATCTTTTGCGGGGGCTATCCAGGGAGTAAAGAAACCCTTTGAGTAGAACATAAATCTGCTGCTGTGCTGCCCGCTGTGGTGGGGGAGAACTGTTGTATTGTTGTAATTGGCTGATTCCCTGAAATGGTGGTATTTGCTGTGGGGGTTGTTGTCCCTGAAAACCCTGAGGAACAAATGGCTGAATCGGGAACGCCCCACTTTGTCGCGGGGCCTGAGGCTGGCCCCTCTTCCCATTTCCCGATAATGGTTGCCCATTTTTATCAAATTTAGAATGACATTCCTTAGCCCAGTGTTTTCCTCTTTCACATTATGGACACAGGCCAGGTGGCTCTTTATTTTTACTCTGTTTATTTAAGACTGGGCAATTCTTTTTTAGATGACCAATTTGACCACAATTATAACATTTCCCCCCAAATGTTCTAACTTGTCCTCCTAAAGCAACCCCCGTAATTGCTTGAGCCAATAGCATTGCCTTATGCATAGCTCCTCCAATCCCATCACAAGCCTTCACATATTCTGTAATTACATCAACTCCTGCTGGAACATTTTCTCTTAATGGCTTTATGGCTGATTGACATTCTGGATTTGTATTTTGATAAGCCATTATTTCTACAACAACTTTTCAGGCGTTATCATCTGCAATAGATTTTTGAGCGGCATCTTGCAACCTTGCCACGAAGTCTGGATATGGCTCTTAGAGCCTTGTCTGATTGAACTAAAAGAATGGCAGGAGGTTCCTGGGTCCTGAATTTTTTTCCCAAGCCCTGAGGCAAATAGTCCTTAGTTGTTCAATAGCCTCATTCTGCATTACTGATTGTTGGTTAATAGTGCTCCAATTTGGACCTGTTCCTAGCAATTGGTCTGCATCTATATTAACAGCAGGATAAGTAGCCTGATTTTTCCTTACCTGTTCTTGTACTCCATCAATCCACCAGGTTTTAAACTGTAGAAACTGAGAGGGTGAAAGGGAAGACTTAGCCAAAATTTCCCAATCATAAGGAATAAGTCTATTTCCATGAGCAATGGAATCTAATAATGTTCTCATATAAGGAGAGTTGGGTCCATATTGTTTAACTCCTTCCTTCATATCTTTTAACATTTTCAGGGTGAAAGATTCATATCTAATCTCAGTTTGGACAGAGGCTCCTGCTTGACTCCCTTTCCCAGCCAGTATCGGTTGTAAAATTACCGGGTACTGCCATGCCTCAAGATCTCCCTGTTTTCTGGCTAATGGTTTTATGCAGTGTACTATCTTGTACACTAGCTGGTGCTGTAGGATCAAACGCCATCGCTGTGGGTTGCTGATATAGTGCCCTGCTATTTGGGACAGGACACCCCGCCTGAGATCTATACTGAACCTCTGGAAGCAGCTGATACTGAAATTTGACTGGCGGCCAGTATTGATAAACTACCAGTGGTTGGGTTTTATTTTCTACCAGCTGATATTGTGGATACTGTGTCTGGATTGGCATTGCCGGGATAGAGACTCTATCCTTTTCTACTTGATATTCTCTTGCAGTTTGTACTTGTCTAACCTGCATTTGAGGTTGTAATGTCACAGGCATCTGAACCGCAGGAGGAGGAGTTGATGGCCGTCGTGGTTTAAACTCTGATGACCCAAATAATTCTGGACCTCCTTCTGCCAATTTTGATGATTCAGGATATATTACCTCCTGTAATTGATTATAGTCAACAATTTTGCATTGACCGAGCCATTACAGACTCTGCTACATTTTTACAATGTGAACTTTCCATTCCTTTCTTGAACTCTGTTCCTGCCTCTTCTTCACAATCTATTACACAGCTCTCAGGGGCATCAGAAACTGAAACACTATCTTCTTCTATTTGAAACGGTTCTAAAGTTGCTTTAATAATGGCCCAGTCATTCCATACTGTAAGTGGGATGATTTTACCTTCCCTACTTGCTTGTTTTAATTCTTTGCCAATTTTTTCCCAATCTTTTAAATATAAAGTTCCCTGTTCTGGAAACCATGGGCAGAATTGTTCTATTGTTTGAAATAGCATAATTAGATTTTCTGTAGAAGCTTTAACTCCCCCTCTTCTTAAGATAATTTTAATGAAGCTGAGATAAGAGGCATATTTACTTTCAGCTTGCCCCATTGTTACCCTGGATTCCTCCGAGCACACAAGCTTACCGCAAGGTTGACCGTGGACATACTTGGGAATCTCTCATCAGCTGTTCTCAATGTTCACGTTCTTAGCATACCTTCACCCTAGAGAAAGGCCCCAGATTGGGCGCCAGATGAAGGGGTGGCCCGCCCCTCCACACCTGTGGGTATATCTCACCAGGTGGGACAAGAGACTGAGAAAAGAAATAAGACACAGAGGCAAAGTATAGAGAAACAACAGTGGGCCCAGGAGACCGACACTCAGCATACGGAGGGCCTGCACCAGCACTGGTCTTTGAGTTCCCTCAGTTTTTATTGATTATTATTTTCATTATTTTAGCCAAAGGAATGTGGTAGGAGAGCAGGGTGATAATAAGGAGAAGGTCAGCAAAAAAACATGTGAGCAAAAGAATCTATGTCATAATTAAGTTCAAGGAGAGGTACTATGCCTGGATGTGCACATAGGCCAGATTTATGTTTCTCTCTGCCCAAACATCTCAGTGGAGTAAAGAATAACAAGGCAGCATTGCTGCCAACATGTCTCGTCTCCCACCATAGGGTGGTTTTTCTCCCATCTCAGAATTGAACAAATGTACAATCAGGTTTTATACCGAGACATTCGGTTCCCAGGGGCAGGCAGGAGACAGTGGCCTTCCTCTATCTCAAGTGCAAGAGGCTTTCCTCTTTTACTAATCCACCTCAGCACAGACTTTTTACAGGTGTCGGGCTGGGGGACGGTCAGGTCTTTCTCATCCCACGAGGCCATATTTCAGACTATCACATGGGGAGAAACGTTGGACCATACCCAGCTTTTCAGGACAGAGGTCCCTGTGGCTTTTCACAGTGCATTGTGCCCCTGGTTTATTGAGACTAGAGAATGGCGATGACTTTTACCAAGCATAGTGCCTGTAAACATTTTGTTAACAAGGCACATCCTGCACAGCCCTAGATCCCTTAAACCTTGATTCCATACAACACATGTTTTTGTGAGCTCAAGGTTGGGGCAAAGTGGCTGGGGCAATGTTACAAATTAACAACATCTCAGCAAAGCAATTGTTTAAGGTACAGGTCAAAATAGAATCTCTTATGTTTTCCTTTTCTACATAGATACAGCAACAGTCTGATCTCTCTTTCTTTTCCCTAAAAGTAATGATTTTATATTGATTACATGTTAAAATGTAATATTTTTATATAGTAGATGAAATATCTTATTAAAATTACTTTCACTTGTTTGCTTTTATGATTCCTAATGTGGTTATTAGAATATTTAAAATTACATTTGTGATTGCCTTTATATTTCCCTTGGACAGTATTTTAGAGAATGCAGTGGTGAGAGGAACCAGCCTCCCTGAACTTGAGGTCATGGCCCTGTGACTTAGACCAGGCCTCTCATCCTCTCTGAACTTTGGTCGCTTTGTGTTAAAAAAAAAAAAAAAAAAAAAAAAAAACAGAGATAAATCTGCCCCTGTACATCCTCTCAGTGCTATTGTGAGAATCAAATCAAATAATGCACACAAAGCTGTTTTATAGGCTGTAAGAATAATTAAGAGCAACAATTGCGTATTTTTAGCTTTTGCTAGGAGCCAGGCTCAGTGCTAAGTGACTCCACGCATTTCTCTCACAGGCCCTATGAGGCAGGTACCAGTACTACTCCCATTTTGCACATGAGGAAACTGAGTCTGAAAGAGGCTGAGTGACCTGCCCCTTGGCCCACAGCCAGAATGTGGCACTGCCAGGATCCCAAATCAGGCTGACTGAGTCGAGTGCCCACATCCTCAACCCACAGCACACCAAAGGGAAAAAAAAAAACAAAAACCAACCTACCTACTGAGATTTGAAAAGCCAAACCCCAGGCAGGCCGCAGTGGCTCATGCCTGTAATCCTAGAACTTTGGGAGGCCAAGGCGGGCGGATCACCTGAGGTTGGGAGTTCGAGACCAGCCTGGACAACATGGTGAAACCCCGTCTCTACTAAAAATACAAAAAATTAGCCAGGCATGGTGGTGGTCACCTGTAGTCCCAGATACTCAGGAGGTTGAGGCAGGAGAATCACTTGAGCTGGGGAGGTGGAGGCTGCAGTGAGCTGAGATCACTGTCACTGCACTCCAGCCTGGGCAACAAGAGTGAAACTACAACTCAAAAAAAAAAGAAAGAAAAGAAAAGCCGGACCCCAACTCCCAATCGATCTCAGAATCACAGACATCTGCCCACAGTTTTGCAGGTACTGGAGTGCTCTGCTGAGGAGGGTCAGCTGTGGGTCCATCCACACTCCAGCTAATAAGCCTGGGCAGGCCTGTCAACCTCTCTAAGCTTCCTCTAAAGAGTTAAAGCACTCACCCTCTGCTGGTAATTAAATGAGATAATGCCTAGAAAAGTGTTAGCACAAACCGGGCATGGTGGCTCACGCCTGTAATCCCAGCACTTTGGGAGGCCGAGGCAGGTGGATCAACTGAGGTCAGAAGTTCAAGACCAGCCTGGTCAACATGGTGAAACCCCGTCTCTACTAAATACACAAAAATTAGCCGGGCATGGTGGCCGGCACCTGTAATCCCAGCTACTCAGGAGGCTGAGGCAGGAGAATCACTTGAACCTAGGAGGCAGAGGTTGCAGTGAGCAGAGATCGTGCCACTGCACTCCAGACTGGGCAACAAGAGCGAAACTTCGTTCCAAAAAAAAAAGAAAAGTGTTAGCACAATGCCTTGAACGCAAGAATAACAAATTTTGGGTTTTTTTTTTTTTTTTTTTTGAGATGGAGTTTCGCTCTTGTTTCCCAGGCTGGAGTGCAATGGCACGATCTCGGTTCACCAGAACCTCCGCCTCCTGGGTTGTAGCGATTCTCCTGCCTCAGCCTCCCAAGTAGCTGGGATTACAGGCATGCGCCACCACACCCAGCTAATTTTTGTATTTTTAGTAGAAACGGGGTTTCACCATGTTGGTCAGGCTGGTCTCAAACTCCCGATCTTAGATGATCTACCTGCCTGAGCCTGCCAAAGTGCTGGGATTACAGGTGTAAGCCACCACACCCGGCGGGAATAACAATTTTTAATTGTGGCCTTTCCTCCTTCCAACGTGACACCAAATACCAACTGTGTGGTTTGGACACCTTGCTCAATCTTTTGGTTCCTGGGTTTTTTTGTTTTTTGTTTGTTTGTTTTGTAAACAGGGATGAAGGTAGCTTCCGCCTCAGGATTTTGCATGTGGGTTATTTGAGAGTAGGATACTCCTAGATACAGTCAATACTGAACAAATTTGGTCATTTCGTACTCGTGATGTCCTTGGTCAAGGGCTCTCCTCTGGGCCGGTGGTGGTTGCAGAGAGAAGCCCCCGCCGCCGTCGCTCCTCGGGAAAGGAAGTCGCGGGTGAACAACCGAATATGCGATGAAAAGGGCAAAGTAAGAAAGCGCACAGCGGCCCCCGCCCCGTGGAGCGCTCCTTTGGTCCCAGGCGGGAGGCTTGCTGGAGCCCAGGAGCTGGAGGCTGCAGTGAGCCGTGTTCGCCCCACTGCACTCCAACCTGGGCGGCAGAAGAGCGAGACCTCGTCTCTAAAAAAACTCAAGAAACTAAAAAAAGAAAGCACATCTCTTCCAGCAGAAGGCTCCCGGAGGCCCGGGCTGAGGAGGAACTGGGAGAATGGGGCAGCAAAGAGAAAGGGAGAGCAGCTTTGCCTCTGAGGCGGCCTTGGCCATTTGCTGTAGGGCCTCGCTGCCTTCGCACTGGGGCCACCTGGGTGAAGTTTACCCTGGCTCCCGCCTGCTGCACCGTCACCTCCGGCCCCTCATTACGGAAATGAAGACCACTAAGGAGCATGAGCGTCGTAACCGCCCGCCTGGGGTTGACTTCTCTTGGGGTGATCAGCCACGTGACCCTAGCCACCCGCCTCCTTTACACTACGCCCCAGGATCCCCGGCGGCAGAGATAAAGAGCTGGACTTTAGACTCAGACGACCGCGCTCTTAAACCTTAGATGACCTCATCCCAGCCAGGTGATCTCGCAAGCTCCCGACGCTGTGCTCAGCTCCTGTCTCCTGCGCTTGGGTAAGCGCTTCTTAGCCCGGCCCCGCCAGGGTTACGCGGAGGATTGAATGGCACTCTTCCCACACTGTGCCTGGCGCGTCCAGGCTCGGTCACTTAAGGCTGCTTTCCTGAACCACCGCAGGTCCCTTTTCCCACAGCCGCTCGAGTCCCCGTCAGCAGCTTGCTTGCCCTCTCAGGACTTGTTTGCAGGGTGCTAAAATGGCACTGGGGCTGTGGTGGCTGGCAAAGCACCCTGCAAATATTAATCCCCTTTCCATCCCTAAAACTTTGAGACCCGCCATTTAGCCTTACGGGGCCCGGTTTCCTCCTCTAGAAGCTGAAGATAAGTGAGACACTTCCACATGAGGTTGTACATTTACTATTCATTCAGCCAGCCGTTTTTTTTTTTTGAAGTGCTGGGCACAGTGTGGTCTCAGGCAGGCCCTACCCATGTCCTCCTCTCTCTTTCCCCTGGCGGGTGTGCAGGCCCCTGGAGGTTCCCAGGGCTAGTCTAGGCACCAGAATGCTGCTCGGTGAGAAATCTCAGAGCAATGTGGAAGCTTCTAATAGAGCTGTATTTACTCAACCACAAGGGACTAGCCTTTATTCTGAAATTTCCTGTTTGTATCTAGTTGTTAAAATGTCCATTTCTTTTATGAAATGATGGTAACCAGGGCTGGGAGTTTTCTTTTTTCTTATTTATTTATTTTGAATTGAGACGAGGTTTCTCTATATTGCCCAGACTGGTCTCGAACTCCTGGGCTCAAGCAATCCCCCAGCCTCAGCCTCCCAAAGTGCTGGGATTACAGCCCTGGGCCACTGTGCCTGGCCGGGAGTTGATTTTCTAAATGTTCTTGGGTTACCGGGTGCAGTGGATCAGCCTGGCTCAGTGGCTCACGCCCCAGGTAATCCTAGCACTTTGGGAGGCGGGCGGATCACCTGCGGCCAGGAGACCAGACTGGCCAACATAGTGAAACCCCGTCTCTATTAAAAAATACAAAAATTAGGCGGGCGGGCCGGTGCTCACCTGTAGCCCCAGCTACTCGGGAACCCGAGGCAGGAGAATTGCTTGAACCCGGGAGACAGAGGTTGCAGTGAGCCGAGATGAGATCGCACCACTGCACTCAAGGCTGGGTTACGGAGTTTGACTCTGTTTCAAAAAAAAAAAATAAATAGATAAGTAAATAAATGTTATTTAGCAAAATTAAAAGTTGACAGGCAACTCCAGTGTGACAGGAAGGCTCTAGAATGGCCTTCCGCAGTCCCCTCCTCCTGATATTCAAGCCTTTGTATGATCCCCTCCCCTCCAGAGTGGCTGGGGCTGGTGACTTGCTTCTAAGAAACAGAATGTCGCAATAATGACTTCTGTGATTAGATTAGCAATGACTGTGACTTCCATCTTGCCAGCTGACTTTTGCTCTTCTTGGCTTGCACACTTTGATGAAACAAACTGCCACACTGAAAAAGCAGCCAGGCTGGGCGCGGTGGCCCACGCCTGTAATCTCAGCACTTTGGGAGGCCGAAGCGGGCGGATCATGAGGTCAGGGGTTCGAGACCAGCCTGGCCAACATAGTGAAACCCCATCTCTACTGAAAATACAAAAATTACCCGGGCATGGTGCCTGGCACCTGTAATCCCAGCTATTCGGGAGGCTGAGGCAGGAGAATCGCTTGAACCCAGGTGGCAGAGGTTGCAGTGAGCTGAGATCGAGCCATTGCACTCCAGCCTGGGCAACAGAGCAAAACTCCGTCTCAAAAAAAAAAAAAAAAAAGGTCAGCCAATGATGTAGTAAGGAGCTGGTGGTCTCTGACCAACAGCTAGGGGTACTGAGGGCCTCAATCCAACAGCCCTGGAGGAACTGAGTCCTGCCAACAGCCAGGTAAGCTGGAAGCAGGTGGTTCCCCAGTTGAACCTTAAGGCTACTTAAGGAACCTTAAGGCGCAGCATGTAAAATTTCAGGAGGCACTCACATGTAACAAGTGTGCCCTGACCCCACCCTGTGTGGCCAACACCCTGAATAGCACCTGTGAGATACCTGCAGTGGAGGAGCCAGTGAATCTGTGCCCACTGGGTTTTAGGGTAATTCATTATGCAGCAATAGATAACCAATACATCTGGGTATTTTTAAATGCTCTTGGTCTGTGGAATCCAAAAACCAACTCCTTTTCAGGAGGTCATGTGAGATGGTATCTTAAGGGTGATGAGGCAGCCCCAGGACAGACCTAGATTCCTTTTTGTTTGTTTGTTTTGAGATGAGATCTTGCTCTGCGCCTAGGTTGAAGTGCAGTGACAAAATCTCGGCTTAGAGCAGCCTCAACCTCCTGGGCTCGAGCGGTCCTCCCACCTCAGCCTCCCAAGTAGCTGGGACTACAGATGTGCACCACCACACACGGCTATTTTTTTCTTTTTTGTATTTTTTTCTTTTTTCTTTTTCTCTGGCTGTGTTGCCCAGACCTAGATTCTAATCTCAGACCCTCCTCTAGTTAGCTCAGTAGCCTTAGGCAAGTTACTTTGATTTCTCTGAGCCTCAAATTTCTCACACAGAAAAATGGGTATAATACTGATTTCCTAAATTAAATTATGCATGTGTAAACACCAATAATTACCATTTCTAGAGCATTCTTTTGTGTTACAGCCAATGTTAAATGCTTTACATGCATTATTGCATTTTATCCTCACAAACTTATGGGGTCAGTTCATTTATTACCCCCATTCTTCAGATAAGAAAACTGAGAAGGTACAGGCGTGGTGTGTGCCGGATACATTGTAGGCCTTGAATAAATTGTGTCATAAATAAAGAAAAAAAAGCAAGCCTTCCAATATGCGCTTTCCTACCTGTTACCACTAGGTGGCAGCAAAGACAGGCAGACGAGCCAGCCTTTGCGCTTAGCTGAAAATGTATTCCTAAAAATTAATTTGCTTATTTAGATGAAATTGTATTCCTGCATTATTTTTTATTTTTACTTTTTATTTTTGAGACGAAATTTCACTCTTGTTGCCCAGGCTGGAGTGCAATGGCGCCATCTCGTCTCACCACAACTTAACGCCCCCCGGGTTCAAGCGATTCTCCTGCCTCAGCCTCCCGAAAAGCTGGGATTACAGGCATGCGCCACCAAGCCCGGCTAATTTTTTTTTTTTTTTTTTTTTTTGTAGTTTTAGTGGAGACAGTGTTCCTCCATGTTGGCCAGGTTGGTCTTGAACTCAAACCTCCGACCTCAGGTGATCCGCCTGCCTCGGCCTCCCAAAGTGCTGGGATTACAGGCGTGAGCCACCACACCCGGCCTCCTGCGTTCTTTTACTAAGTATTTATGTGCCAAGTGATTTACAAGAACTAGTTATATTCTCGTCACAACCATATGTGAGATTTGCTATTACCAGTTTACAAAGGCGGAGACTGGGGCTGAGAGGTATGACTTCCTAAGGGCCACACAGCTAGAAAATGACATGAATTAAGTTAAACGTGTGGTATGAATACTTCTAAAAGTTTTCTATGCCAATATACCTGAGTTGCTGTATAGATATTTTTAGAGAAAAGGGGAGTAATGGGAGTAATTTTGTTTGTGTGTGTTTTTAGAATTCTGATCATACATATTATTCTTTTTTTTTTTTTTTTTTTTTTTTTTGAGACAGAGTCTCACTCTGTTGCCCAGGCTGGAGTGCAATGGCGCCATCTCTGCAACCTCCATCTCCCAGGTTCAAGCGGCGATTCTCGCGCCTCAGCCTCCCGAGTAGCTGGAATTACAGGCGAGCTACCACACCCAGCTAATTTTTGTATTTTTTCGTAGAGACGGGGCTTCACCATGTTGGCCAGGCTGGTCTCAAACTCCTGACCTCAAGTGATCCACCTGCCTCGGCCTCCCGAAGTGCTGGGATTACAGGCGTGAGCCACCGCGCCTGGCCCATTTTATTCTTTAATTTTCTTCTTTCACCTGCCAGTGAATCTTAGAAACATTTCCAAGGAATCCATTCTTTTTGGCATCTGTACAGTATTCTATAGTGTGGGTGGATCACAAAATGTCTAGGTAATAAACCCTCTGTGGCTAGTCATCTGAATTACTTCTAATTTTTTGCTTTTACCAAAAAACAAAGAAAAATGTTCCAGAAATATCCACAAACAGATGTCACTGTGATGGTGTTTCTGTCAGTAGACTCCCAGGCGTGTGACCCCTGGGTTGTGGGGTGTGTGTAGCTGGGGTTGGTAAAGATGCTGGTCACTCACAGGTGGGTTGTGCCCATTTTCATCCCACCCATGGTGCCGGACAGAGCCTGTTTCCTCATGGCTTGGCCAACCCTGGAGGTTATCAATGTTTATTATTTTTTTTTTTTTGCTAATTTATTAATAATATGAAAAAAGTTTTAGTAAACAATTTAGTAATAGACTAAGCTACCTTAAAACAAAATGAGCTTCACTCTTCCTTGCAGGTGATCAGTCATGAGTTTGCATGGGGCCGGGCACGGTGGCTCACACCTGTAATCCCAGAACTCTCGGAGGCCAAGGCAGGCAGATCACAAGGTCAGGAGTTCGAGACCAGCCTGGCCAGCATGGTGAAACCCCATCTCTACTAAAAATACAAAAAATTAGCTGGGCATGGTGGCACGTGCCTATAGTTCCAGCTACTTAGGAGGCTGAGGTAGGAGAATTGCTTGAACCCAGCAGGGAGAGGTTGCAGTGAGCTGAGATCGTGCCATTGCACTGCAGCCTGGGTGACAGGACAAGACTCCATCTCAAAAAGAAAAGTCCAGGTGAGGTGGCTCACGCCTATAATCCCAGCACTTTGGGAGGCCAAGGCAGGAGGATCACGAGGTCAGGAGTTTGAGACTAGCCTGACCAACATGGTGAAACCCTGTCTCTACTAAAAATATGAAAATTAGCCAGGCATGGTGGCACGTACCTGTAATCCCAGTTACCCAGGAGGCTGAGGCAGGAGAATCACTTGAGCCCGGGAGGTGGAGATTGCAAGTGAGCCGAGATCATGCCATCGCACTCCAGCCTGGGCAACAGAGTGAGACTCTGTCTCCAAAAAAAAAAAAAAAAAAAAAAAGAGTTTGCATGGCCAGGCTGGGTGCCATGGCTCATGCCTGTAATCCCAGCACTCTGGGAGGCCGAGGCGGGTAGATAACCTGAAGTCAGGAGTTCAAGACCAGCCTGGGCAACATGCTGAAACCCCCTCTCTACTAAAAATACAAAAATTAGCTGGACATGGTGGCACACACCTGCAATCCCAGCTACTCGGGAGGCTGAGGCAAGAGAATCGCTTGAACCCAGGAGGTGGAGGTTGCAGTGAGCTGAGATCTGGCCACTTTACTCCAGCCTGGGTAACAAAATGTTACTCCATCTCAGGAAAAAAAAAAAAAAAAAAAAAAAAAAAGAGTCTGCATGGCCAAGACAGTCTCTAGGGGGAGAGAGGAGTGAAGAAAATGTCTCAGGTCCTTTCCCGGCAGAGATCCCAGCTGAGTGTACCCCCCTCTGTCTGTGCCTGGGGCACACACACATTGCCACTTTTAAGGTTTTACTGTGCAAGCCCCATCATCACAATCTGACTAGAAGCCCCCTAAGTTACTACTGTGCTTTCACTGACATGAGAATTGTGCATGATTCATCCTGTAGGGCAGCGTGGATGGGGAAGGACTGGCCCACTGCCAGGGGGTGGGGAGGGTCACTTCTACTCCCCTGACACCATGCCACACCTTAGCTCATTGATTCCTCACTGTCCCTATCAGGTAAGAGCTATGATTTTCCCCATTTTACAGATGAGGAAACTGAGGCTTAGGGACGTGGAAGCACCCATTGGCATAAAAAGCATGGCATAGTGGGCAGTGCAGACCCAGGATAAGGTCAGAAAAACCAAACTAACTGGCATGGGGGGGTTGGAGGCACTCCTAGACCCACAAGGGATGCAGAAGCACCCCAGGCAGGGCCCAGAGGCGCCAGGTAGGACCCACAGCAGTGAGGCTGGCAAGGGTTTTCCCAGAGAGGGCAACCTGGGTGTTCTTGCCCCACCTCTCCTGGGGCTGCCGGTCCTGCCCCCAGGAACATGTTATCTGTGTCCTGGGGACAAAGCTGCAGATTCTCACCAGCTGAGGCCTTCCTGGCAGGTGGCGTCCAACCTTTGGACATGTAAACAGCCTTGGCCTGACCAGGGGTGGCCCAGCTTGGCCTTGGGGCCTGCAGACCTGTGCATGCCCAGGCAGGTGTGTGTGAATATGTTTAGGGCCATAAGGGTGTGTTTGGGTCTCCACACATCCACTTGGGATTGGATCTGGGGGCCAAGGACATCTCATTCATCTTGCTACCTCCCCATACCCTGGGGAATCCCCAGGTTACTTCCTAAAAGAGGACCAGGCTGGAACCAAGAAATCCCAGAAGAACCTGAGGACCAGAGAGGGGCTGACATGTGCCTAGGACCACACAGCAGACAGAGCCAGGTCCATAAATCGCTCTGCTGCAGACCCTGACCCTGCTGGTCCTACTGCCTCCCACCCACCACCTGCAGCTCCTCTTATCTCTGGGGCCCTGGAGCCTGCTGATTCCTGGGACAGGGCCCACCCTCCCTGGGGGGACCAGATGGACGGGACTGCAGGGCCTGCTCAGGCCTGATAAGGGACTTGGCTCAGGCCTTTATCAGTGGGACTTGGGGCTCCCGACAGGCATGTGTCCCCGTTTGGGAGAGGAAGCTGTGAAGAGAGGGTGCCCAGCCCCTGAGCAAAAGAGATAAAGGACAGAGACTTTTTAAAATACTTTTCTTTTTGTTTTTTAATCTGTATTGCTTTCTCTGATTACAAAGGCAATTCAGGCATGTTACAATTAATTAGAACATAACAAAAATAGACAGTATGGAAAGTGAAAGTGCCTGTAAATCTGCCTTCAGACATAATCCCCAGGCCTGGTTTGGGGTCATTTCTCCAGATTTCTTTCTACACATAAACATGGTCAATTAATTAATGAATTGGAATCATATAGAGCACAGTGTGGTGGCTCCTAGTGTGTCCCAGGTCCCAGTCATGTGGCTCCTCAGCTTCAAACCCAGACACATTACTTAATCTCTCTGAGCCTCAGTTTTCTCGTCTATAAAACCTCGCACGGATATTGTCGAGAGTAAAGAAAATTACACATGCCGGGCACTTCATGGACCTACACCCAGCTCAGTGAGCTCTTGATAAATGGCAACGTCACCAGTGTCATCACACAACCTGCCTTTATTTTTCACTTAACAACCTAATGTGTGTTTTTCTTTTAATTACAAAAAAAAAAAACAAAAAAAAAAACAAAAAAACAAGGACATCTTTCTATATTAGTGCCTAGAGATGTAGTAAACTCCTTTTGACAAATTCAGAACTTTCCTTGTATGGGTGAATCATCATTTTTTAAAAAATCAACTCTATTGCAGTATACTTTACATACAATCAAATGCACCCAGAAAATAGCACAGTTGAATGAGCTTTGGAAAATTATTTGGCCATGTAACCACTGCTACAGTGAAGTCTGGAACATTTCCGTTGTCCGGAAGATTCCTTCATTCCCCTTTGCAATTAATCTCCTGCCCCCACACCCAGACCCAGGCAACCACTGAACTGTTTCCTGTCCCTGTAGTGTAGATTTCCCTTTTGTAGAATATCGTAAATGAAATCACACAGCATGTGCCCTCTCGGGGAAGGCTTCGTCCACTTGGCATAATGCTTTTGAGATTTCTCCATGTTGTTGCTGTCGGGTCACCAGTAGCTCATGGCTTTGCTGTGCTAAAGAGTGCCCCATTGCAGGACATGCGATCTGTATCCCTTCACCTGCTGGGGGACATTTGGATGGTTTCCAGTGTAGGGCTACAAATCTCCTATTTTTAGAACCCCAATGAGGAAGGACATCAAGACTGTTTCTAGGCCGGGTGCGGTGGCTCACACCTATGATCCCAGCACTTTGGGAGGCCAAGGTGGGCGGCTCGCCTGAGGTGAGGAGGTCGAGACCAGCATAGCCAACATGGTGAAACCCTGTCTCTACTAAAAATACAAAAAAATTAGCCAGGTGTGGTGGGCACCTGTCATCCCAGCTACTCAAGAGGCTGAGGCAGGAGAATCGCTTGAACCTGGGAGGCAGAGGTTGCAGTGAGCCGAGATCGCGCCACCGTACTCCAGCCTGAGCGACAGAGCAAGGTTCCATCATAAAAAAGAAAATAAATTAAAAAAAGAAAAACAGACTGTTTCTAAATGTTTATTGTTAGCTTATAAAAAAAATACTGCAATCACTGGCTATGCAAATTTGCATGGACATTTTGTGGGAGGAGTGTCATGACACTAGAGGTACAACAGAAAAAAAAATTTTTTTTTTTTTGGCAGATCCAATTCTTTCTGAAGAAACAATTTTTTAAAGATTCTCCGCCGGGCACGGTGGCTCACGCCTGTAATCCCAGCACTTTGGGAGGCCAAGGTGGGTGGATCACGTGAGGTCAGGAGTTCGAGACCAGCCTGGCCAACATGGTGAAACCCCGTCTCTACGAAAAATATAAAAACTAGCCAGGCGTGGTGGTGGGCACCTCTAATCCCAGCTACTCGAGAGGCTGAGGCAGGAGAATTGCTTGAACCCAGGAGACGGAGGTTGCAGTGAGCTGACACAGTGCCACTGTACTCCAGCCTTGGTGACAGAGTGAGACTCCATCTTAAAAAAAAAAAAAAAAAAAAAAAGATTCTCCTTGGCCAGCCTGGCATGGTGGCTCACTCCTGTAATCCCAGCACTTTGGGAGGCTGAGGTGGGTGGATCACTTGAGTGTAGGAGTTCGAGACCAGCCTGGGCAACAAAGTGAAAATCCACTTCTTTTTTCTCTTTTTTTTTTTTTTTTTTTGAGACAGCGTTTCGCTCTCCTTGCCCAGACTGAGGTGCAGTGGTGCAATCTCGGCTCACTACAACATCCGCCTCCCGGGTTCAAGCGATTCTCCTGCCTCCACCCGGCTAATTTTGTATTTTTAGTAGAGACAGAGTTTCTCCATGTTGGTCAGGCTGGTCTTGAACTCCTGACCTTAGGTGATCTGCCCACCTTGGCCTCCCAAAGTGCTGGGATAACAGGCATGAGCCACCGCGCCCGGCCCTTTTTTGTTTTGTTTTGTTTTGTTTTGTTTTTTAGATGGAGTCTTGCTCTGTCACTCAAGCTGGAGTGTGGTGGCATGATCTCGGCTCACTGCAACCTCTGCCTCCTGGGTTCAGGTGATTCTCCCGTCTCAGCCTCCCAAGCAGCTGGGATTACAGGTGCCTGTCATTACACCCAGTTTATTTTTGTATTTTTACTAGAGAGGGGGTTTCAGCATGTTGGCCAGGTTGGTCTCAAACTCCTGACCTCAGGTGATCCACCCGCCTCGGCCCCCCACAGTGCTGGGGTTACAAGTGTGAGCCACCATGGCTAGCCACAAAAATCCATTTCTACAAAAAATACCAAAAAAAATTAGCTGGGTGTGGCCAGGCACGGTGGCTCACACCTGTAATCCCAGCACTTTGGGAAGCTGAGGTGGGTGGATCACCTGAGGTCAGGAGTTCTAGACCAGCCTGGCCAACATGGTGAAACCCTGTCTCTACTAAAAATACAAAAATTAGCCAGGAGTGGTGGCAGGCGCCTGTAATCCCAGCTACTTGGGGGAGCTGAGGCAGGAGAACCGCTTGAACCCAGGAGGCGGAGGTTGCAGTGAGCCGAGATAGCGCCATCACACTCCAGCCTGGGGAACAAGAGCAAGACTTCGTCTCAAAAAAAAAAAAAAAATTAGCTGGGTGTGATGGCGCACACCTGTAGTCCTAGCTGCTCAGGAGGCTGAGGTGGGAGGATTGCTTGAGCCCAGGAGGCGGAAGTTGCAGAGAGCAGAGATCACACCATGGCACTCCAGCCTGGGTGACAGAGCGAGACCCTGTCTCAAAAAAAGAAAAAAATTCTCCTTGTTCCAGCTGGAGACCCAAAGGCCCAGAGAAGGGAAGCAATGTGCCTAAGATCAAGCAATGAGTGAGTTTCCATGCAGAGGCCAGAACTCAGCTCAGCCTTTACCCATGCCTCCCCAAGCCCTTGCACAAAGCAGGGTGGGTTCTCCACAAAGAGTATCCCCAAATGATGCTCAAGACCTTGATGATGATGAGGGTGACAGTGTTCGCTACTGGTATTAAATGCTTACCCTATGCTCGGCAGTGTTCTAAGTTCTTTGCCTGGATCCACTCACTTTAATCCACACATATCCCAATGAAGGAGGTAAAATTACTATTCCCATTCTATAGATAAAGAAACTGAGGCACAGAGAGTTTAAGCATCTCACCTAAAATCACACAGCGAAGAAGAAGCAGAGCTGAGACTCATACAGGGTAGTCAGGCTCCAGTGCTGCAGAGTAAGGAAGAGTCTGTGAGTCCCTGCTGAGTAAGGAAAGTGACATGGCATGGTGGATGCAACCTGAATCAGATGCCAGGTGGCCAGGGAGTCTGTCCCCACCTTGCTGGGTAATGTGGTCAGTTCCCACCCTGGGACTCCCTTTACCTACCAAAAGGGAAAAGAGGCAGTTTAGCAAGAGGCTCTTAGGATCCTTTGGCAATGTGGTGTTTTGTTTTGTTTTGTTTTTTGAGACAGTCTCGTTTTGTCGCCCAGGATGGAGCACAATGGCATGATCTCAGCTCACTGCAACCTCCGCCTCCCGGGTTCAAGTGATTCTCCTGCCTCAGCCTCCCTTACCAGTAGCTGGGATTACAGGTGCCCGCGACCATGCCCGGCTAATTTTTTGTATTTTTAGCAGAGACAGGGTTTCACCATGTTGGCTAGGCTGGTCTCGAACTCCTGACCTCAAGTGATCTGCCCACCTCGGCCTCCTAAATTGCTGGGATTACAGGCATGAGCCACTGTGCCCGGCCTGGCAATGTGGTTCTACATGTATTTTCTTTCCTTTTTTTTTCCTTTTTTTCTTGCCCTTTGTGAACAAAGCTAGATGTATTTTTGTAGAGCTGAGCTGACAGGAGAAAAAGAGAGCTAGAGTTTGTGGCTTTACTCCTGAACTGGGTCAGGAGAGACGAGTGGTCTGGTGGCTTTTCTGGGATGGACATGGGAGGCCTGGACTCATCCTCAGTGGGCAAGGGATGTGGCCTCTGTCCCCTGGGACTGGCTCTCTTGTCATACTGTTTTTCACTGATGGCTTGGATGCCTGGTCCATGGAGTAGAGTGACAGCCTGTGCCCTCCACCTGAGGGCAACGTGTTCTCAGCCTCGCAGCCCCTCCTTCTCCAGGTCACCCATCTTCTCCTTCCCCTGGGCCCTGCATTCTGGACCCATGCCGAAAGTGCCCCGCCTCTCTCCAACTTCAGGGAAACCAAGTCCATGGCCCTGTTCTCAAATTTATACCAACTAAAAGACATACACAGCTGGGTGCTCACATATACAGGCTCACGCCTGTAATCCCAATACTTTGGGAGGCCAAGGCAGGAGGATCACATGAGGTCAGGAGTTTGAGACCAGCCTGGCCAACATGGTGAAACCCCATCTCTACTAAACATACAAAAGTTAGCTGGGCATGGTGGCACACACCTGTAATCCCAGTTACTCCAGAGGCTGAGGCAGGAGAATCACTTGAACCCGGGAGGCGGAGGTTACAGTGAGCCGAGATCACACCACTGCACTCCAGCCTGCACATCAGAGACAGACTCTGTATCAAAAAAAAAAAAAGACATATACTGGATACAACATGTATGGAGCACTGTTAGAATTTACATGAATTAGGCTGGGCATGGTGGGTAACGCCCATAATCTCAACATTTTGGGAAGCCAAGGTGGACAGATCTTGAGCTCAGGAGTTCAAGATCAGCCTGGGTAACATGGTGAGACCCCATTTCTATAAAAAATGCACACGTACAAAAATTAGCTGGGTATGGTGGTGTGTGCCTATAGTCCCAGCTACTCAGGGGGCTGAGGTGAAAGAATCACTTGAGCTTGGGAGGCAGAGGTTGCAGTGAGCCAAGATCACACCACTGCACTCCAGCCTGGGCGACAGAGCGAGACCCTGATTCAAAAAACAGAAACAAACAGAAAAAAGAATTTATATGAGTTAATATTCAATTCTCCTAAGGACCCTATAATGTAAATATCCTATTACACATTTTCCAGATGAGATATTTGAGGCCCAAAAAGGTTGAGCACTTTGCACCAGGTCACACAGCATCTATGGGACAAAGCCAGGATGTGGGTCCAGGCAGACTATTCCCCAGCCCATACTCTTAACCAACACACTATATTTCCTTCCCACTTATGGCACCCCAGAGCCCCTGACTCCTTCCCAATTCTGTCCTTCCTACAGTGTCAGCCCCTCTCCATCTGCTAGAGGCTGGAGTATAGTGATGCTGGTTTTTTTTTTTTCTTTTTTTTTTTGAGACAGAGTTTCGCTCTTGTTGCCCAGGCTGGAGTGCAATGGCACAATCTCGGTTCACCGTAACCTCCGCCTCCCGGGTTCAAGCAATTCTCCTGCCTCAGCCTCCCAAGTAGCTGGGATTATAGGCATGCACCACCATGCCTGGCTAATTTTCTATTTTTAGTAGAGATGAGGATTTCTCCATGTTAGTCAGGCTGGTCTCAAACTCCCGACCTCAGGTGATCTGCCTGCCTCAGCCTCCCAAAGTGCTGGGATTATAGGCGTGAGCCACAGCGCCTGGCTCAGTGTTACTGTTAATATTAAGAGCACAGGAGCCAGAGTTGACAGTCAGGTTCAAGTCCTAACTGCCACTCACTGGCTGTGTGTCTTTGAGCAAGCCTCAGAGCCTGTTTGCTCTTCTATAAAAAATGGGAACAACAGGATCCACCCCACAGGTTTATTGTGAAGATTAAATCAGTAGTGTAGACCACTGGCTCTCAAAGAACAGTCAGGAGACCTCTGAGGATCCCCAAGACTCTTTCAGGGGATCCATGAAGTCAAAATTATTTTCATAATAAGACTAAGATGTTATTTGCCTTTTTCACTCTCATTTTCTCTTGAGCGTATGGTGTTTTCTGGAGGCTACATGTCATGTGATATCACAACAGACTGAAAACAGAGGCAGATAGGAGAATCCAGCTGCCTGCTACGCAGCCAGACATTAAAGAAATCTGGAATAATGTTAAAAAAAGCTACCTTCACACTATTTTTTTTGTTTTTGAAAATGTGGTTATTTTTCATAAAATAGATGGTTTATGTTAATGTGTAGTGTCTGCTGTTACTTTTACATTAATTAATATTTATACAATTTTCTCAAATTTTTTTTTTTCTTGAGACACAGCCTCACTGTAGCCCAGGCGGGAGTGCAGTGGTGCCATCTTGGCTTACTGCAACCTCCACCTCCCGGATTCAAGTAATTCTCCTGCCTCAGCCTCCCGAGTATCTGGGATTACAGTTGCATATGCCACCACTCCCAGCTAACTTTTATATTTTCAGTCGACACAGGGTTTCACATTGTTGGCCAGACTGGTCTTGAACTCCTGACCTCAAGTGTTCCACCCTCCTCGGCCTCCCAAAGTGCTGGGATTACAGGCATGAGCCACTGTGCCCAGCCCTCAGCTTTAATTTCTAATACAGTCAGTACTGATAGATATAACCCACATGAACAAAAACTCTTTGGGGTCCTCAATAATTTTGAAGAGTATAAAGAGGTTCCAAGACTGAAAAGTTTGAGAACTGCTAAATGAGTGCAAGGTTCTGGCTACACATGTGGAAGAAAGCACCCCTGATCTTGGGCTCCCTAAAATGCATCAATCCCTTATTCCCTGGCTGTGTCTCCCCTCCTCTGCCTGCCCTGCTGGAGGAAGTTGCTAAACCGCAGGTGGCTGCACAATGGCCACGATGGTGGCTGTTCAGTGACCCTGGACTAGACACTGGGATGCTCTGAGCTTCCTGTTTGTTCACCTGAAGGACCAGCATGATCAGCCAAGCAGATTTCTCAGCCACCTTGAACTGTCGACATGTGGAGAAAATGCGAACAATAAATCCTAAATCTGGTGTGTTAGGCTGTTTTTGCATCGCTATAAAGAAATACCTAGCCGGGCGCGGTGCCTCATGCCTGTAATCCTAGCACTTTGGGAGGCTGATGCGGGCAGATCACCTGAGGTTGGGAGTTCGAGACCAGCCTGACCAACATGAAGAAACCTCGTCTTTACCAAAAATACAAAATTAGCCGGACATCGTGGCACATGCCTGTAATCCCAGCTACTTGGGAGACTGAGGCAGGAGAATTGCTTGAACCCAGGAGGCAGAGGTTGCGATGAGCCAAGATCGTGCCATTGCACTCAAGCATGGGCAACAAGAGTGAAACTGTAAAAAAAAAAAAAAAAAAAAAAAAAAAAAAAAAAAAGAGGGAGAGAAGAAAGAAAGAAAGAAGAAAAGAAAAGAAGGAAAGAAAGACCTGAGGTTGGCTAATTTATTTTAAAAATAGGCCAGGCATGGTGGATCAGACCTGTAATCCCAGGACTTTGGGAGGCAGAGGCAGGCGGATCACTTGAGGCCAGGAGTTTGAGATCAGACTAGCCAACACGGTGAAACTCCACCTCTACTAAACACATGAAAATCAGCCAGGCATGGTGGCATGCACCTGTGGTCCCAGCTACTCAGGAGGCTAAAGCTAGAGAATTGCTTGTGCCCAGGAGGCAGAGGTTGCAGTGAGCCAAGATCACGCTACTGCACTCCAGCCTGGGCGACAGAGCAAGACTCTGTCTCAAAAAAAAAAAAAAAAAAAAAATCAGGTTTAATTGCCCACAGTTCTGTGGGCTGTACAAGAAACATAGTGCCGGCATTTGCTTCTGTGAAGCCTCAGGAAACTTACAGTCATGGTGGAAGGGGAAGGGGAAGCAGGTGCCTCACATGGTAAGAGTATGAGAGAGACAGAAAAAGGGAAGGTCCCAGACTCTTTTATTTACGTATTTATTTATCTATTTTTATTGTATTTTATTTTATTTTATTTTTGAGATGGAGTCTCACTCTGTCATGCAGGCTGGAGTGCAGTGGTGCAATATCAGCTCACTGCAGCCTCTGCCTCCCAAGTTCAAGGGATTCTCCTGCCTCAGCCTCCCGAGTAGCCAGGATTACAGGCACCCGCCACCATGCCCAGCTTTTTTTTTTTTTTTTTTTTTTTTGTATTTTTACTGGAGATGGAGTTTCACCATATTGGCCAGGCCAGTCTCGAGCTCCTGACCTCAGGTAATCCACCTGCCTCGGCCTCCCAAAGTGCTGGGATTATAGGCGTGAGCCACCACACCCGGCCCTTATTTATTTATTTATTTAGACAGAGTCTCACTCTGTCACCCAGGCTGAAGTGCACTGGCACGATCTCAGCTCACTGCAACCTCCATCTCCTGGGTTCAAGCGATTCTTGTGCCTCGGCCTCCCAAGTAGCTGGGACTGCAGGCACACACCACCATGCCTGGCTAATTTTTGTGTTTTTTTTAGTAGAGACGGGGTTCTACCATGTTGGCCAGGCTGGTCTCGAACTCCTGACCTCAAGTGATTTGCCTGCCTTGGCCTCCCATAGTGCTGAGATTATAGGCGTGAGCCACCGCCCCCAGCCCCAGACTGTTTTAAACAAACAGATCTTGCATGAACTGAGTGAGAATTCACTCCTTACCAAAAGGATGATGCTAAGCCATTCATGAGAAATCTACCCCCATGATCTAATTACTTCCCACCAGGCCCCACCTCCAACATTGGGAATCACATTTCAACATGAGATTTGGAAGGGATAAATATCTATATCATTCCACTGCTGGCCTCCCAAATCTCATGCCCTTCTCACATTTCAAAATACAATCATGCCTTTGCAATAGTACCCCAAAGTTGTTCCAGCCTTAACTCAAAACTTGTTCCAGCCTTAACTCAAAAGTCCCAAACTCCAAAATCCAAAGTCTCATTTGAGACTCAAAGTCAAGTTCCTTCCACCTATGAGACGGTACAGGCATTGGGTAATCCTTCTTGTTACAAGAGGGAGAAATTGGCCAAAAGAAAGAGGTAATAGTCCCCACACAAGTCTGAAACCCAGCACGGTGGGCATTAAATCTTAAAGCTCCAAAATAATCCTTGACTCCATGTCCCAGATCCTGGTGTGAGGGATTGGTTTCTAAAGCCTTGGGCAGCCCCACCCCGTGGCTTTCCTGGGCATAGCCCATGTGGTTGCTCTTGTGGGTTGAAGTTGAATGCCTGTGGCTTTTCCATGCTGAAGTGGGTCTACAATTCTGGGGTCTGGAGGGCGGTGGCCCCCTTCCTGCAGCTCCAGTAGGCAGTGCCCTGTTGGGGACTCTGTATGGGGGCTCCAACCCCACATTTCCACTCAGCATTGCCCAAGTAGAGTTTCTCTGTGGGGGCTCCACCCCTGCAGCAGGCTTCTGCCTGGGTACCCTGGCTTTTCTATACATCCTCTGAAATCTAGGAGGAAGCTGCCAAGCCTCCTTCACTCTTGCATTCTGTGCATCTGCAGGCTTAACAGCATGTAGAAGCCACCAAGGCTTATGGCTTGTGCCTTCTGAAGTGGCAGCCCAAGCTGTACCTGGGGCCCTTTGAGTCATGGCTGGAGCTGAAGCAGTGGGCATGAGGGGAGCAGCCTCTGGAGGTGGTGCAGGGCATTGGTGCCCTGAGCCTGGCCCAGAAAACCATTCTTTCCTCCTCCTTCTAGGCCTATGGACCTGTGATGGAAGGGGCTTTCCAAAAACCTTCTGAAATGGCTTTGAGGCCTCTTTCCCATTGTCTTGGATATTAACACCTGGCTGCCTTTTAGTCATGTTGATCTCTGTAGCAAGTGGTTACTCCACAGCCTACTTGGATTCTTTCTCCACCACTGGGCCAGGCTGCAAATTTTTCGAACTTTTATGCTCTACTCTTCTTTTAAAAATAAATTCCAACTTTGTTATTTCTTTGTTCCCATATCTCATTTAGATTATTAGAAGTGGCCAGACCACATCTTGAATGCTTTGCTGCTTAGCAATTTCTTCCACCAGATACCAGAGGTCGTCACCCTTAAGTTCAAACTTCCAAAGAGCCCTCAGACATGGACACAATGCTCCAAGTTCTTTGTTAGGTCATAAAACGGGTGTCCTTTACTCCAGTTCCTAATAACCTCCTCATTTCTTTGCTTTTTTTTTTTTTTTTTTTTTAGTTTTGCTGTTGTCGCCCAGGCTGGAGTGCAGTGGCACGATCTCGGCTCACTGCAGCCTCCACCTCCCAGGTTCAAGTGATTCTCATGCCTCAGCCTCCCTAGTAGCTAGGATTACAGGCACGCACTACCATGCCCGGCTAATTTTTGTATTTTTAGTAGAGATGGGGGTTTCACCATGTTGGCCAGCCTGGTCTCAAACTCCTGACCTCAGGTGATCTGCCCACCTCAGCCTCCCAAAGTGCTGGGATTACAGGCATGAGCCACTGTGCCCTGCCTAACTTCCTCATTTCTATCTTAGACCTTGTCAGCCTGGCCTTCACTGTCCATGTTACTATCAGCATTTTGGTCAAAATCATTTGTCTTCTCATCTTCTTGTCTTCTTCTGAGCCCTCCAAATTCTTTCAACTTCAGCCTGTTACCCAATTCCAAAGTCACTTCCACATTTTCAGATATCTTTATAGTAACACCCTACTCCTGGTACCAATTTTCTGGGGTTTTTTTTGTTTGTTTGTTTTTTGTTTTTTGTTTTTTGTTTTTTTGTTTTTTTTTTTTTGACATGGAGTTTCACTCTTGTTGCCCAGGCTGGAGTGCAATGGCATGATCTTGGCTCTCTGCACCCTCCACCTTCTGGGTTCAAGTGATTCTCCTGCCTCAGCCTCCCGAGTAGCTGGGATTACAGGTGTGAGCCCCCACGCCTGGCCTCTGGTATCAATTTTCTGTGTTAAGCCATTGTCATATTGCTATAAATAAATACCTGAGGCTGAGTAATTTATAAAGAAAAGAGTATTAATTGGCTCACAATTCTGCAGGCTGTACAAGAAGCATAATGCCAGCAACTCCTTCTGGTGAGGCCTCAGGAAGCTTACAATCATGGTGGAAGGCAAAGGGGGAGCAGGTACATCACAGGGCAAGAGTGGGAGCATGAGAGAGAAGGGGGAGGTCCCAGACTCTTTGAAACAACCAGATCTTACATGAACTAAGAGGATGGTGCTAATCCATTCATGAGGCATCTGCCTCCATGATCCAATCACTTTTCATGAGGCCCCACATCCAACATTGGGAATTATATTTCAATATGAGATTTGGCAGGGACAAACGTTCATACCATATCATTTGGGGAGGTGAGATTCACTCTAGGCTGGTCAAGAAATAGTAGAGAAATAGTACATACATATAGAAAAAGCTTCACATTGGGGTCACCTGGGCTGGGCTTCTAGCCCCTGCAAACTCTCTGTGAGGCAAGGCCTGCAGCCTCACAGCACCTCAGTTATCACATCTGTGAAATGGGTGGGTTGAACTCTTGCTTGACGGTGTTCTTGCTAGAAGTGGAAAATCTCTAGGCATCCAGGCCTCCTTTTCCTTTCTCTTCTTACCTGGAAGGCAGCAAGAGGTGGTGGGGAGAACACTAAACAGGGGAAAGGACTAAACTGGGAGCTGTGCAGCCTCATTCTGGCTCTGCCAACATCCTGGGTGACCTCAAGCAAGTTCCTCTTTCTCTCTGAGCCTTGGCTCCCAGGAATTTGAAACATGCACAGCCTGGTCGAGCTCAGAGCTGGCTTCTGCCTGCCCTTAAAATCTGATGGCTGGTCAGGGATTCAGTATTCATTGGATTCTCAGGGCCTCATGTGCTAGGCTGAAATGCTATCCCCATACCTCCTTGTTCCTTGTCAGAGGGCCAGACTGTACACTATTCACTCAACAAATCTTTATTCAGTACCTCCTATTTCCAGGCCACAGGGCAGACTGGAGCCCAGAAGAGAGAAAAAACAGGTATTCTCAATTATCTATATTCCATGCCACTTAATCAGGATTCCATAAATATTCACTTGGAGTTCAGAGCTAAGCTGTGGAAAAGAAAGGAGTCAAGTGTAGACTTTTTCCTAAGAGGAGCTTGAGACCTCAAGAAGAGAAGGCATTTGTTCATTCATTCACTCACTCACTCTTTCATTCATTGAACAAATACTTATTGAGCACTTACTCTGTACTCGGCCCTGTGATTTGTACAAAACAGACACAGGCTCTGTTCTCAAAGAAAATTCAGTCTAGGCCCGGCACGGTGGCTCATGCCTGTAATCCCAGGACTTTGGGAAGCTGAGGCAGGTGGATCACCTGAGTTCAGGAGTTCGAGACCAGCCTGGCCAACATGGTGAAACCCGGTCTCTACTAAAAATACAAAAAATTAGCCAGTTGTGGTGGCGCACACCTGCAATCCCAGCTACTCAGGAGGCTGAGGCAAGAGAATCGCTTGAACCTGGAAGGCAGAGGTTGCAGTGAGCAGAGATCGTGCCACTGTACTCCGGCCTGGGCAACAAGAATGAAACTCTGTCTCAAAAAAAAGAAATTTCAGTCTAGTGGAAGAAGCAGACCTGAAAGAGATAAACACACCATTACAAATATTATTACACATTGTGATGGCTTACATTTTAAAAATGGTATGAGAGGCTGGGCACAGTGGCTCATGCCTGTAATCCCAGCACTTTGGGAGGCCGAGGCAGGTGGATCACTTGAGCCCAGGAGTTTGAGAACAGCTTGGGCAACATGACGAGACCCTGTCTGTAGAAAAAACAAAAATTAGCTGAGACCGGGAAGAGTGGCTCACACCTGTAATCCCAGAACTTTGGGAAGCCAAGGAGGGTGGATTCCTTGAGGTCAGGAGTTCAAGACCAGCCTGGCCAACATTGTGAAACCCTGTCTTTGTGAAGAAAAAAAAATAAACACAAGGTCTCACTCTGTTCCCCAGGCTGGAGTGTAGTAACACCATCATGGCCTCCTGCAGCCTTGACCTCCTGGGCTCAAGCAATCCTCCCACCTCAACCTCCAGAGTAGCTGGAACTACAGATGTGTGCCATGACACCTGGATAATTTTGTAATTTTTTTTTTTTTTTTTTGAGACAGAGTTTCACACTTGTCACTCAGACTGGAGTGCAATGGTACAATCTCGGCTTACCACAACCTCTGCTTCCTGGGTTCAAGTGATTCTCCCGCCTCAACCTCCCGAGCGATTGGGATTACAGGCATGGGCCACCACGCCCAGCTGATTTTGTATTTTTAGTAGAGACAGGGTTTCTCCATATTGCTCAGGCTGGTCTTGAACTCCCTACCTCAGGTGATCTGCCCACCTCGGCCTCCCAAAGTGCTGGGATTACAGGCATGGGCCACTATGCCTGGCTAATTTTGTAATTTTTTTATAGATATGGGGTCTCTCTGTGTTGCCAAAGCTGGTCTCCCACCCTTAGCCTCAAGCTATCCTCCCGCTTTGGCCTCCCAAAGCTCTGGGATTACAGACGTGAGCCACTGTGCCCAGCCAGAGAAATTTATTTTCTTACAATTCTGGAGGCCTGAAGTCAAAATCCGTATCACTGGGCCAAAAAAATTAGTTGTTGCTTTTTTTTTTTTTGAGACGGAGTTTTGCTCTTGTTGCCCAGGCTGGAGTGCAATGGCACGATCTTGGCTCACCGCAACCTCCGCCTCCCAGGTTCAATGATTCTCCTGCCTCAGCCTACCAAGTAGCTGCGATTACAGGCATGTGCCACCATGCCCAGCTAATGTTGTATTTTATTAACAGAGACAGGGTTTCTCCATGTTGGTCAGGTTGGTCTCGAACTCCTGACCTCAGGTGATCCGCCTGCCTCTGCCTTCCAAAGTGCTGGGATTACAGGCATGAGCCACCACACCCAGCCAATTTTTTTTTTTGTTTTGAGAAGGAGTCTCACTCTGTGGCCCAGGCTGGCGTGCAGTGGCACAATCTTGACTTACTGCAACCTCTGCTTCCCAGGTTCAAGTGATTCTCCCACCTCAGCCTCTCAAGCAGCTGGGATTGTAGGCACCCACCATCACGCTCGGCTAATTTTTATATTTTTAGTAGAGATGGGCTTTCACCATGTTGGCCAGGCTGGTCTTAAACGCCTGACCTCAGGTGATCTGCCTGCCTTGACCTCCCAAAGTGCTGGGATTACAGGCATGAGCCACTGCAACTGGCCACTGGGCCAAAATTAAGGTGGTAGCAGAGCTTCCCTCCCTCCGGAGGCTCTAGAGGAGAATCTGTTCCTTGCCTCTTCAGCTTCTGGTGGCTGCTGGCATTCCTTGGCTTGTGGTCACATCGCTGCATTCTTCAAAGCTAGCACATCTTCAAATCTGTCTGCTTTGTGTTCACATTGTCTTCTCTTCTGTGAGTGTCACATCTCTCTCTGCCTCCTGCTTAGAAGGTTACATGTGAATGCATTTAGGGCCCACCCTGATAACCCAGGATAACCTCCCCATCTCAAGGTCCTTCCTCACATCCACAAATGTTACCCTTTATCCAAAGAATGTAACATTCTTAAGTTCCAGGAATTAGGGCCTGATATCTATATGGGGCTATTTCTCAGCCTACTACAGTAGGTTACCTCAGTGTCTGTTTGGGGGAGCTTCATTTAAACTGGGGATGGTCAGAGAAGGCCTCTCCAAAAAAGAGATGCTGTCCACGAGATGGAAAGGATGACTAGGAGTTCGCCTGGGGAAGACTGGGGAAGAGTGTGCTAGAGAGAGGGAATGGTGTGTGTAAAGCCCAAGGTGAGAAAGCCTGCCATGTGGCCAGGAGGGCCAGCAATGGGATCAACAGAGAAAGATGAGCTGGGACCTGAGAACCAGGAAGCCACATTAGGGACTTTTGTCTTTAAGAATAAGTTAAAGGCTGGGCACGGTGGCTCACACCTATAATCCCAGCACTGTGGGAGGCCAAGGCGGGCGGAGCACCTGAGGTCAGGCGTTTGAGACCAGCCTGGCCAACATGGCTTAACCCCTGCTCTACTAAAAATACAAAAATTAGTGGGGCATGGTGGTACATGCCTGTAATCCCAGCTACTCGGGGGGCTGAGCCATTGCGCTCCAGCCTGGGCGACAGATCAAGACTCCATCTCAAAAAAAAAAAAAAAAAAGAGAAGTTAGAGCCAAATAATAAGTAAATAAGAGCCACCAGAGTCAGACACGGTGGCTCATGCCCATAATCCCAGCCCCTCGGGAGGCCGAGGTGAGAGCATCACTTGAGCCCAGGATGAAACAGTTCAAGACCAGCCTGGGCAACATAGTGAGACCCCATCCACAAAAAAAAATTTTTTTATTAGTTGGGCATGATGGTGCATGCCTATAATCCCAGCTACTCTCGGGAGGCTGAGGCAGGAGGATGGCTTGAGCCTAGGAGTTCAAGGCTGCAGTGAGCTATGATCACACCACTACACTCCAGCTTGGGTAAAAGAGCCACTGAAGGTTCTGGCATAGGGGAGGACAACATGGTCTCATATATTTGTTTGTTTGTTTGAGACGGAGTTTCACTCTTGTTGCCCAGGCTGGAGTGCAACCGCAGGATCTCGGCTCACAGCAACCTCCACCTCCCAGGTTAAGCGGTTCTCTTGCCTCAGCCTCCTGAGTAGCTGGGATTACAGGCGCCTGCCACCACACCTGGCTAATTTTTTGTATTTTTAGTAGAGATGGTGTTTCACCATGTTGGTCAGGCTGCTCTCAAATACCTGACTTCACGTGATCCAGCTGCCTTGGCCTCCCAAAGTGCTGGGATTACAGACATGAGCCACCACATCCGGCCTAGTTTTGTATTTATAATTTTGCATTTTACTTTCTTTTTCTTTTTCTTTTTTTTGTTTTTTTGAGGAGTCTCGCTCTGTTGCCAGGCTGGAGTGCAGTGGCACAATCTCAGCTCACTGCAACCTCCGCCTCCCGGTTTCAAGTGTCTCCTGCCTCAGCCTCCCAAGTAGCTGGGACTACAGGTGCACGCTGCCACGCCCGGCTAATTTTTGTATTTTTAGTAGAGACGGGGTTTCACCATGTTGGCCAGGATGGTCTCGATCTCTTGACCTCATGATCCACCCACCTCGGCCTCCCAAAGTGCTGGGATGACAAGTGTGAGCCACCGTGCCTGGCCTTACTTTCTTTTCTTAAAGAAGGCTCCTGAGCTTGTGTGAACTTTAGGCCTCACCAAACCAACACCTGTTAGCCCAGTAGCATTAACTATTTTAATTTGCCCAATGAAGGACTGAGAAGAGCGTGTTGCTAGCAGCCTTGCCTAGTCTGGAGCCAGTGCGTGAACACAACCAGAAGGTATCGGGAACCCTTTCTCTTCCCACTCCCACACTGAGCTCCATGAGCGCAGGAACTTCTTCTTGTCCTTTTCTAGGCACTCATCACAGCACCTGGCATATGGCAGGCCTTCAGTCCAAAGATGGTAAGTGAATGAACTTGCGATGTACAAATGAAGGCTGCTGCTTGGTTTCTGGGAGTCGGGAGTTGGGGAACACACTTAAAGGCACTACGGCACATGAGTTGGCTGACCTGAGCTGTCTCAGGAGTTCCTGTATGGGGCTGACCCTAGACCAATGCCCCAGGGGCTGATGAGGGAGTGAGGGAGGGAGGACAAGATAAGACAGCCTTGGCTGATGAGCAGGAGAACGTGTGCTTCCCTCATCACTAAGCCACAGAATCACCTCTCAGAGATTTTTCTGGTAAGGGTTCCTGACCACATGTCAGTGGGACCTAAGCAAGGGTTTCCTCTATCCCCTGACCTTCAGCTGAACCTCAAATCCTGGTAGGCCACCCTTTGGTTCTCAGGGGTACAGGATGGACAGAGAGCAAAGCACTCAGCAAGTGAAGTGGGAGGAGACACAGTTTACACAACTTTCTGGGTGTCAGATTCCGGGATATGTGTAACTTTAGGCAAATTGCTTTACCTTTCTGAACCTCGGCTTCCACATCTGTGAAATGGAGCAATAAAAGTTTCTGCTTCACAAGGTTGTGATGAGAATTAAGTGGAAAGAGACCGGTAAAGCAGTTAGCAAAAGGCTTGGCACATAGTAAGTGCCTGATAAGTATTGATTATTAAGACCGGGCACAAGGCCAGGCGCGGTGGCTCACGCCTGTAATCCCAGCACTTTGGGAGGCCGAGGTGGGTGGATCACGAGGTCAGGAGATCGAGACCATCCTGGCTAACACGGTGAAACCCCGTCTCTACTAAAAATACAAAAATTAGCCGGCTGTGGTAGTGGGCGCACCTGTAGTCCCAGCTACTTGGGAGGCTGAGGCAGGAGAATGGCGTGAACCTGGGAGGCGGAGCTTGCAGTGAGCCAAAATTGCGCCACTGCACTCCAGCCTGGGCGACAGAGCAAGACTCTGTCTCAAAAAAAAAAAAAAAAAAAGACCAGGCACAATTGGCTGGGTTTGGTGGCTCACCCCTGTAATCCCAGAACTTTGGGAGGCCGAGGCAGACAGATCACCTGAGGTCAGGAATTCGAGACCAGCCTGGCCAACATGGTGAAACTCCGTCTCTACCAAAAAATACAAAAATGAGCCAGGCATGGTGGTGCACACCTGTAGTCCCAGCTACTGGGGAGGCTAAGGTGGGAGAATTACTTGAACCTGGAAGGCAGAGGTTGCAGTGAGCTGAGGTTGTGCCACTGCACTCCAGCCTGGGCAATGGAGTGAGACTCCGTCTCAAAAAATAAAATAAAATTAAATTAAATTAAATTAAGTTAAATTAAATAAATAAAATGGACTTCCCTTATGTCAGTTCCCAATTTCTTTTTCCCTGACATTTCATTGGTCTCTGAAGTCTTGTTGTCCAATAACAATCTACCATTCTTGTCCAACCACCTCATTTTATTTATATTATTATTATTATTATTATGAGTCAGGGTCTTGCTCTGTCGCCCAGGCTGGTGTGCAGTGGCACCATCTCAGCTCACCACAACCTCTGCCTCCCGGATTCAAGTGATTCTCATGCCTCAGCCTCCCAAGTAGCTGGGATTACAGGCATACACCACCAACCCTGGCTAAATTTTTTGTATTTTTAGTAGAGATGGGGTTTCACCATGTTGGCCAGGCTGGTCTCAAACTCCTGACATCAAGTGATCTGCCCACCTCAGCCTCCCAAAGAGCTAGGATTATAGGTGTGAGCCACCACGCCTGCTTGCTTGCTTTATTTATTTATTTATTTATTTATTTATTATTTTTGAGACAGAGTCTCACTCTGTTGCCTAGGCTGGAGTGCAGTGGTACGATCTCAGCTCACTGCAACCTCTGCCTCCCAGGATCAAGCAATTCTCCTGCCTCAGCCTCCCGAGTAGCTGGAATTACAGGTACGTGATCCCACGCCTGGCTAATTTTTGTATTTTTAGTGGAGATGGGGTTTCACCTTTTTGGCGAGGCTGGTCTTGAACTCCTGCCCTCAGGCGATCTGCCCACCTTAGCCTCCTAAAATGCTGGGATTACAGGCATCAGCCACTATGCCTGGCCTATTTATTATATTTATTTATTTATTTTTATTTATTTATTTTTTGAGATGAAGTCTCACTCTGTCACCCAGGCTGGAGTGCAGTGGCATGATTTCAGCTCACTGCAACCTCCGCCTCCCAGGTTCAAACGATTCTCCTGCCTCAGCCTCCTGAGTACCTGGGACTACAGGCATGTACTACCACTCCCGGCTAATTTTTTTGTATTTTTAGTAGAGATGGGTCTTGGCTAGGCTGGTCTCGAACTCCTGACTTCGTGATCCGCCCACCTCAGTCTTATTTATTATTATTATTATTTTTTCTTTTTTTGAGATGGAGTCTCGCTGTGTCGCCAGGCTGCAGTGCAGTGGCGTGATCTCAGCTCACTGCAATCTCCGCCTCCCGGGTTCAAGCGATTCTCCTGCCTCAGCACCCTGAGTAGCTGGGACTACAGGCGCTTGCCACCATGTCCACCTAATTTTTATATTTTTAGTAGAGACGGGGTTTCAATATGTTGGCCAGGATGGTCTCGATCTCTTGACCTTGTGATCTGCCCACCTCAGCCTCCCAAAGTGCTGGGATTACAGGCGTGAGCCATTGCGCCCAGCCTGCATTCCCCTTTGAGATGCATTTAGGATCTTTCCAGATGACTTGTCCAAGGTCACACAGGAGTCAGATGGCCTTTCCACTACCCCACAACACAGATGCATAGTTACTCTGTGGGCTAATACAATTCAGAATTCAGAGCTCTGCCCATGGTCACCGGTGGAATCCACCAGCCATCTCCCTGACCTTGCTCTCCTCTGTTCTCCTCATCTCCAGGGTCCCATGATTCAGGGCGAGCTGGCTTCAGGATGTGGGCAAGAGGGGTTTTAGATGGAAGGGTCTTTCCTCCAGGACAGAATGTTAAGCCACGCCTGGACTTAATTGTTCCAAGATGTCGTTAGAATTGGTGGACAATTTTTTTTTTAATGATTAGCAAAGGACAAGGCTTTTGGTGGTCATTAGTATTGTTTATCAAATATTCCAGTTCTCCACATTCTGGGTACATGGTAGGATGAACTTCCCTGTCTCTTCAGAGTTAAGTGTAGCTCTGTGATGTGCTTTGTCAAAAAAAAAAAAAAAAAAAAAAAAAAAATCAGAGGAAATAACATGTGTCACTTCCAGGTGGATGTTTTAAGAGCAACGTGCAATTTACTACATTTTCTCTTGGCTCCAGGAATGACAACTGGCAATGTTCAAGTTGGTGGCTGCTCTATCAACTTGGACCTGGAGTAAAGACAGCACAAAACAGAGCACACAACAGTCCCACAATGCGTGTTTGAAGCCACTCACTTGAGGGTTGTTACTGCAGCACAACCCAGCCCATCCTGACTGATACAGGTTCATGTCTGGTTAGTCAAAGCTGCCATGAGCCTGGTGAAAACCTATCAAGGCCCATCCTTTTGTTAAACCTGAGTTTGGAGACTCCAAGCCCACTTCCCTGGTCTCTCAGATAAACCTGCTGCAGAGGAAAGAAAGATATTCCTTGGTGGCCCAATTGGAATGAAAAATTTCAGGATTGAGAAGGCAGGGGATTCTTAGTCCTGAAAAGGCATTCTATGTTAGACAAGTTAGAGGCTGAGTGAGTTATTTCCCAGCTGAACATCCTTGGGCTGGTGGAAGATTAAATGAAGTACACGCATCAAGTGCCTAGCATAGCACACTGTGAGCTCTGGACACAAAGATACTCACGGAAACCTTGTCGTTAATTAGAAACCAATAATCCAACAGTAGAGGAACAGTTAACTAATTATGGTACGTTCATGTACTGCTACATAGCTAAAAGAAGGGGGAAGAAAGGAAGAAGGTGGGGCAATGTAATATGTAGGTTATGATAGACCATTGTTAAGTGAAAAGAGCAAGTTATCAAACAGGTTAGCTTTGGAAACAGACCCAGAATTGAGTCCCAGCTCTCCTAGCTGTGTGTCTTGGGCAAGGCTCTTTTTTTTTTTTTTTTTTTTTTTTTTTTTCTGAGATGGAGTTTTGCTCTTGTTGCCCAGGCTGGAGTGCAATGGTGCGATCTTGGCTCACCGCAACCTCCATCTTCTGGTTCAAGCGATTCTCCTGCCTCAGCCTCCTGAGTAGCTGGGATTACAGGCATGCACCCACCACCACCCCCGGATAATTTTGTATTTTTAGTAGAGACAGGGTTTCACCACGTTGGTCAGGCTGGTCTTAAACTCCCAACCTTAGATGACCTGCCTGCCTCGGCCCCCCAAAGTGCTGGGATTACAGGTGTGAGCCACCATACCTGGCGAGCAAGGCTCTTAACTGCTCCAAACTTCACAGACTGGCAAAAACAGAAGCTCAATAAATGTGAGCTATTACTTTATTGTTGTCATTATTAATAATAAATCTATAGGTCAACGTTGGCTGGGCACCTGACTTCCATTATCATAGCTCTGCGATCCTCTAATCCATCTCCCCCATGACCTTGTGAAGTTGATCTTAATCCATTTTACACACAAGAATACTGAGGCTCAGAAAGGTTAAGCCAGTTGCCCAAAGTCCTCAAGTCAAGAATAGGAGAGTTAAGATTTGAATCCAGTTTTGTCTGGTTGCAAAATTCACTCTCTTAACCATTGTTCCCTGCTGGCACCTGGCACAGGTAATACACTTTCATTGTCATAGGATTGCAGGGCTTTGTTTCTGATGGAGTCAGGGTGACTTTGAGACAGGGTTTCACTACCATTCCCTAGGCTGGAATGCGGTGGCACCATCTCAGCTCACTGCAACCTCTGCCTCCCAGGCTCAAGCGATTCTCCTGCCTCAGCCTCCAAGTAGCTGGAACTACAGGCACACACCACTGCGCCAGCTAATTTTTGTATTTTTTTGTAGAGATGGGGTTTCACCATGCTGCCCAGGCTGGTCTCGAACTCCTGAGCTCAAGTGATCCAGCTGTCTTCACCTCCCAAAGCGTTGGGATTACAGGCGTGAACCACCACACTCAACCCATCCTGGGTTACATGACTTGTAAAGTCATGCCTCCAAGGGAACACCACAGACAAATCCAGGTAAATAAAATTGTTTAGTGAGCAGCTCTCAACTTTTGAGTGCTTACAGCCCACTTTTCAGTACTTGCAGCCCACTTACTTTCATGATAGTAAACAAGTCAGCAATGATGAGCCCTGTGATAGCCAGCCCCCAAGATGGCCTCATGATCTTCACCTCCTGGTACTCACATACTTCTATGGTCCTTCCCCACAATGAGCAGGGCTGACCTGTGTTACCAACAGGATATTCAGGAACAATAGTGCGTAGCTTCTAAAGCTAGGCATAAAAGACAATGTGGCCTCCACCTTGTTCTCCCTGGCTCTGGAGGAAGCTCACCTCCATGATATAAGGACATTAAAGAAGTCCAACAGAAAGGTCCACGTGGTACAGAACTGAGGCCTGCTGCCAACAGTCATGTTGGTGCACCATCTTGGAAGCAGATCCTCCAGCCCTACTCGAGCCTTCAGATGACTGCAGACCTGGCTGACATCTTGGTTACAACTTCGTGAGTGACCCTGTGCCAGTAGCACCCAGCTAAATCACTCCTGAAATCCAGATCCACTGAAACTGTGAGGTAATACATATGTATTGTTTTAAGCCATTAAGTTTGGGGTATTTGCTACACAGCAATAGATAACTAATAACTATATTATGACAGTACAAGGAAAAAAACTGCCTCGAATATATTTTTTTAAAAAATGAATTATCACATGGTCTCCTTTGTCCCCTTTGGCACATGGGTTGGAAGAACTAACCCTTCCTTACAAACCATCCTCTCATATGTACTCACCTGGACAATTTCTCACAGCTCTTGATAAACACACCACCTTTCTTCTGCATCAACTCCAGAATAGGCCTCCCATCTATCCTCTGACTTGTAGCAAGTGAATGCCTTTTTGTACCATTCTGACAGTCCAATTCCAACAAAAAGCACTAGAACAATATATAGCCTGGATTGTAGCAAAAATAAATTTTATGTGCTAGTAAAAACTTGGCAAGGCCAGGGGTGGTGGTGCACACCTGTAATCCCAGCACTTTCAGAGGCTGAGGCAGGCAGATTGCTTGAGCATAGGAGTTCAAGACCAACCTGGGCAATGTGGCAAAACTTCATCTCTACAAAAAATACAAAAATTAGGCCGGGTGCAGTGGCTCACGCCTGTAATCCCAGCACTTTGGGAGGCCGAGGTGGGTGGATCACCTGAGGTTGGGAGTTTGAGACCAGCCTGACCAACATGGTGAAACCCCGTCTCTACTAAAAATACAAAATTAGCTGGGCGTGGTGGCACATGCCTGTAATCCCAGCTACTCAGGGAGGCTGAGGCAGGAGAATCCCTTGAACGCGGGAGGCAGAGGTTGTGGTGAGCCGAGATCGCGCCATTGCACTCCAGCCCAGGCAACAAGAGTGAACTCCGTCTCAGAAAAAAAAAAAAACAAAAAAAACCCAAAATACAAAAAGTAGCTAGATGTGGTGGCACACGCCCTGTAGTCCCAGCTACTTGGGAGCTGAGGTGGGAGGATGGCTTGAGCCTAGGAAGTCAAGGCTGCAGTGAGCTGAGATCATGTCACTGCACTCCAGCCTGGGTGACAGAATGAGATCCTGTCTCAACAACAAAACCAAAAAAAGGCCAGGCGTGGTGGCTCATGCCTTTAATCCCAACACTTTGGGAGGCCGAGGTGGTGGATCACTTGAAGTCAGGAGTTTGAGACCAGCCTGGCAACATGGTGAAACACTGTCTCTGCTAAAAATACAAAAAATTAGCTGAGCGTGGTGGTGCGTGCCTATCATCTCAGCTATTAGGGAGGCTGAGGCAGAAGAATCGCTTGAACCTGGGAGGAGGAGGCTGCAGGGAGCCGAGATCAAGCCACTGCACTCCAGCCTGGGTGATAAAGCGAGACTCCGTCTCAAAAAAAAAAAAACAAAAACGCTTGGTGATACCTTTTGGAGTCCGTCCATGAGACCACAGCCTACCGTGCTAAGTGGTTTCATCAATAGCTGTAAAAGAAAAAAATACTTCACTTCCTTGAGCCCAAACCCCTCCTTCTGCTCTAGTCAGGGATGTGGGGGTTCTGTCCTCTCAACACAATCTTCTTCTAGGCCTCTGACATCTATTCAGGACAACCAGCTAAAGAGAAGCTCCTCCTTCCTATGGTGAAATCTGCTTTCAGTGGAGAGGAGCAGATAGTGAGACTTCACAGTGGCAGTACTCTGGTTCAGATTCAGAGTTGCTGCTTCTTAGCTCTGTCACCCTGGGTAAGTTACTTAACACCATTGTACCTGAGCTTCCTCTTCCCAGCTACGGAGCTAATAATAGCACTTTCCTCATAGAGTTGTTGAAGAGACAAAACAAGAAAAGGATCGTCCAGAGTTTAGCACATTGCTTGGCAATTAGTAAGAGCTCATTCTCCTTTTATTGTTATTCAAGAATAATAGCAATAGACAGGCGTGGTGGCTCATGCCTGTAATCCCAGCACTTTGGGAGATCAAGGCAGGAGGATCACTTGAGCCCAGGAGTTCAAGATCAGCCTGGGCAATAGAGCAAGACCTCATCTCTACTAACAATTAAAAAAAAAAAAAAAAAATTGGCCAGGCGCAGTGGCTCATGCCTGTAATCCCAGCACTTTGGGAGGCCGAGGCGGGCGGATCATCTGAGGTCAGGAGTTCAAGACCAGCCTGACCAACATGGAGAAACCCCGTCTCTACTAAAAATACAAAATTAGCTGGGCGTGGTAGCACATACCTGTAATCCCAGCTACTCAGGAGGCTGAGGTGGGAGAATCCCTTGAACCTGGGAGGCAGAGGTTGTGGTGGTGAGCTGAGATCGTGCCATTGCACTCCAGCCTGGGCGACAAGAGTGAAACTCTGTCTTTAAAAAAAAAAAAAATTAGCTGGGCATGGTGGCACATGCCTCTAGTCCCAGCTACTTGGGAGGCTGAGGCAGGAGGATCCCTTGAGCCCAGAGTGTTGAGGCTGCAGTGAGCAGTGATCACACCACTACACTCCAGCCTAAGCGACACAGCAAGTCCCTGTCTCAAAAAAAAAAAAAAGAATAGCAATGATGATAGCTACTAGGCTGTGTGTGGTGGCTCACATGCGTAATC
Organism: Homo sapiens; assembly: GCF_000001405.40. Taxonomy (NCBI): domain Eukaryota; kingdom Metazoa; phylum Chordata; class Mammalia; order Primates; family Hominidae; genus Homo; species Homo sapiens. The sequence goes on from NC_000005.10 coordinate 154,679,010, forward strand.
CCAGCACCCTGGGAGGCCCAGGCGGACGGAACACCTGAGGTCAGGAGTTCAAGACCAGCCTAGCCAACATGGTGAAACCCCGTCTCTACTAAACAAACAAACAAACAAAAATTAGCCAGGTGTGGTGGCATACGCCTGTAATCCCAGCTACTTGGGAGGCTGGGGCAGGAGAATCGCTTGAACCCAGGAAGTGGAGGTTGCAGTGAGCCAATATCACACCACTGCACTCCAGCCTGGGCAACAGAGTGGGACTCTGTCTCTAATAATAATAATAATAATAATGGCTGCTATTTAGTAAGCGCTTACCACATGGCTAGCATCCTTTACATGCACTATCTCATTTAATCTTGAGAGACAGGGCCTCTTACTTTTCCCCATTTTAGAAATGAGGAAGCTGAGGCACAGAGAGGTGAGGTGCTTTGCCCAAGATTACACAGACTCACGTAATCAGGTATAGGAGCCCTCACCCTTAACCACCTTGCTCTGCAGCATCCCAGGAGGAATGGAGCAAAGGGCCCTGTAAACACTAGGAACACTGCAGGGATTGAGGAGAACAGAAGGGGCAGAGTGAGGTCATGCAGTAAAGGAACAGTCCAGAGGAGAGACTTTCCCAAGTGGCAGACACAGCGGTGGCATGGAGTCCTCTGTGAGCACCACCATCTGTCTGTCTTCTCTGTAGTGGGAGTGTTGGACCTCTTGTGTGTGTGGTAGAGCCACCACACTCTCTAGCACCTGCTCCCCAGGACCCTGAGCTGCTACAGTGGCAGGGTCCCGCAGCAGCATGGACGCCCTGCTGAGGCCTGGGTTTGGACATGCCAAGAGCCCTGCTGACAGCTCTGCCTTGCCCTTCCTGAATTCCTGCCGTGGTCACAACACAGCACTGGCTCATTAAAATCAGGGTCTGCCAGAGGGGAAAGCCAGGCCATTTCATTTGCCAAGATGCAACAGCATAAGATGGCTGGACACGGTGGCTCACATCTGTAATCCCTTCGCACTTTGTGGGGTGGAGGAGGGCAGATAGATTGAGCCCAGGAGTTCAAGACCAGCCTGGGCAACATGGTGAAACCCCATCTCTACCAAAAATACAAAAGTTAGCCAGGAATGGTGGCATGTGCCTAGTAAGCAGCTACTCAGGAGGCTGAGGTGGGAGGATCCCTTGAGCCCGGAAAGTCAAGGCTGCCATGAGCCGTGATCATGCCAGTGCACTCCAGCCTGGGCAGTGGAGATATAGTAGCATAAAATGGGACCAGTTTTGGCCCAACACCATCGTGTGGTGTTCTTGCTCAACCAGGAAAACAAACTCACAGAACCAGCAGTGTCCACAGCTCTGGGCCAGAGAGGGTCAGCAGGTTCGGGGCACTTCTCCTCCAGGCTCTGACCCCAGGGAACTCCTGTGATTCAAATAATAATAAGAGCTATAGAGGTGTCTATCAGGCCCCAAGCCCTGTGCCTTCTGTGCCTGGGAGACAGAGAGGTTGAGTTGCTAGGAAAGGTGGCCCGGCTAGTAAGCCTTCTGTTGACTGTGGCAAAGACAAGGGGCTACCTGCACGGTCATGAAGATCACCGTGAAAGAAGAGGGACAGCTGAAGACACTGGACAAGGTGGAGTTGTTGCAGCCCCTCAGAAAACACTTACATGAGGGGAGGCAGGACAGTGTAGTGCTGTGGCTCTCAATCTCAGACGATTTTGTCCCCAGTGGACTTCTGGAAATGTTTAGAGACATTTTGGTTTGCATATCTGGAGAGGGAGGTGCTATTGGCATCTACTGGGTAAACACGAGGGATGCTGCTAATTATGCTACAATGCACAGGACAGCCACCCGCAACGCTGAATTATCTGGCCCAAAACGTCAATAGTGGTTGAGAGGGCATGGGGCCTCAGAATCCAACAGGGGCATCACCAACAGGGCTTAATCTCCTGCTCCCCCTCTGTAAAACTGGGGATACCAAATTTCTGCCTCACAGAGCTGACCTATTGCCTGTTAAGTGCTTTCTGCAGGCAGGCTCATAGTAATGCTCCACCATTGTTGCCATGTTCATTACCAAGGATGTGCACTCTGCAGAAGAGCACTGACCAGGTAGACCCAGAGAAGGGCCATGAGAGAAACTGATCCAACGCTTGAGAGGGCGGAAGATGCCAGAAGAGGCCGTGATTACCCATTCTGGCATTCAGCGCTTTCCCTGGTCTTGTTTCAGCCTACTTTGCTTGCCTGGCCTCCGGCTGCTCTGGGTGGTCTATTCAGTGGGCCAGCACACATGCAACTTCTTCCTGTGTCTACCGTCCCCACCTCACAAGAACCTCTTCCTCCAAGGAGCCGCCTTGACCAGCCCAACCCTTAAGAATCACATAGCCCTTATCACAAATGGATCGACAGGGTGGCTACAGAGATGCTAGACACAATCATATCCATAAAGACTCTGAAAAACAGACATACATTCTCAATTATACACACAGACACACACATGCAACCTCAAGATGCCCTGTAGCCCTGGTCACAGACTGATCACAAATGTATTACCATACACATGCACACACACAAATATCCAAGCATAACACGATCTCAGACAGGAGTCCCGTATACACATACACATTTATACAATACTGGCACACACAAAAAACCCCCACACATACCCCCCAAGGATATGCTGTCACATTCACAAACTCATAAATTCACATAAATATGCATATTTAAAACAAACTCAGGAAAGCCCATAGGTCTTATACAGTTAACACCTAGGCATATAAAGATACACACCTGTCCATATACACAGAAATGTATTCTTGGCACACGACCTCATATACAGCTATTAATGTGCTTACATACATAAGGCATACATATATACACATTATTCAATGACACATACACTCCTATATATTCACCCAAACACACATATGTAACAGACATACAAAAAGACATTTAAAAAAATTCCATTTGTCCTCTTCTATACACACAGATGTACTCCCATAGTACATTTTATTCATTCATCATTTATATTACAAAACATTGCTAAGGAAACTTCCTTGGTGTGACTTCCAAATTCAACCTTGTGTTATAGCTACTTGTGTAGACTAGCAAAAATGCATCGAGTAGGCTCATTTCTCCCTTTAAATTTCCACTTGCGGATACGCCTTGTGGATTTGCTTTCTCCCCTGCAAGCCCTCACCTCTCTCTGTCCCCCTTTTTTTTTTTGAGACAGGGTTGCCCAGGCTGGAATGCAGTGGCACGATCTTGCCTCACTGTAGCCTCCGCCTCCCAGGTTCAAGTGATTCTCCTGCCTCAGCCTCCCAAGTAGCTGGGACTTCAGGCGCGCGCCACCACGCCCAGCTAATTTTTGTATTTTTAGTAGAGACGGGGTTTCGCCATGTTGGCCAGGCTGGTCTTGAACTCCTGACCTCAGGTGATCCGGCCGCCTCGGCCTCCCAAAGTGCTGGGATTGCAGGCGTGAGCCACCGCGCCCGGCCCCTCTGTCCCTTTTTGACTGCCCAGTCCCCCAGGCCTCCGCTGGAAGGCGCTCACTAAAGGTTCAGAGTCCGAAGCCGCATTCCCGGGCACCCTCCCCGGCCCCTCCCATCCCACAGAGGCAGGGGTGGGTCCGTGGGTGTGGCAATGAACCACGTGTACCCACGGGACTCTCGAAGTGGGGGAGGGGAAGGGGCGCAGCACGCCACCCTCCTTTCTCCGCCCCTGCCCTACCCTCTCCGCTGTTCCCCCACTGTCCTCCCCCAGCCCAGCCCAACCTCAGCCGGCCGCGGGAGGAGGCGGGAGCTGGGGCTTCGAACTGCCCCCTCCCACCTCCGCCTCTCCCCCGTCTCCTCTCCCCCTTTCCTCTTTCTCCTCCCCCATCCCACTTCTCTCTCCTTTTCCTCTTTCTTTCTCCCCTCCTCCCTCCATTCCACCCGCCTCCTTTTACCCCGCCCTGCCAGTCGTCCTCCCCCTCGCCCCCTCCGCCTCCCTCCAGCTCCGCCGCCAGAGGCTGAGTCATCGCTGCTGCGGCGCTGCCGGCCGTGCTGGGAGAGCAGGCGAGCAGGTAGGGAGGGTGTGAAGCAAGCGACGCCGTGCGACCCGGCACCACCGTCTGGGCCCTTTCCCGGAGAGGCCTGGGGAGGGGGCACCGAAAGGGGCCCGGGCCGCGGTGGGGGACGGGCGACGGGCCCCGGAAAGGCACAGATCTTACCCCTCAACCCCCATCCTTACAGGAGCCGCTTTGCAGCATTCTCAGCCGCACATGCAAATTAATACCTAACATTAGGGTGGCATCTGGGCCAGGCAAGTCAAACTGACGGCCCACGGACAGATCTGGCCGGCACCTGATATTTATTTGGCTCACACAGTGTTGTGTTTGTTTGTTCTGAAGTTTTAACTATTAATAGTTGCCAATACTTAAACATCACTCATTTCTTGGAAAATCAGATTCCCAACTCAAAAAATTAGAATATATGTCAACGTATTTCCCATGATAACTCTAGCCTATTTCTGAGTGGGGATACCTTTGTGTAGTCAGGGCATTGCACCCTCCCTACCTGCTCGCCCTCTAGTTTGCCACAGTCTCCGCTACTCCCTACTGTTTCACCTAGGCCACTGAACTTCCTTTGTGTTTCCTGCCAGGCCTCATATGGAATGATTCCTAGTCTAGTCCACCCCATTCATATTTTACATGGGGATTAGGAAGTGAGGGTAGGGCATTTCCCAAAGTCACATGTGGCCTTAAAGCTGAAGGGGAACCCTGCTTTTCCTCACCCACTAATCTTTTCTACCAAACCATTCTGACTCCTTTGGTATGCAGGCTAACATAGGGAATTCTTTTGTGAAAAGTGTGTTCCAGAAAATTATCTGGGGATCAGAGTAGACCTCAAATGGGAGATGATTTGGAGCATACAGCACCTCGTCTTTGGAGTTGATGGTAGCTTCTCACAGTCTTTCCCTTGGAGTGGAAATAGATGACAAAACTAGGGTGGATAGATGAATGGAACAGTTGGCCAATCTGGTATATTTGGTTATAAGAAGTTGTTTTCGGGTCATTGGAAACCTGGCTTATGAGACACTGTTGCATAAGGGCTACAAAGGCAATATGCCACTTTGCTTGGATTATTCTCTAGTCTAGTGCTTCTCAGCTCCTAATGTGTACATGATTCCTGTAAAGTGTAGATTCTGACGTGGCACGATGGCTCACACCTGTAATCCCAGCACTTTGGGAGGCCAAGGCAGGATAATTGCTTGAGCCCAGGAAATTTGAGACCAGCCTGGGCAACATGGTGAGATCCCTATCTCTACAAAAAAATTAAAAATTAGTTGGGCGTGGTGGCCTGTGCCAGCTACTTGGGAGGCTTAGGCAGGAGGATCCCTTGAACTCAGGAGGTGGGGACTATAGTAAGCTGTGTTTGTGCCCCTATACTCTAGCCTGGGCAACACAGTGAGACCCTTTCACACACACACACAAAAAAATTGTAGATTCTGATTCAGTAGGGCTGGATGGAACGAACCCAAGATCCTGCATTTCTGACAAACTTCCAGGTGATGCCAGTGTTGCAGGCCCCTAGACCCTCCTGCCTTTGAGTAGCAAGGGTGTGCACTCCTTGCGCTTCCGGTCTATTCATGGGTACCATTGCTGCATGACGGCCAAGAGAAGGGGTTTGAAGTCCCACAGTGGACTTCACAGTGGATCCCAGCCTACCCCTTAACAGTCAGCTAACCTTAGGCCAGCTGCTCATCCTCTCTGTGCCTCCATTTTTTCATCTGTTCCATTGAAATCAAATAATACTTCCTTAGGAGCATAAAAAAGGCAGAATGAATGTATGACCCCAGCACAGTCTGTGCCTCATGGCAGGCCCTCTGTAAAGATAGTTTCTACCATTGTGCACTCTCTCATGGGCAGTGAAACCCAGAAATGACGTGGTTAGGGAGTGGGATATGGAAGGGATATGGAAGGTATTTCAGGATAAGAATTGTACCCCTTGGCTGGGCGCGGTGGCTCATGCCTGTAATCTCAGCACTTTGTGAGGTGGAGGTGGGCAGATCACAAGGTCAGCAGTTCGACACCAGCCTGACCAACATGGTGAAACTTCGTCTCTACTGAAAATACAGAAATTAGCTGGGCATGGTGACGCGCACCTGTAATCCCAGCTACTAAGGAGGCTGAGGCAGGAGAATCACTTGAACCCGGAGGGTGGAGGTTGCAGTGAGCTGAGATCGCGCCACTGCACTCCAGCCTGGGTGACAGAGTGAGACAACATCTCAGAAAAAAAAAAAAAAGAATTGCACTCCTTAATGTGGCCTTCTGAGCCATGCAGGGTGGTCACTGCCCAGCCTACCCCTTAATGCTCTCCTACCTCTGTCCATGCTTCCACCACAACGGCCACCTATTAGGTCCTTTGGCCATGGTACCTTCTCCCCTCAGAGGCCTTGCACATGCTGTTCCTCATATTCCAAGCTGGCTGGCCCCTTCTTATCCTTCAGTCTCAGCTCCTATGTTACTTCCTTGGGGTGCCTTCCCTGATCTCAGAAGTCTAAGGGTTTAGCGTAGAAAGTGGGGAGCAGGGAACATCTCTTTGGGCTGCATGTACATAGGGAAGTCACCGTATCTACTTAGATTCTAAGTTTATTTAAAGCAGCTTTGGATAGGGGTGAACTAAACGCTGCCTCTGCTAGTCTATACGATGCCTTTGTGCAGATTAGAAAAAGGGGTCGGGCACAGTGGCTCGCACCTGTAATTCCAACACTTTGGGAGGCCAAGTGGGAGAAACACTTGAGGCCGGGAGTTTGAGATCAGGCTGGGCAACATAGCGAGACCTCAACTCTACAATTTTTTTTTTTTTAAATTTTAGAGACGGGGTCTTGCTCTGTTGCCAGGCTTTGTGCAGCATGTAAACTGTACAGCCCTAAGTGGGAGCCCTACTGCTAATGCTTCCCCAAGCTACCTCGTGATTCGGTTAATCCTCCTTTGCCTGGATTAAGTCTCTTTTATAAACTTTCTTAACCCCATAAAACTCATCACAATTGGGATTAGGTATCTAGGGAGTTATTTATTTAAAATCTGCCCCCTACACTAGACTGTACTGCATCAAGGCAAAGACATATCCATCTTGTTCTAGGCTGTATCACTAGTGCTTAGTACGGTTCCTGCACCATAGCAGGTGCTCCACAAATGTTTTCTGGATATTTCAGGAGCTCATTCTGTACCAGGAAAGCTAAGACTCTTACTGAAACAACTGTGGGCATAGGATGAGACAGGCACAGAGCTAAATGTGTGGTGCAGCCCCAGTGAGGGAGATGTCACTTCTGGCTGCGGGGATGCTCCGGAAGAGGTGGTGTTTTGGCTGGGTCTGACGGAACAGATGGAGTTCATTAGACTTAGATGGGTGGGGGAGTGTTCTTGGCATTGGGAATAGCAAAAGCAAAGGTGCAGAGGGAAAAAAGTTCAATGTGTTCCTAAGACAAGTCACAAATTGTGATCAGCAGAGTGGCCAAATATGTTTTGTGAATTACCTGCCAATATTTATTTTAAAATCAGGAGATTTCACATAAAGATCCAGATTTTCCAATTCTCTTGAAAAATCGAAAGGTCCCACCAGGTAGCAATAGACTGGCACTGAGAAGTGGCCGTTCGTTTTGAAGGTGTGGGCTTACTCCAGTTTGCCACAGTCCTTACCTTTCCCAATTGCATCACACCCAGCTCTCTTCACTCATTACTGTCCCTTTCTGGCTTTGGAGATGGCCGACAGACTGTTTGATTGGCACACATGGGAGTTGTAAGGAAGATTGGTTCAGATCCTACAGACCCTTAAATGCCAGCTAATTAAGTAACCTGGTAACTGCAGGGATTGCAGGGGTCTTCTCCAGTCCCATGGATCACTGTCCAAGTATCCCTTGGCAGAGCCATGCCTGACTTCAGAAGAAGGAACTTCAGGCCAAGAAGGCTGGTGAAGTTCTGGAAACCAAGGAAGCAGAGAGCTCTGCATGAGCCTTTCCTAGAGAGAAATCAGTCTCTGTCTCTCTTAGACCGACCCCTCAGTCACAGCATGGTGCTGTGATTTTGCCAAGAGGCAGGGGTGGGTCTGGGGGAAGATGGACGGTGCTTCCAAAAGGCTAAATTTTAGTCTCAAAGGTTTCTGATTGCGGACACATAGGTGATATCTAACTTGCTTTTGTTTAGCCTTGAATATTTTCAAATATAATCTTCAATATTTCTGTTACAATATTGTAGCTTGCTTCTGTTTATAAAAATAATGCAGCATTTGAAAAAAAATTGGAGAACATAGAAAAATAAAGATGAAGATAATAATCTGTAGTAATCTTCCCACCCAGATGTAACATGTTAACATGTTGGTGGATTTCCTTATGTTTATTTTTTTCAGTGTATTTATACTTTTGTGTGTTGTGTGTGTGTGTTTGTGAGACGGAGTCTCACTCTGTCACCTAGGCCGGAGTGCAGTGGCGTGATCTCGGCTCACTGCAAGCTCCGCCTCCTGGGTTCACACCATTCTCCTGCCTCAGCCTCCCTAGTAGCTGGGACTACAGGCACCCACCACCACACTCGGCTAATTTTTTGTATTTTTAGTGGAGACGGGGTTTCACCGTGTTAGCCGGGATGATCTCAATCTCCTGAACTCGTGATCTGCCTGCATCGGCCTCCCAAAGTGCTGGGATTACAGGCGTGAGCCACTGCGCCCGGCCTGTATTTATATATAAGTTGGGAGGCTGGGCACTCATGCCAGAGCTTTGGAAGGCGAAGGTGGCAGGAAAGTTTGAGGCTAGGAGTTCAAGACCAGCCAGGATAACACGAGAGAACCTGTCTCAACAAAAAAAATTTTTTAATTAGTCGAGCTGCAGCCAGCTCTGCCTCTTGTCAGGGCCTGGAGTCCTGGGTGAATCCTGCAGGTTTTTGGTTGCACTGGCCCAGGGAAGAAGTTGGGGTTTGTCAGGTGGGCTCTCCTGGGGGTCCTCTAGTGGCAGAAGTGAGTAGGGGATTATCCGAGGCATCTGGAGATGCATGTCCCTCAGTTTCCCTGTGCCTCCCTTTCTGAGTAGGTGTACAAATGAGTGACCTAGGCCAAGAAGTGAGTTGCCACAGTGAAATGGGTTGGTTTTTGTCTTTGATGCTTCGGGTCTGGGCCCCTTGCATTTGCAGCCTGTTGTGACAGACACAGGGAGCTCTATGTGCCAGCCTGTGGCTGCCCTGATGTTGGGTGTCCTGGGGGTGGCGAGGCTCCTGCAGTCTCATCCGGGGAGGGGGTGTGCTGTGCTGAGCACTCTATCCCTGAATATAGTTTATTTTTTCTACATTTGAATTCTGTTATAGATTTATGTAAAAATACATTCTCTTTTTGAAGAATGAAAAAGTTCACATCTTAAAAAAAAAATTAGCTGGGCAGGCCAGGCGAGGTGGGTCAAGCCTGCACTTGGGGAGGCTGAGTGGGCAGATCACGTGAGGCCAAGAGTTTGAAACCAGTCTGGCCAACATGGTGAAACCCTGTCTCTTTCTGGCTAAAAATACAAAAATTATCCAGGTGTGGTGGTGGATGCCGGTCATCCTAGCTACTTGGGAGGCTGAGGAGGAGAATCACTTGAACCCAGGAGGCAGAGGTTGCAGTGAGCCAAGATCACACCCCTGCACTCCAGCCTGGGCGGCAGAGGAAGACTCCATCTCAAAAAAAAAAAAAAAAAAAAAAATTAGCTAGGGCTAGTGGCACATGCCTGTAGTCCTAGCTACTTGGAAGGCTGAGGTAGGAGGATCTCTTGAGTCTGGAAGGTTGAGGCTGCAGTGAGCCATGAATGCATCACTTCATTCCAGCCTGGGTGACAGAATGAGACCCTGGTTCAAAAGTGAAATAAAACAACATTGGAAGCATATTTCTTTTGCCCTTGATTTGCCCTTTTTCACTTAACATTATATGGTGAATCTTTGTGAGAATGTATTAATGCATTCCTTTTATAAAATTTTTACATAAAAAATTAAATTCAGAAAAGAAAAATACTATATATTGACACCATTTTTCCAAGTTATTAAATATGTTTTGAGAAAACATTTTGCGCCGGGCGCAGTGGCTCACATCTGTAATCCTAGCGCTTTGGGAGGCCGAGGTGGGTGGATCACCTGAGGTCAGGAGTTCGAGACCAGCCTCGCCAACATGGCAAAACCCCATGTCTACTAAAAATACAAAAATTGGCTGGGTGCGGTGGCTCACGCCTGTAATCCCAGCACTCTGGGAGGCCTAGGCGGGTGGATCATGAGGTCAGGAGTTTGAGACCAGCCTGGCCAATATAGTGAAACCCCGTCTCTACCAAAAATACAAAAAATTAGCCAGGCGTGGTGGCGGCACTTGTAATCCCAGCTACTTGGGAGGCTGAGGCAGGAGAATTGCTTGAACCCAGGAGCAGAGGTTGCAGTGAGCCAAGATCGTGCCATTGCACTCCAGCCCAAACGACAGTGTGAAACTCTGTCTCAAAAAAATAAAAAATAAAAAATAATCTGGCGAGGTGGCAGGCACCTGTAATCCCAGCTACTCTGGAGGCTGAGGCAGGAGACTCACTTGAACCCAGGAGGCAGAGGTTGCAGTGAGCTGAGATCGTGCCATTTTACTCCAGCCTGGACTACAGACCATGACTCCGTTTAAAAAAAAAAAAAAAAAAGAAAGAAAAGAAAAGAAAAAACATTTTGCCTGTTTGTTTCCTTCCATTCTCAAAGTATAATCAGAGATCTAATTCTGTTCATCTTGCCTAAATGGATAAAATTAATATTATCACCTCCATTTTACAGAGGAAGTTGAGACTCAAAAATGGAGTGATTGGGCCTGGCGTGGTGGCTCACGCCTGTAATCCCAGCACTTTGGGAGGCCAAGGCGGGCGGATCACCTGAGGTCGGGAGTTCGAGACCAGCCTGGCCATCATGGTGAAATGCTGTCTCCACTAAAAATACAAAAAAATTAGCTGGGCGTGGTGGCACGCGCCTGCTTGAACCTGGGAGGTGGAGGTTGCACTGAGCAGAGATCGCGCCGTTGCACTCCAGGCTGGGTGACAGAGCCAGACTCTGTCTCCAAAAAAATTAAAATTTAAATTAAAAAAAAATGAAGTGATTTACTCAAAATCAAGTAGCTAGCAGCCCTCGGAAGGCAGGACTACACACCTCAGGCCTTGTGAATCTAGGTTAGTGGTGCGGGGGAGGGCACACACACAAGCCTGCTGCCCCTACCCCATTGCAGTTAGACAATGCCAGCTGTGGTTTAAGTTCTGAGAATCAAGATGGATTTAAACTGAATGAAGTTAATTTGGGTGGACTTCATGGAAGCAGCAGGTTTCATGTAGGATCGAGAAAAGGTTTGTCAAATTCATAGGTACATTAGGCACCCAACCCTACTGACTCCCGGGCTAATAATAATAACTGGCCTTTGTCGTGCGGCAAGCCCCTTACTAAGGCTTTGAATACTCCTTATGTTAGTTAATCCTCACACCCAACTGTATGAAGCACGGTTATTTTCACCGATTTAAAATGAAGAAACAGAAGTACAGAGAGGGAAAGTGACCATCTCAGGGTCGCACAGCTAGTGAGTACCAGGGCAGAGACTTGAACTCGGTCCGCCCGGCCCCAGAGCGAGACCCGCCACTACCTCCACGCACCCTCCCTGCCTGGGTGATATGGCTGAGCAGCAGGCGGAGGCTTTGTACCCCCAGCTGCGGAGAGCAGGGACTCCCAGGCACGATGGGCCCCGCCCGCACTGGTGGTGTGCGGAGGACGCGCAGGTCTCGCTGGGATGACCCGGGCGGGGGGGCTGTGCGACAACGGCCTGGCGGGACAGGGCGCCTGGAGCCCGTTTCCACCGCCGCACAGTCCTCAGGATTCCCGAAGAGGTAAAATAGATATAAAAAAAACCCCGGATTCCCCGGAGTATTCGGCATCCCAGCCGCCGGTCCTCAGCCACAGTATATTGATTCTTCTTTGATTCTGAAATAAATTGCATCAAGAAAGAGTATCAGGGCTGGGCACGGTGGCTCATGCCTGTAATCCCAGCACTTTGGGAGGCCGAGGAGGGCGGATCACGAGGTCAGGAGATCGAGACCATCCTGGCTAACACGGTGAAACCGCGTCTCTACTAAAAAAAGAAAAAAAAATTAGCCGGGCGTGGTGGCGGGCGCCTGTAGTCCCAGCTACTCGGGAGGCTGAGGCAGGAGAATGGCGTGAACCCGGGAGGCGGAGCTTGCAGTGAGCCGAGATCGCGCCACTGCCCTCCAGCCTGGGCGACAGAGGGAGACTCCGTCTCAAAAAAAAAAAAAAGAAAGAAAGTATCAGACTTGCAATCAAGAGATACAGCCCGAGTTCTAGTCCTACCCCTGCCACTATCTGACTGTGTGACCTTGGGCCAGTCGCTTCCCCTCTCTGGGCCGCGGAGGTTAAAACTGGCCCTTTCCCCCGTCTCTGCAGCTCACATCCCCCTGCGACGTGGCCGCCTGGCCGCCGAGCTTTCGGGGTGCCGGGAAGCACGAGCTGCGCGCAGGTCGCGGGGTCCGCGGGTGGCGGCCCACTCTGCTCCTGCCCGACGCCCAGCTTGGGGTGCCGTTCGTTGAAAAGGCTCCGGGATCCTGCGGAGACTCAGCCCCGCCCCACTGCCCTTCGGCATGAAGGTCTGCACAAGGTCAGGGAGGATCTTGCATTCCTCCCTCCGTCCCTGTTCCCTGGGGCAGCTCACGTGAATGGGCACCCATCCTCCAACCTGATAGCGCTCCTCGGCAGCCCTCGGTTCATCCCCCATAGGGCCGCGGGTGAGCGTTGTCAGGCACAGCCCTGCTCACCCTTTTCGTTCTTTTTTTTTTTTCTTTTTCTTTTTTGAGGCTCTGCCTCAAAAAAGTGGCGCGATCTCGGCTCACTGCAACCTCCCCCTCCGGGGCTTAGGCGATTCTCGTGCCTTAGCCACCTGAGTAGCTGGGACTACAGGCCTGCGCCACCACGCCCGGCTAATTTTTGTATTTTTAGCAGAGACGGGGTTTCACCATTTGTTGGCCAGGCTGGTCTTGAACATCTGACCTCAGGCGATCCACCCGCCTCCGCCGCCCAAAGTGCTGGGAATACAGGCATGAGCCACCGCTCCCAGCCCTGCTGGTCCCTTTCGAAGGAAACCTTCGCTGGCTCCCTAGTGCCCTGGAATAACACTGAAACCCCTTAGAACGGTGGAGAAGGCCTATCTCCATCTGCCCCAACATCATTCCCCAGTTTCGCGTTCTTCCCTCACCTTAAGGAAGTGCTTAGAGATGTTTAAAGCAGAGGTTCAGGAGTCTACCAGTTCCTAGCTATGTGACTTTAGGCCAGTTGCTGCTTATTGCTAAACCTTGATTTCCACATCCTTAAAATGGGGGTGGCAGCACACATTCCGCAGGACAGGCTGAGGATTAAGTGAGTCACTTAGCATAGTTCCTGGAACACACTCAACTCACCCTAAGTGCTTGTTATTATAATTCTCAGCCCACATTTGGCTACCACCTCCTACTTCCTCAAGCTTGTCATTGTCTTTCCCTACATTGTGCCTCCATGCATACCTGGAAAGCCCTTCCTCTTCTCTTCCCCACCCTGTAGGTTCTTACACACCCTTTAAAGCCCAAATCAAAGGCCATTGCCTGTGAAGACTTCTACCCTTCCTGCCAACAGGGTAAAGAGTTCTTCGTCCTCTATCTGCTCATCATCACCTAGGGACCACACTCAGCATCACACATGGTGGACAGCTGGCCTTAAGTGCCTCCTGCCAACCTCAAAGGAAGAGGCTGGGGCACGAAATATAATTTGAAGAGTTTACTTGAGTCAAAGTGAGGACAGCTGCTGAGAAGACTCAGAATCAAGTAACCTCAGATATGAGCTCCATTTGGCCTTTGTTACATACAAGCAGGTGTTTAAACATATATATGTGTGTGTATATGTATATTTCCTCCCACCTCAGCCTCCCTAGTAGCTAGGGACTACAGACACGCACCACCATACCCAGCTAATTTTAATTTTTAATTATTTTTTTTTTTTTTGTAGAGACAAAGTCTCATTATGTTGCCCCGGCTGTTCTCGAACTCCTGGGCTCAAGGGATCCTCCTGCCTCAGCCTCCCAAAGTGCTGGGATTACAGGTGTGAGCCACTGTGACTGGTCACAAGCAGGTTTCTTTGTTTCATTTTGTTTTGAGACGGGGTCTCACTCTGTTGCCCAGGCTGGAGTGCAGTGGCATGATCTCGGCTCACTGCAGCCTCAAACTGTTGGGCTCAAGCAATCCTCCCACCTCAGCCTCCTAAGTAGCTGGGACCACAGGCATGAGCCACCACGCCCTGCTAATTTTTTATTTCGTTGTAGAGACGGATTTTGCCATGTTGCCCAGGCTCACAAGCAGGTTTCTAAAGACAAAAAAAGAATAGGGAGAGGGCTATTACAGAGTTGTGTGTCAGGAATTCTCATTGGTTTACAGAAATAACATTGGTTCGTGATTGGCCTGGCAAGCAGTTTTAAGAGATGAATACATAGCTTAAAGTGGGATGTAGGACTGATTACTGTCTCATTTATTAATTTAAAAGGACTTGAATTGCCCAGATGAAAGTTCTTTTCTCGACTGGGCGCGGTGGCTCACACCTGTAATCCCAGCACTTTGGGAGGCCGAGGCGGGCGGATCACGAGGTCAGGAGATCAAGACCATCCTGGCTAACACAATGAAACCCCGTCTCTACTAAAAAATACAAAAAATTAGCCGGGCGTGGTGGCGGGCTCCTGTAGTCCCAGCTACGCGGGAGGCTGAGGCAGGAGAACGGCGTGAACTGGAGAGGCGGAGCTTGCAGTGAGCCGAGATCGCGCCACTGCACTCCAGCCTGGGCGACAGAGCAAGACTCCGTCTAAAAAAAAAAAAAAAAAAGAAAGAAAGTTCTTTTCTCACCCCTAATAGGATGGAGTAGACTACATAGCTCCACCTATTTTGGCTCCTGTGAAAAATATTGAGCCTGAATCTAATGAGGCCTATAAGAACTAGCTTCAGTTACGAAAAGTTCAGGGGATAGAGGAACACGTTAAACAACACACAAAGAAGCAATCAGACAAAGCCAGAATGTGAAACAGTTTATAAGACAACTGCCATAATCTCTTAAAAGCCAATGTTGTAAAAACAAAAAAAAGTAATGGGGAGGAGGTTCTAGATTTAAAGAGACCTAATAGTCTAACAAGCCAAATATAAGATGTGATTCTTGATTATATCTTGATTTATTACTATAAAAAAATAAGGACCACGTTTTTATTTTTATCATATTTATTTATTTATTTTGAGACAGGGTCTCACTCTGTTGCCCAGGCCGAAGTGCAGTGGTGTGATCCTAGCTCACTGCAAGCTCAAATTCCTAGACTCAAGCCATCCTCCCTCTTCAGCCTCCCCACAGCTGGGACTATAGGTGCAAGACATCATACCTGGCCATTTTTTTTTTTTTATTTTAGTAGAGATGACATCTCACTACATTGCCCAGGCTGGCCTGGAACTCCTAGCTTCAAGCCACCTTCCCACCTTGACTTCCCAAAGCACTGAGATTACAGGTGTAAGCGACTATACCTGGCCCACCATGCTTTAGACAATGGGGAAATTTCACTATGAACTTGGTATTAGATGATATAAGAAAATTATTGCTAATTTTGTGAGACGTGTTAAGTGTATTGTTATGGAAGAGAATGATCTAATTTTTGGAAATACATGCTGAAGTGTTTAGGGTTGAAGTGTTAGAATATCTGTAATTAGCTTTAAAATGCTTTAGCCACAGATTTTATATATAGTGAGATGGAGAAAACAGTAAAATGTTGACAATTGTTGCTATGTGATTGATGTATAGGTATTTGGTTTATTGTTTTTTTTTATTTTTCTGATATTTTCAAAAGAAAAATTTTCTTTCCCTTTTTTTTGTTATTGTTGTTGAGACAGGGTTTCAACTCCTGGACTCAAGCAATCTTCCTGCCTCAGCCTCCCAAAGTGTTGGGATTACAGGCGTGAGCCACTGCACCTGGCCCAAAATAAAAAGTTTTTTAAAAAACACTTCTAGGCTGGGCACGGTGGCTCACGCCTGTAATCCCGGCACTTTTGGAGGCCGAGATGGGCGGATTACGAGGTCAGCAGATCGAGACCAATCTGGCTAACATGGTGAAACCCCGTCTCTACTAAAAATACAAAAAATTAGCCAGGCGTGTTGGTGGGTGCCTGTAGTCCCAGCTACTCGGGAGGCTGAGGCAGAATGGCGTGAACCTGGGAGGCGGAGCTTGCAGTAAGCAGAGATCGCCTCACTGCACTCCAGCCTGGGGGACAGAGTGAGACTCCGTCTCAAAAAAAGAAAAAAAAGAAAAAGCACTTCTTCAGTGCTCTAATAGCAAATTTGGGGCCCTCATTAATATCACAATATGGCTTATGCATGTAAATCCCAGTACTTTGGGAGGCCGAGGCGGGCAGATCACGAGGTCAGGAGCTCGAGACCAGCCTGACCAACATGGTGAAACCCCGTCTCTACTAAAAATACAAAAATCAGCTGGGCATGGTGGCGCGCGCCTGTAAACCCAGCTACTCAGGAGGCTGAGGCAGGAGAATCACTTGAACCTGGGAGGCGGAGGTTGTAGCGAGCCAAGATCGTGCCACTGCATTCCGGCCTGGAAGACAGAGCAAGGCTCCGTCTCAAAAAAAAGAGTTATAGACTACCCTGGCCAACATGGTGAAACCCTGTCTCTATTAAAAATACAAAAAGTAGCCAGGCGTGGTGACGCATACCTGTAATCCCAGCTACTTGGGCGGCTGAGGCAGGAGAATCCCTTGAACCCGGGAGGCAAAGGTCACAGTGAGCCAAGATCGTGCCGCTGCACTCCAGCCTGGGCGACAGAGCAAGACTCTATCTCGAAAAAAAAAAAATTACAATATATTGCTGGCATACATCACCTCCATACACGGAATCACAATATATGGAGGTGATGTACGCTAGTAGGTCTTGCCATTCAGATGACAGATTATGGGCTCCTGGGGATAGCAGCTAGGTTTAGATCAACTATATTTATCTCAGAGTGTCCAGTACATAATAAATATTCAACAAATACTCATTGAGGCTGGGCACGGTGGCTCACTCCTATAATCCTAGCACTTTGGGAGGCCAAGGCAGGGAGATTGCTTGAGACCAGGAGTTTGAGACCAGCCAGGGTAACACGGAGAAACACTTTTTCTACAAAAAATTAAAAAATTAGCCAGGCATGGTGGCATGTGCCTGTAGTCCCAGCTACTTGGGAGGCTGAGGTGGGAGAATTGCTTGAGCCTGGGAGGTTGAGGCTGCAGTGAGCCGATATTGTGCCACTACTCTCTAGCCTCAGTGACAGACAGAGACCCTGTCTCAAAAACAACAACAGCAACAACAACAAAACCAAAGCAAATGCTCATTGAAAGAATGAAGACTGCATTGCTAGAGTGCATGGTTCATTAGTAAACTTATTCTTAGGAATCTCTGAATGCAAAATGATAATGGGAAATGTTTTTCCAGCCCTTACTGTGTCCCAAGCTTGGTGCAAAGCCCTTCATATGCATTGTCTCATGTAATCCTTACAGTGATCCTATAAGGTAAAGAAAATACTAGTCTCATTTTACCCCTGAGAAAACAGGTACACAGAGAGGTGAAGGAGCTTGCCCCTGCATTATTCCATTAGTAATGGCAGAAGAAGCAGTTGGTTCTCACCCTCACACTCCATTGGCTTGTACCTTTCTTGTATCATCTGTAAATCAAAGAAAATGACCAAGGCAGGTATCAATCATTTTAGGAAGAGGTTTACTTGCCAAAGTTAAGGACGCAAGCCTGAGAGAAGGATCTATGCCTTTCTCCAAAGATGATTTTGAGGGCTTCAATATTTAAAAAGAGAAAGTGTGGATATTGGGGGAATGCACAATTTTCATGTGAGAGGGGTGTAGAGGAAATCGTCCTTCATTCCTTGACTGGATCAGTGAATCTGCATTTTTACATAAGATAATGTAAACAATAGGGCAAAGGAAGCAATCTGATACGCATTTGTTTCAGAGGAGCAGAGAGTTGACTTTGAGTTCTGTCCTATGTCATGCACCTGTGATGATAAGCTGTCAATTTACATTGCCAGGGTGAAATTCAACAGAATTGTTTTAGGGTAAAGATCTTGGGGCCCGCCAGGAATTTCCTTGTGGGCAGACTGTGAGGGAGGTATGTAGCTTTTTATCTTTTTTTTTTTTTTTCTTCTCTTTGTAGCCATCTTATTTATGAACCAAATGGGGAGGCAGGTTTGCATGACCCAGTTCCTAGCTTGACTTTTCCCTTTGGCTTAGAGAGTTTGGGATTCCAAGATTTATTTTCCTTTCACACATCCTGTCAGCATAAGGAATTATGTGCGTGTACCTGTCTTAGCACCTGTGTCTACTAGACTAGGAGCCCTTCAAAAGTGAAAGGAAGAAAGCACATCCACACAAAACCTTGTGCACAAATGTTTGTAGCAGCATTATTCATAATAGCGAAAATGTGTCAGCAACCCAAACAACCATACTTGGTGACTGGATAGACAAAATGTGGTAGATTCATACATTGGAATGTTATTCAGCCATAACAGGGAATGAAGTTCTGATATATGCTATAACGTCGATGAACCTTGAAAACATTATGCTATGTGAAAGAAGCCAGTCTCAAATGACCACATATTATGATTCCATTTATATGAATGTCCAGAATAGGCAAATTCATAGAGACAGAAATTAGATTCGTGTTTACTTAGGACTTGGGGCTGGTGCAGGGGGGATAGAAAGACTAAGGGATAATAGCTAAAAGGCGCAAGGATTTGTTTTTTGTTTGTTGTTGTTGTTGTTTTTAAAACAGAGTCTCTCACTCTATCCTCCAGGCTGGAGTGCAGTGGTGCCATCATGGCTCACTGCAGCCTCGGACTCCTGGGCTCAAGTGATCCTCTCGCCTCAGTCTCCCAAGTAGCTGAGACTGCAGTCATGTACCACTATACCAGGCTAATTTTTTAATTTTCAGTTGAAATGAGGTTGGGTGGTTTTTTTTTTTAAATTACAAAATACTTTATTGCCAAAAATGCTAACAATCATCTGAGCCTTTAGCAAGTCGTACACTTTGTATTTTTGCTTTTATTATAATTTTTCATGGACACATAATAATTGTACATTTTTATGGTAAACAGCGTGATATTTCAATACATATATACAATGTGTAATCATCAAATCAGGGTAATTAGCATATCTGTCACTTCAAATATTTATCATTTCTTTGTGTTGGGACAGGGATTCTTTTTGAGGTGATGAAAATATTCTAAAATCTATTGTATGGCGGGGCACTGTGGCTCACGCCTGTAATCCCAGCACTTTGGGAGGCCGAGGAGGGTGGATCACCTGAGGTCAGGAGTTCGAGACCAGCCTGGCCAACATGGTGAAACACTGTCTCTACTAAAAATGTAAAAATTAGCCGGATGTGGTGGCAGGCGCCTGTAATCCCAGCTACTAGGGAGGCTGAGGCAGGAGAATTGCTTAAATCCAGGAGGCGGAGGTTGCATTGAGCTGAGATCACACCACTGCACTCCAGCCTGGGCGACAAGAGCGAGGCTGTGTCTCAAAATAAATAAATAAATAAATAAAAATTGATTGTAGTGACAGTTGCACAACTCTGTTAATATACTAAAAACAATTGAACTTACATTTTAGATGGGCAAATTATATTGTGTGTGATTATATCTCGGTAAAGCTGAAGAAAAGGAAATATCTAATTCACCAATGAATCTGCCAAGCTAGTTAAATAAATAAAACTAGTGAATGAATAGCTGTTTCCCTTGCAGTTGACAAAAATATGCCCTAGTTCCAAAGTCTAAAATGAATTCCCTTGACTGTCTCAGGGGCATGCTTGCGCCTAGCTCTCGGGAACCCATTAGTGTACTAATAAGAAACCTGATAATTCAGTCAATAATTCCTGAGGTTGTCAGTGCCACTCCGGAAGAAGAGAGAAATGCACAGACTATTTCTTTCGATACAAGCTGTGGGATTGCAGAGCGAGGGGCCGCCAGGATGTTCTGCCTGGAAAAGGGCCCCTGGAGATCTCACTGTGGTCTGTTCCCACTTGGCTAATCTTGAGTCATTTATGTGGGCTTATCTGACTATTCCTGTTTTTCCCCTCACCCTGGACATTCAGAAGGACTGTTGTAGTTAAAGCTCCAGAATAAAGTAACTCCTGAGGTTCTGTGGGAATAATTTCACTGTGAAGGACACAAACACTTCAATGGATGTCAATCACATGTCAGGGAAGGAGTGCTTGTTTAAAATAAAGATTCTTGGGCCCCATTCCTGGAGATTCAAATTTTGTAAGACTAGGATAAGGCCATGGGCTCTGCATTTTAAATAAAGCATTAGGCCAGGTGTGGTGGCTCATGCCTGTAATTCCAGCACTTTGAGAGGATGGCTTGAAGCCAGCAGTTCAAGACCAGCATGGGCAACATAGCAAGACCCCTCTTTCTACAAAAAAAAAAAAAATTTAAATAATTAAAACATAAATAAATAAAGCACCTGAAGTGTTCCTGAAACGGGACTACTGGCCATGTGAGAGACACCGACCTAACTAAAGAATAGACAGGGGAAATTGAACATGTACATTATCTCAGGCATAAAAATGGGTTTGCTTAGGGATCTTAGAGACCATTGAATTGAGTAGTTTTCGTACTGTGTCCACAGGAACTCCTTAGGGCTCCATGGAACACCTGGAGGGGACTGTTGAGTGGTGGAGGGACCGAGGTACAAATGGGTCTACCCCAGCACATGCCCCTTCAACAGCTCCATTTTAATCCATTTTCTATACTGGAGATTGAGTTCTATTGCTTAAAAACCACTAAGCCTGCCCTGTCCCTCCTATGCAAGTGGAGAAACTGAGGCCCGGAGAGGAAAACAGGTTTTCCCAAGGCGATGGCAGAACCAGAACTGATTCCAGGACTCTTATTCCCATCCAGAACCCTTCCCATTAGGGAATTCCAGTTTTTGATACATCCATTCATTTTTGGGTGGCTTTTCCTCTCTGCCTCCAGCAAATCTCACATAAGACAGCAGGGCCTGGACTAGGGTGAGGGGAATGAGGTAACTGCCTCAGGCACAAAATTTTGACAGGTGCAAAAAAATGCAGTAATCAAATAATATTTTAATACAATATTTTAAAAATCAAAATTAATGCAAAAAGGTATGATGAACAAAATGCCCAAATTTTAAATAAAAGCAGGATCAGTAGTTCTAATTTTTCCTTTTGCCCTGAGCTCCAAGATGGCTATATTCTGCACTATTATTCACCCTGCCTTTATTTAAAATTTGGGTATTTGAGTCATTGTGTGTTTTTTCATATTAATTTTCATCTTATAAAATATTGTGGCTGGTCGCAATGGCTCACACCTGTAATCCTGGCACTTTGAGAGGCTGAGGTGGGAGGATCACTTGAGTCCAGGAGGTTGAGGCTGCAGTGAGCCATGATCGTGCTACTGCACTCCAGCCTGGGCAACAGAGTGAGACCCTGTCTCAAATGAAATAAAATATTGCATTAAAGTATTATTTATCTAGATTACTGAGATGATGTTGTTGTTGTGGTTTGAGACAGGGTCTTGCTCTATCACCTTTGTTGTTGTTGTTTGAGACAGGGTCTCGCTCTATCACCCAGGCTGGAGTGCAGTGTTGCAATCTTGGCTCACTGCAGCCTTGACCTCCCAGGCTCAAGCGATCCTCCCACCTCAGGCTCCCAAATAGCCGGGATTACAGGTACATGCCACAATGCCTGGCTAATTTTTAAGATTTTTTGTTTAGCCGGGGGTGGTGGCACGTGCCTGTAATCCCAGCTACTGGGGAGGCTGAGGCAGGAGAATCGCTTGAACCCAGGAGGCAGAAACTGCAGTGGGAGCCGAAATCACGCCACTGCACTCCACACTCCAGCCTGGGTGTCAGAGAGAGACTCCATCTCAAAAAAAAAAAGAAAAAAATATTTGTAGAGATAGCATCTCGCTATGTTGTCTAGATTGGTTTTGAACTCCTGGGCTCAAGATATTCTTCCTCCTCAATCTCCCAAAGTGTTGGGATTACAGTTGTGAGCCACTGTGCTCGCTCTGAGTTGGTGTTTTCTTTTGTTTTTTGTTTGTTTGTTTGTTTTTTGTCTTAATTTAGTGCCAATGGCAAGTGCCTCACTTGCCTTACCCTTACCTGGGCCCTATAAAACAGGTCTTTTGGCAGACAGCTAAGTAACGCCCCATTGCCCTCTGGGAATCCCTCCAGATCCTATCACTTCGTTTGTCTGACAGAATTGATGTTTACTTGGTCTCAATGTGACATTGCTTTTGTCACCTGACCTGCAGAGAGGTTTGCATTTTACAGTGGATATTTGTTTTGCTGACCCAGCGAAAGTCTCCCTTCTGGCAACAGCAACCATATGTTGCTTGGGAAGCCTCCCCTCCCCATGTTCAGAGCTGACTCCAGCCCATAGGGAAAGGTGGGCCCATGACTCAGCTCTGCCAGTCAGACCCCCTGGTCACAGTGATGGGCCAGGAATAGATATGTGACTCAGTTACAGCCAATGAGACTCAATTCTGGGGATATGGTCCGAACTTTGGGGAGGGAAACTTTCTTTTTTTTTTTTTTTTTGAGACAGAGTCTCGCACTGTTGCCTGGGCTGGAGTGCAGTGGTGTGATCTCAGCTCACTGCAACCTCCGCCTCCCAGGTTGAAGCTATTCTACTGCCTCAGCCTCCTGAGTAGCTGGGATTATAGGCGCCTGCCACCATGACCAGCTAATTTTTTATATTTTTAGTAGAGATGGGGTTTCACTATGTTGGCCAGGCTGGTCTGGAATGCCTGACCTCGTGATCCACCCCTGTCGGCCTTCCAAAGTGCTGAGATTACAGGTGTGAGTCACTGCACCCGGCCAAACTTTCTCTTTTATCTGTAGTAGCTGAGAAGTTAGGATATAAGCCACCATTGTGGACCTGAGCCTTTTTGTGACAGGAGCTCCCACAGACACAGCAGGATTGAGTGATGGAGACAGGGAGGAGACATCCTGATGATACTGCTTGAGCCACTGGGTCTACTGTGTACAAAGAAGTCTACCCTCTGGACTTAATGGGTGCATGGGCCAACTCTTGCCTAAATGGTTTGAGTTACGCCTCTGTCACTTAGATGGTTCATTCCCTCTCACCTGCATTCTGGCCAGGTTGGCCCCAGGAGATGTTTAGTGGAGCCCAGCACCTATCACTAGAGTTCTGCCCTAAGTATCTTCAAGTGGCCAGGTGCGGTGGCTCATGCCTGTAATCCCAGTGCTTTGGGAGGCCAAGGTGGGCGAATCACCTGAGGTCAGGAGTTTGAAACCAGCCTGGCCAACATGGTGAAACCCCATCTCTACTAAAAATACAAAAATTTCCCGGGCGTGGTGGTGGGCACCTGTAATCACAGCTACTAGGGATGCTGAGGCAGGGGAATTTCTTGAACCCAGGAGGCGGAGGTTGCAGTGAGCCAAGACCATGCCATTGCACTCCAGCCTGGGCAACACGAACGAAACTCCATCTCCAAAAAAAAAAAAAACTTCAAGTGGTGGCATTTAAATTACCCTTCATTCAAGGGCAGCCTTACAAGGCAAAAGGCATTGATAGCAACAACTCTAGAAAGCATGACTGAGCATTGGTGCCATTGTCAGGTCCTGTAATACATATTTACACATCCACTTATTTGTCCTCTAACAACTCTGTGAAGTAGGTTACACTATTACTTGTAGGCTGAAATACAGTTTATCTACCCCCAAGCTAACTGTCCCAAATCACCAACCAGAGGCAAAGAGAGGACACTGGTTGTGCTGGGCGAGATGGCTCACGCCTGTAATCCCAGCACTTTGGGAGGCCGAGGTGGGCGGATCACGAGGTCAGGAGTTCAAGACCAGCCTGGCCAACATGGAGAAACCCCATCTCTACTATAAATACAAAAAAAATTAGCCGGGCGTGGTGGCGCGTGCCTGCAGTCCCAGCTACTCAGGAGGCTGAGGCAGGAGAATCGCTTGAACCCGGGAGGTGGAGGTTGCAGTGAGCCAAGATCGCACCACTGCACTCTAGCCGGGGCAACAGAGTGAGACGCTGTCTCAAAAAAAAAAAAAAAAAAAAAAAAAAAGAGAGGACACTGGTTAACCAGCAGATGAGCCTGCTTTCCCTCATTTTGTCTCTTTTGTAAACGGATAGTTTTTCTAGGAGGCAGACTCTTTCTAAGAACAGCTGCGCTGGGCGTTAGCAAACTCCTATCTATACACTTTCAGCATCTTGAAATAAAGGACCTTATGCCAGTTGCCTTTGGCCTGGGAATGGGTCAGCACCTAGGGTAGCTCAGGCCTTCATGATTGGCAGGTGGACTGACCAACTGACTGGGGCCCCTTTGCCATCTGCACTCATTTTGACTGTGGCCATTTTTGTAATCTATGCTCATTTATTCATTCAACAGGCTGGGCATGGGGGCCTCTCTAATCCCAGCACTTTGGGAGAATGAGGCAGGAGACTCACTTGAGCCCAGGAGTTCAAGGCTGCAGTGAGCTATGATTGTACCACTGCATTCCAACCTGGGAGACAAAGTGAGACCTTGTCTCTAAAAAACATTTTTTTGTTTATTTTCAGATGGAATCTTGCTCTGTCTCCCAGGCTGGAGTACAATGGCACCATCTCTGCTCACTGCAACCTCCGTGACCTGGGCTCAAGCAATTCTCCTGCCTTAGCCTCCGGAGTAGCTGGGATTACAGGCGCCCACCACCATGCCCAGCTAATTTTTGTATTTTTAGTAGAAATGGGGTTTCACTATGTTGGCCAGGCTGGTCTCGAACTCCTGACCTCAGGTGATCCGCCCTCCTCAGCCTGCCAAAGTGCTGGGAATACAGGCATGAGCCACCGCGCCCAGCCAAAATTTTTTTAAATAAATAAATATTCATTCAACAAGCATTGATTGAGTGCCAGCTATATGCTAGGTACCATTTCAAGCACTGGGGATACAACAGTGAACAACACTAGGGGCAATGTATACCCCCAGGGAGCTGGTGGTCTTGTCAGAGAGGCACACATTAAGCAAATGGTTGCATGTGCAATTATTTAACCCATTTCCCATTTACCCCCAGAAATGAACACTGGCAACAAGCTGCACTTTTTTTCTAAATGAGAAATGGGTTAATTACAAGTACGATAAGCACTGAGAAGGAAAAGTTCGTGGTGTTAATGGGAGTGTGCAAATGGGTATCCTAAGTCCGTTGACTGTGAGACTAAGCAATTTTCTTCATTTGGCAGGTATGTTTGATTGACAGGGCTAGGGACAGTGTTAGGTGGTGAGTGCTGGTCAAAGAATAGGGAACAGGCTGGGCGTGGTGGCTCATGCCTGTAATCCCAGCACTTTGGGAGGCCAAGGTGGGTGGACCACTGGAGGTCAGGAGTTCGAGATCAGCCTGGCCAACATTGTGAAACCTGGCCCCTACTAAAAATACAAAAATTAGCTAGGTGTGGTGGCTCACGCCTGTAATCCCAGCTACTTGGGAGGCTGAGGCATGAGAATTTCTTGAACCTGGGAGGCAGAGGCTGCAGTAAGCCGAGATCGTGCCATTGCACTCCAGCTTGGGCGACAGGAATGAAACCCTGTCTCAAAAAAAAAAAAAAAAAAAAGCTTCTGCACAGCAGAAACTATAACAGAATAAATAGACAACCTACAGAACAGGAGAAACTATTTGTAAACTATGCATTCGAAAAAAGAGCTACTATCCACAATCTATAAGGGGACTTAATAAATTAACAAGCAAAAAACAACTCCATTAAAAAATGGACAAAGGACAGGGCCGGGCA
The DNA here is from genome assembly GCF_000001405.40 of Homo sapiens. NCBI lineage: Eukaryota > Metazoa > Chordata > Mammalia > Primates > Hominidae > Homo > Homo sapiens. The sequence goes on from NC_000005.10 coordinate 154,704,845, forward strand.
TAGTGGCTCACGCCTGTAATTCTAGCTCTTTGAGAGGCTGAGGCTGGTGAATCACCTGAGGTCAGGAGTTTGAGACCAGCCTGGCCAACATGGAGAAACCCTGTCTCTACTAAAAATACAAAAATTAGCTGGGCCTGGTGGCATGCGCCTGTAATCCCAGCTACTCAGGAGGCTGAGGAAGGAGAATTATGTGAACCTAGGAGGCGGAGGTTGCAGTGAGCTGAGATTACGCCACTGCACTCCAGCCTGGGCGACAGATCAAGACTCCGTCTCAAAAAAAAAAAAAAAAAGGCAAAGGACATGAAAAGACACTTCTCAAAAGAAAACATACACACAGCCAACTAGCATATGAAAAAATGCTCAACATCACTAATCAGAGAAACGCAAATCAAAACCATGATGAGATACCAACTTACACCAGTCAGAATGGCTGTTATTAAAAAGTTAAAAAATAGGCTAGTCTGAAGATAGTGAGTTATCTCGATTGTTCACAGCCAGTTACAGATCAAACTCCTTGTTCTTTTTATTTATTTATTTATTTTTTTGAGATGGAGTCTCGCTCTGTCACCCAGGCTGGAGTGCAAGTGGTGCAGTATCAGCTCACTGCAACCTCTGCCTCCCAGGTTCAAGGGATTCTCCTGCCTCAGCCTCCCGAGTAGGTGGGATTACAGGCACCTGCCACCACACCGGGTAAAGTTTGTATTTTTCTAATAAAGACCAGGTTTCACCATGTTGGTCAGGCTGGTCTCGAACTCCTGACCTCAGGTGATCTGGCTGCCTTGGCCTCCCAAAGTGCTGGGATTACAGCCATAAGCCACAGCGCCCGGCCAAACTCCTTGTTCTACTCTTTCCCCCTTCTCACTACTGCACTTGACTGTCTTTAAAAAAAAAGGCAAAAAAATAACAGATGCTAGTGAGGTTGCAGAGAAAAGGGAAAGCTTATACACTGTTGGTAGGAATGTAAATTAATTCAGTCGCTGTGGAAAGCAGTTTGGGGATTTCTTAAAGAACTTAAAACAGAACTATATATCAAAAACAAAATAAATCATTTTATCAAAAAGACATATACACTCACATGTTAATCACAGCACTATTCACAATAGCAAAGACGTGGAATCAACCTAGATGCCCACCAACGGTGGACTGGATAAAGAAAATGTGGTACATATGGCCGGGCGCGGTGGCTCACGCCTGTAATCCCAGCACTTTGGGAGGCTGAGGTGAGCAGATCACCTGAGGTCAGGAGTTCCAGACCAGCCTGGCCAACACGGCGAAACCCCATCTCTACTAAAAATCAAAAATTAGCTGGGCATGGTGGCAGGGACCTATAATCCCAGCTACTTGGAGGCTGAGGCAGGAGAATCACTTGAACCTGAGAGGCAGAGGTTGCAGTGAGCCAAGATGGCACCACTGCACTGCAGCCTGGGAGACAGAGTGCGACTTTGTCTCAAAATAATAATAATAATAATAATAATAATAATAATAATAATAAAATGTGGTACATATACACCATGGAATACTACACAGCCATACAAAAAGAATGAAATCATGTCCTTTGCAGCAACATGGATGGAGCTGGAGGTCATTATCCTAAGCAAGTTAATACAGAAACAGAAAACCAAATAACCACATGTTCTCACTTGTAAGTGGGAGCTAAACTTTGAGTACATAGGGCCTCAAAGATGGAAATGGTAGACACTGAGGATTTACTTGAGAGTGGAGGGTGGGAGGAGGGTGAGGATTGAAAAACTACCTATCCTGTACTATGCTTGTTACATGGGTGATTAAATAATCTGTACACCAAATCCCTCTGACTCACAATTTACGTATATAACAAACCCACACACACATCCCCTGAACCTAAAATAAAAGTTGGAAAGTTGGAAAAAAAAAAAACAAAAAACTTAACCTAAAGTAATCAGAAACAGAAGTAGCCAATAAAGTAGGGACTTGTCTATAAGGTAAACAAACAAAAAAAGAGGCAATTTTATAACTGCGACAAACCAGATAATTTTTAAATTTTGCTCCTGCATTTTCCCAGTAAATACTTGCCTCTGACACTTTGTCATTGAAAAAAAGAAATAAATCTCTCTATTTCACACCATCCCCCCACATTTATGGTCCCAAAATCAAAAGTACCATAATTTATTCATTTTGGTTGTTTTCAGTTCTTCCAACTTAAAAAAATGCTTTTGTCTGTCTCTTAATGGCTAGAGTTTCTCTTGTGTATATATCCAGTCATAGAGTTTTTGGATCATGGAGTATTCCCAAATTGCTCTCAAAAGTTGTAGGGCCTGGGAGCAGTGACTCGAGCCTGCAATCCCAGCACTTTGGGAGGCTGAGGTGGGAGGCCAGGAGTTTGAGAATAGCCTTGGCAATACAGCCAGACCCTATCTCTAAAAAAAAATGTTTTAATGTAAAATAAATAAAATATCATTAAGAACTCATGGATTTAAATACGTTTGATATTTTTCAACCCCTTGCAGTTATTTTCTTTACTGATACTCAAGGAGTCCTGACTGTGACCAATGGGAGTCTCTTTGACACAACTCTATCTTCATTGATTTGTGACACTAGAAAATAGTCTAAGTACATATTGTACATTTTCTGCCTCAAAGCTGGAATTGGCTACTTATTTTTTCAAAGACACCTTGGTTCCTTTTAGTGGAAAATAGTATTTAGAGACCACAGTCTGGGCACTATAAGTGCTCACTATTTGCTAAAGCAGCAGTCCTTAACCTTTTTGGCACCAGGGACCAGTTTTGTGGAAGACAATTTTTCCACAGCTGGGGTGGGGGGGCATGGTTTCAGGATGATTCAAGCACATTACATTTATTGTGCACTTTATTTCTATTATTATTATATTGTAATATGTTCAATTTTCTGCAACTAGACGGTCCCATTTGGGGGTGATGGGAGATAGTGACACCCAAAGTGGGTTGCTTATGTCCAGTCTACTCCGTAATCTTGTTTTGGTTGCTGACACTGCAGAAAACCCTGCTTCACAAGGATATGCTGTTGGAAACAGAAGGAAGCAGGCTTTTCAGTGCTTTTGTGGCAGTCTCAGGATATTCTGCCTTGACTTTAATCCAGAACGTATGGAGATTTGAAGTCCCAAACATACTTTTAAGGCCACCGTCATTTGCCCTCTCAAGCAGTTGATCCGCTTCTAGCATGGACAATGTCAAGTCACTTGGCTTATTCACAAATGGGTCGCGGATCCATTCCTTCCCAGTTCGGGGGTCTTTTGTGGTTGAAAAGTAATGCTCAAACTCTTTTGAAAGCTGAGATAGGTGATCATGCACCAGCTGAGAGAAAGAAGGCACTGGCTCAGTCTCTTTCTTTCAAAAATCTCTGCTAATGCTTGAAACCTATCAGAAATCCCAATGCTCACTCGTCGCCCCCATAATTCCAGTTCGGCTTTGAATGCAGCCACTTTATCTGCCAACTTGAACATAGTGGTCGTTGTCCCCTGAAGTGACAGATTGAGTTCATTGAGCAGGTTGAATATGTCACACGAGTTTTGCAACCCATTCTGTGTCACTGACATATGCTGCCAGTGGTGACTATTTTTCTAAAAGAAATCTCTTGTAACTCAGAAACTCTGGCCAGTGATCTACCTTTAGAAAGCCATTTCACATCTGTGTATAAGAGAAGACATGTGTGCTCTGTGTCCATTTCCTCACAGAGCTGCACAAACAGATGTGAGTTAAGGGCATGTACTATAATGTGGCTGATCATTTTAATTACGTTCTGCAAAATGTTTTTTTTTGTTGTTGTTGTTTTGAGACAGAGTTTCATTCTTGTTGCCCAGGCTGGAGTGCAATGGTGATCTCGGCTCACCACAACTTCCACCTCCTGGGTTCAAGCGATTCTCCTGCCTCAGCCTCCTGAGTAGCTGGGATTATAGGCATGCACCACCACACCCAGCTAATTTTGTATTTTTAATAGAGACGGGGCTTCCCCATGTTGGCCAGGCTGGTCTCGAACTTCCGACCTCTGGAGATCCACCCACCTCAGCCTCCCAAAGTGCTGTGATTACAGGTGTGAACCACTGCGCCTGGCCTACAATGTTGTTAAGTTCAGGTGACATTTCAGCATTTCTCTATGGATAAAACAAGCATTGTTGCCTTGTTGTCAACATTGGTAGACTCGTCAACCTGGATTGCGTACCACGGTGACTCATTAATCCTCTGTAACAATTGTGTCTCAATATCCTCTGCCAGTTCATCAATTTGTCCAGTTGTGGTGCTAGCCAAAAGAGGAACACGTGTCACCTTTTGAACTGCAGCCTCTCCCAAAAGTTCATGACAAATGTCCTTAGCAGCAGGCAGAATCAACTCTTCACCAATAGTAAAGGCTTCTTAGCTTTAGCAATGCAGTTAGCCACTAAGAATGATGCTCTCAGTGCAGACACATTTGATGAAGTGGTGGCCTTCAATAATTGCTTCTGCTCTTCATGTTCACATTCTTTTCTTTTGAAAACTCCAAAAGCTTGTCTTTTGATGCAGGGTGCTTGGCCTCCATGTGGTGAAGCAGTTTTGAAGGTTTCATGGCTTCATTGGATAGCCAGTCGCCACATATTATACAAAGCAGGCTTGGAGAATGTGAATCACGTGTTGCAATGAACCCATAATTTAAGTAGGACTCTTGGTATTTTCTTTTAAGTGCAGCTTTCTTTTTGTGGCAGTCTGAGTCTTCTGCTCTGTCATCATTGGTTCTTTCCGGCTTTTCAAAGAAGCTCTCCAGTGAGATTTTTTTTTTTTTTTTTTTTTTTTTTTACTCATTTTGGCTAGAGTTAGCTTGTGGGCTCACCAAAACTGTGACCAAGGCGAGTGTGCAGTGTGGGAAAGAGGCGCAGATGGAAGCAGTAAATAAAATAATGAGCGGGCCACGTATGGACTAAAATAAGTGTCAGATGCTGACCTAAAGCCTGCCACCAGATGCAGCTTAATTGTCACTTGCTACTCACTGATAGGGTTTTGATATGAGTCTGCAAGCAACTGATTTATTATGGTCTCTGTGCAATCAAACCTCTCTGCTAATGTTAATCTGTATTTGCAGCCGCTCCCCAGTGCTAGCATCGTCACCTCAATTCTACCCCAGATCATCAGGCATTAGGTTCTCATAAGGAGTGCACAACCTAGATCCCTGCCATATGCAGTTCACAATAGGGTTCAGGCTTCTATGAGAATCTAATGCTGCCGTTGATCTGACAGGAGGTGGAGCTCAGGGGGTAATGCAAGTGATGGGGAGCCGCTGTAAATACAGACAAGGCTTTGGTGGCTGCCCGCCGCTCACCTCCTGCTGTGGGGCCCAGTTTCTAACAGGCCACAGACTGGTACCAGTCCATGGCCTGCGAGTTGGGGACCTCTGCACTAAAGGATTGGTCATTGTTTCTAGACCTGAAAACAGTAAACAGAGCTAGGGAATTCACTTAGTTTATTTGTTTTCAGATCGGCTAAATAAAAAATTCATACTGAGAGGCCAGGCACAGTGGCTTATGCCTGTAATCCCAGTACTTTGGAAGGCCGAGGTGGGAGGATTGATTAAGCCCAGGAGTTGAAAACCAGCTTGGTCAATATAGTGAGACCCTATCTGTTAAAAAAAAAATTTAGGCCAGACACGGTGGCTCACACCTGTAATCCCAGCACTTTGGGAGGCCAATGTGGGCAGATCATGAGGTCAGGAGTTCGAGACCAGCCTGACCGACATGGTGAAACCCTGTCTCTACTAAAAATTCAAAAAATTAGCCGGGCATGGTGGCGTGCACCTATAATCCCAGCTACTCAGGAGGCTGAGGCAGGAGAATCGCTTGAACTCAGGAGGTGGAAGTTGCAGTGAGCCAAGATCGCGGCACAGCACTCCAGCCTGGGCGACAGAGTGAGACTCCATCTCAAAAAAAAAAAAAAAAAAAAAATCATACTGAAACCTCTAATACAAACACAGGATTATGCATTTTTTACTTAACCCCTTTCGTCTTTCACTTGTATTTTTCTCCCACACCAAAAGTCCTGGTTCTCAGCAATACCAACAAACTCACTTGCTTTATTACATACTGTATATCCAACAGTCTCAGAATAATACCAAAGCTACTACTAACAATGTGAGACTGAAAACAGGCAGCCCTTTTTAAAAATCAGAGTAAAAAATTCTGAAAATGAAAGTGGAAAGGAACCCCACAGGAAGGGTCTGTGCTGACCCCATGTGACAGTGTGGCCGTTTGCATTACTGCTGGAATTTTGAAGACTACTACATATTCCGTCAGTGTCAGGATTTTGTTCTTCAGTGTGGTACTTTTTTTTTTTTTTTTTTAAGATGGAGTCTCACTCTGTCGCCTGGGTTGGAGTGCAGTGGTGTGATCTTGGCTCACTGCAACCTCCAGCTCCCGGGTTCAAGCGATTCTCCTGCCTCAGCCTCCTGAGTAGCTGGGATTACAGGCATGCGCCACCACACCTGGCTTATTTTTGTATTTTTAGTAGAGACGGGGTTTCACTATGTTGGTCAGGCTGTTCTTGAACTCCTGACCTCGTGATCCGCCCACCTCAGCCTCCCAAAGTGTTGGGATTACAGGCGTGAGCCACCGCACCCGGTAGTGTGGTACACTCTTAAAATCATAGTTCCTGCTGTCTGGGAGTTTACATATGTCTACAGAGTGGAAGAAGCATGAGATTATAGCAGTGTAGGCTACCAGAATGATTGTTGGGTTGGTAACCCAAGTATGCTGGTCACCCCAAAGCTTCAGTTTCCTTGTCTTCTACATGAGGATAAAGAAAGGAAGGAGGAATTTACAAGAGGGAATCTTGGGCAAGTTGAATCATCTTTCTGAATTCTTGAATTACCTTCCAGGAATAAATAAGGAATAGATAAAATTCCTTATCTATTAAGAGGGGGTACAGGGATTGGACTATATTGTAGTGACAGCAGCTTTCTTTCTGTTCTCCAAACGTACCTGCTTCGGGGACCTTATACTTGGGGTTGGTTCTCTGTGCATTGAACACTCTTGCTCCAGCTCTTCCAATGTCTCGTTCCTTGTCATCATTCATGTCTCAGCTTTAATATCACCTCCCTAGGGAGGGCCTCCTGACCACATCATTGAAAATATCCATCCTCCATTACTTTATCATATCAACCTATTTCATTTTTGTGGAACTATTACTTATCTAATTGGCTTGTTTATATCTAGATCCCCTCTCTCCAGAATGTAAACTCAATAAAAGTAAGGTTCTTGACTTTCTTGTTCATTGATATGTCCCTAGGAACTAAAACAGAGCCTGACACATAATAGCTGCTGAATAATAATGCCTTTTGAATAATGAATGCCTGATAAATGACTGGATGAGCTATATAATCTCCAAAGTCTCTTTCAGCTTTAAACCCAAGATTATATACTCATTATAGTGAGTAGAGGATCACTAGCATGACTATACCATGCTACAGATGTGGAAACTGAGGCAGTGAGTGACTTGCCAAAGGCTTTGCAAACAGGAAAGTGGTGTGGTCCAACAGAACCGTATGGGAAGTCAAAAGCAGGAGACTCGGGTTTGGATCCTCACACCATCCCTCTCTGTCGACCTTCCTTGCAAGGGCTGTGTGAACTGGACAAGCCACTTCACCCCTCCAAGGACTCAGTTGTTCCACTGAAAAGAGAAGATGTACTAATAACTCTGCCCCAGGGTCACTGTGAGATCATGTAGTCTGAACCGCACTAAGCACTTTGCAGAGTGTTTTGCTCTTCCTTTAGCCCCAGCTTGTTTTCCAGGGTGGAGAGTGGAGGTGAGGAAGGAAGCCCAGGACCAGGGCTGTGGAGGAGGGGAGACTCAGCGGGTTGCCACCATTTGTTTACTCACCTGAGTCTCTCTGCCTCTAGCCTAGCTGTGCTCCCCGCTAAGGTAAAGAGGTGGGGTAGCCTTGCTCGGCCAATGAGCTGCCGTCGCTCTCTTAAAGGCACCCAGCGTCTGGAAGGAAAACTAGCCTGGCAACCTGGAGAGCTCCCGGGCCAGAGCCAGGAGGCAGCTGTGCGATCTGGATGTACCTAAACCCTCCAGGGCCACATAGTGACCCCAGGCCCTGGTCACTCCATGCTTTGGAGGGTGCTTTTGTCAAAGAGGCCTCCTTTCCCTCACCCAGAGCTGGATTTCCAAGAGGCTCCCATACCTAGCTGCCCTGGCAGACTCCCAGGGAGGAAAAACAGCGTGGCCTTGGCAGCTGCCCCGAGGAAGGAGCCCACAGGTGACAGGGAGAAGCCATTGCCATTCCCTGTCCTGGCCCCCTTCAGCAACCCTGGTGAGTCCTAGCACTCTGCGTTTCTTGAACCTCAGGACAGCAGGGTGTGGTAGGAAGATCCTTCTCCCTAGGGGCAGAAACCTTGGGTGCTGGTTCCAGCCCTGCTGTGTGACCCTGAGCGAGTCACTCCAGCTCTCTGAACCTCACATTCCCCATCTGGGAAAATGAGGAGCTCAAATTCCACTCTCAGCTTTCCTCTTCTATTGTTTTCCCTTGTCACACCCCTTGTTCTGAAAGATTTAAGTCTGTCAGCTGCACCTGTTACATAATAATTTGTTAATTGGTTTTCCTCTTCTATGTGAATTGTGGCCCTGTAATAGCCAATCAGTGTTTTTTGGTTAGCAGACACAAACCACTAAATTGATGCAGGTTTAGCCAAAAGCAGTGTAGTATTTTATTCTGTCTGTGAGATCTTATCTAGAGTCGATATTTGATTTTCATTTGACCTTTTGAAATATGAGAAATAGAGCATTTGTGAGTAATTTCCAGGGAATGGGGTCCCCAGGTGGGGAACTCCTAGATCTAGTTTGCATGGGGTTTATAAGGACACCAGCAAAATCCTGCCTTCACGCCCAAGCTGAGCTTTGGTCTCTGCAGTGCTGCCTCACACACAGGGTTCATTCTTGAAAGTGAAAGCTTTGGACTTAAAAATTTCCTATGTGGAGAGACTGCTCCCAGGAGTCCCCACAGTGAGTTTACCCCACCTCTAGCTGGCTGAGGCTAGGGAAGCCTGGTTGGGGGAGCTGAGGTCTCCCTCAGCCCTCTGTTAGGGTGTGGCCAGGAGAGTGATGGGAACAGGTAGGTATGAACACAGGGCCTGGAGGCCAGGAATATATGGTAGATACCGCTTGTGCTGAAAATCAGGAGCTAGGCCTGCAGTTCTGGTTCTGCACTGACTAGCTCTGTGACCTCAGGCAAATTGTTTACCTCTTTGAACTCAGTTTTCCCAGCTGCAAAATGGGGATTGTAATCTGGGCAATGCTTGCCTACCAGGATTGTTCTTATGACCAAACAAAGTCTGTTCCATGGAAGCTTAGATTCCACAGATTTTAAGATAAATTCAGATTTAAAAATACATTTTGGGATTGATGAGGTAAGGTAATGAATGTTTTGTAAAATGCGGCCTCTGTAGTAATTATTTTCTCCAATCACTGTGTGATAATAATTAATGTGATAAAAGAATTACTGATTATGATGGAATCGTGGCTGCTTGTTTAAATCCTTTTACTTTAAAAAAATACCATTTACTGGGACTTTTTGAAATGTACAATCATATAAACAAAAAGAAAGGGGAAATAGCTCACTGAGTCATGGTATTTTCTAACGACTCGTGGGATGGGAACCCAGTCCTGGAATGTGGCCCCATTGGAAGCAGCAGGATAATACAATGGTTAGAACAGGCATGTTGGAGTAGAGGATCTTGGGCTCAAATATATACTGTAAGACCTACTGATGACCCTGGGTGTAAGTCACTTTTCTTTTCAAAGCCCCTTCTGTGCAGTCACTTGAGCTTCAGCCACCCTGTTCTCTCCTTTCCTGCAGCTCCCTGCTGAGTAAATAAATCTCAGAGAATGTTGGTTTCAAGGGTTGTGGCAGCACCCTCTCTCGGGGTAGAGCCTATGGTAGAAGGAGTGGAGTGAAAGTGAAAGCCAAAACAGTTTCTAGGAATAGGGAACTCAGGCAGGTATTTGAGTAACAATGTGTGTGAGCGTTGTGTGCGTATACGCATGTGTGCATGTGCACAGGAGCTAATGAAATTAAAAATGAAGCCGGGTGCGGTGGCTCACGCCTATAATCCTAGCACTTTGGGAGGCTGAGGCAGGCAAATCATGAGGTCAGGAGTTTGAGACCAGCTTGGCCAACATGGTGAAACTCCGTCTCTACTAAAAATACAAAAAAATTAGCTGGGCGGAGTGGTGGGCACCTGTAATCCCAGCTACTCAGGAGGCTGAGGCAGGAGAATCGCTTGAACCCGGGAGGCAGAGGTTGCAGTGAGCCGAGATCACGACACTGCACTCCAGCCTGGGCGACAGAGCGAGACTCTGTCTCAAAAAAAAGAAGAAATTAAAGTTGAAGATTTTAAGGCCCCTGAAGGGTCATGTTAGCCAGTCCCCTGCTCTGGGGCAAGCCTCTCTTTTTTTTTTTTTTTTTTTTTGAGTCAGTTTCACTTATTGCCCAGGCTGGAGTGCAATGGCTTGATCTCGGCTCACCGCAACCTCCGCCTCCCGGGTTCAAGCGATTCTCCTGCCTCAGCCTCCTGAGTAGCTGGGATTACAGGCATGTGCCACCACGCTCAGCTCATTTTGTATTTTTAGTAGGTCAGGCTGCTCTTGAACTCCCGACCTCAGGTGATCTGCCCGCCTCGGCTTCTCAAAGTGCTGGGATTACAGGCATGAGCCACCGTGCCCGACCAAGCCTGTCTTTTAACCAACACTGAAACGTTGCTGCTGAACACCAGGGAAGACTCCTAAACGTTTTCCTTGGTAACCAGCCTTGGCATCTCAAAATCCTCCCAAGAGTGAATGCGGGGTGTGTGCGAATATTTTTTGAGTGCCTTGGGTATCTGAGTTAGAGTTCCAGGGACACCGAATGACCAAACCTTGGGGAAAAAATAGATTTGAAGTGAATGGACTAGGGAGCAGAAGGGATTGGGAATTCCTCCAATTAGGAACTTTAGTGGAGTAGCTATAGTTATTGCGTACCTACGATGAGCTAACAATTTTACTAGATGTTTTGAAGTCATTACCTTATTTATCCTCACAGTAGCCCATTTTACTATTCCCATTTTACAGGAGAGAGTATTGAAGCTCAGGGAGGCTACAAATCTTAAATAAAATTACTCAGACAAGCAGTGGCAGAACTCCGAATCAGGTCTTTATATGTCTAAATCTGGAGCCTGGGGCCCTTACCCCTTCCACCAGAAGTTACAAATCAGGCTAGACTGCAGTTCTCGGTTGTGTTTTGTTTGGCCTACACAGTGGTGTTTTACTATTTTTTGTTTCTTTTTGAGATGGAGTCTTGCTCTGTTGCCCAGGTTGAAGTGGAATGGTGCAATCTCAGCCCCCTGCACCCTCTGCCTCCCGGGCTCAAGCGATTCTTGTGCCTTAACATCTGTAGCAGCTGGGATTACAGGCGCCCGCCACCACGCCCAGCTATTTTTTTGTATTTTTAGTAGAGATGGGGTTTTGCCGTGTTGGCCAGGCTGGTCTCGAATTCCTGACCTCAGGTGATCTGCCCGCCTCAGCCTCCCAAAGTGCTAGGATTACAGGCATAAGCCACCATGCCCAGCCTTTTACTGTTTAAAAAGTTAGATGCCAACATTTTATTTTGTTTTGAGACAGAGAGTATCACTCTGTCACCCAGGCTGGAGTGCAGTGGAGCCATCTCGGCTCACTGCAACCTCCACATCCAGGGTTCAAGCGATCCTCCTGCCTCAGCCTCCCAAGTAACTGGGATTACAAGCATGCACCACCACACCTGGCTAATTTTTGTATTTTTAGTAGAGATGGGGTTTCACCATGTTGCCCAGGCTGGTCTCCAACTTTTGACCTCAAGTGATCCACCTGCCTTGGCCTCCCAAAGTGTTGGGATTACAGGTGTGAGCCACTGCACCCAGCTGATGGCAACATTTTAAAATGAGATCATTTGGCCAGGCACAGCAGCTCACACCTGTAATCCCAGCACTTTGCGGGGCTAAGGCAGGCAACTTGCTTGAATCCAGGAGTTTGAGACTGACCTGGGCGACATGGCAAACTCCGATCTCTACAAAAAATTCAAAAATTAGCCGGGCGTCATTGAGTGCATCTGTTGTCCCAGCTACTCAGGAGCTGAGGCAGGAGGATTTCCTTGAGCCAGGGAGGTAGAGGTTGCAGATAGCCAAGATCAAGCTGCTGTACTCCAGCCTGGGTAAGAGAATGAGACCCTGTCTCCAAAAAAAAAAAAAGAAAAAGAAAAAAAAGGAGAGAGAGAGAGACAGACTATTTAATATAAAAATCTAGAGTCTAACATGTCTTTAAAAACCAGAAGAAAGATCTGGCACTATATGTCCACATTCTCATATGCCAACAACCAACTTGAGCTGCTGCTTTTAAACAGGGCTTGTGACATCTAGTTTGCTACAGTCCCTACCATTCCCTACTATTCTACCCAGCCTACTTTCTCATTTGTGATGCCAGCCTGGCCCCACAAGCCTGTGGTTATTCAACCTCTGCATTGCACTCTACTCCTTACTTACATAGCTGGGCCCTGGTCCTAGTGCTGGCTTGAACTGGCTGTGACATTAGGTAAGTTATGGCACCTGTTTGGGTTTCTGCTGTAACCTGGGCTAGCCATACTCTGAAATAACTTCCTAAGTGGCTTTCTGCATTGCTTTGCAAGAAACCACAAGTCTCCAACACATCTTGGCTACCTAGCTAATCTGAGTCCATGTAAATTATACCAGAAGTGACTGGTGTTATTCACTCTCTGTCACCATCACTTCACTGCTATTCTTTGTAACACAGGACATTTAGGGACAGGTAAGGCCTGGTGATATCAGTACTGGTAGGATGCCAATTCCCAATACTTTGATCAAAAAGTCTGACTTCCACGTGCCTCCACTCATCTGTTCCAGGAGGCCTAATTGAACCCTGAGGAGCTCTACTGAGATTTCAGCATCTGGGTGTCCTATTCTGACCCCATTTTTGCTACATGAGAGAAAATGTGTAGCCCAGGTGAGAATGTTCTCTCTTTCTCTGACACATATACACACACACACACACACCTATGGGTTAGAAATAGCCTTTCATTTTCTTTTTTCTTTTTAAGAGTCAGTGTTTCACTCTGTCACCCAGGCTGCAGTGCAGTGGCACCTTCTTAGCTCACTGCAGTCTCAAAATCCTGGGCTCAAGGAATCCTCCCACCTCAGCCTCCCTAGTAGCTGGGACTACAGGTGTAGGCCACCATGCCCAGCTAACTTAAAATTTTTTTTTTTGTAGAAACGGGGTCTCACTTTGTTGCCCAGCCTGGTCTCAAATTCCTCGTGTCAAATGAACCTCTTGCCTCAGCCTCCTGAGTTGCTGGGATTATAGGCAGAGCCACCTCACCAGCAGAAATAGACACCTTTACAGGTCTCTGCATCTAACTAGTATCTTACTTGGGTTTCTGAGATCAGATCTTTAAAGCCATAGAATATCAGAGATGGAAATGTGGGTGGTGCCTTATCATCTATTCTTTTGTCTTTCTCTCTTTTCTTTTTTGTTCATTGATTTGTTTGAGATGGGGTCTTGTTATTTTGCCCAGGCTGGAGTGCAGTGGCGATTCACAGGTATGATCCCACTACTGATCAGCATGGGAGCACTGGAGTTTTGACCTGCTCCATTTCCAACCTGGGCCAGTTCACCCCTCCTTAGGCAACCTGGTGGCCCCCCACTCCAGGGAGGTCACCACATTGATGCCAAACTTAATACAGACACCTGATTAGCATATTGTGCTATACCCCAGAACTCTTGGACTCAAGTGATCCTCCTGCCTAAGCCTCCTAGGTAGCTGGGACCAGAGGCATAGGCCATTGTGCCCAGCTAGATCATCTAGTACAGTAATAGCAAATAGGCTCCACTTCATTTGCCAATTCCAGTCAACAAGTAGAGTGTTGAAAAGGCTTGGAAGCTACCTACGGGCATGGAATGATCAGACTCTGAGATCTCTCAACAATGTCTGTTGTGGGCATGGCAAGGGGGAATGGCAGTATCTATATTAGAAATTTGCTATCCTTGAGCCAGCCAATCTCCTTCTTACACAGATATGAAAGCTGGTGTGGGAAGGGGTGATGACTTGCCCAAAGTCATGTGGCAAGGCAAGGCAGAAGTAGATCCAGAAGCAGGGTCTCTCTTGACCTTGAAGCCATGATTGCTCCCACTGTATTAGCTCAGAGAAGAAAACTGAGGCTGGGAAGGGCAATGACTGAAGCAAGATTAGGACCTAGGAGTCCTGGGAAGCCTGGCTGGGATAGGGGCTAAGAAATTCAGTTCGGTGCCCCTAGCCTGAGCCCTGCCAGCCTGGCCTATTGGCCTCTGCTCCACTTCTCAGAGTCCCTTTACTCCTGTCCCAGTTTCCTGTCTCATTTTCCTCAGGTTCAGAGAGTGCACATCGAAGCAGAGGGGCCTCTGGGGATCCTAGGCCCTACATACCCTCTTTTGGCAGCCTTCAGCAAGCTCCCAGCTCCCTCTCTTCTGGAAGAGAAGTCCTAGGACAAGGGTTTTTAACCTTATTGATGTCATGGATCCCTTGACAATCTGCGAAACCTATGGGCTCCTTCTCAGAATATTTTTAAATACCTAAAATACATAGGATGACAAAGGAAACCAATCATCCTGAAATACAACTATCAAAATAAAAGAAATTGCAATAGCAATATATGATTCTTTATTAGTACATTAAAAATGAAGTCTAGTGGCAGATATAACTATTGTAGCCAGGCGTGGTGGCTCACGCCTGTAACTCCAGCACTTTGGGAGGCCGAGGTAGGTGGATCACATGAGGCCAGGAGTTTGAGACCAGCCTGACCAACATGGTGAAACCCCATCTCTACTAAAAATATAAAAATTAGCTGGACACGGTGGCACATGCCTGTAATCCCAGCTACACAGGAGCCTGAGGCATGAGAATCACTTGAGGCCAGGAGGCAGAGGTTGCAGTGAGCCGAAATTGTGCCACTGCACTCCAGCCTGGGTGACAAAGTGAGACTCTGTCTCAAAAAAAAAAAAAAAAAGATATAACTATGGTAATTTTAAAGTAACACTGGCCGGGCATGGTGGCTTATGCCTATAATCCCAGCACTTTGGGAGGCTGAGGCAGGTGGATTGCCTGACCTCAGGAGTTTGCGACCAGCCTGGGCAACAAGGTGAAACCCCGTCTCTACTAAAATACAAAAATTAGCCAGGCGTGATGGCATGTGCCTGTAGTCCCAGCTACTTGGGAGACTGAAGCAGGAGAATTGCTTGAACCTGGAAGGCGGAGGTTGCAGTGAGCTGAGATCGCACCACTGCATTCCAGCCTGGGCAACAGAGCGAGACTCTGTCTCAAAATAATAATAATAATAGTAATAATAATAATAATACTAACCATAGATGGTATTTTTGAAAGATCTGCAACAACCATAATGTGATATTAAAATATCTGTGATTTCTTTTGGTGACACAGTCACAGGAACTGCCAATACTGCTGTGGGTCATTGCCTACATTTATAACTAAACAAAATGCTGACTTGAGTTACAGGTTAGGGAAAATAGAGTGGTTTGTAATGGTTCATAACTGGAAAACAGAGGCTAGGTGTAGTGGCTCACACCTGTAATTCCAACATCTTGGGAGGCTGAGGTAGGAGGATCACTTGAGCCTGAGAGTTTGAGACAAGCCTGAGCAACATAGGGAAACTCTATCTCTAAAAATTTAAAAATTAGCCAGGTGTGGTGGCACATGTCTGCAGTCCCAGCTGCTCAGGAAGCTGAGGTGGGAGAATCACTTGAGCCCAGGAGCTTGAGGCTGCAGTGAGCTGAGATCGTGCCACTGCACTCCAGCCTGGGCAACAGAGAGAGACCGTGTCTTGGGAAAAAAGAAAAGAGAAGAAAAAATTCTTTCCTTCCAAGTTCAGAGATACCCTGAATTCTATTTGTGGACCCAGGCTGAGAACCTTTGTTTTGGGAGGTTCATGCAGGAGTCTGCTGGGCCAGTGGTTTGCAAACTGCGGGCTACGGAACCCTGAAGATTCTGGAAGTGTCAAGGAAGCTGTCAAACAGTGGATGAGTTGAGGTAGCAAGCAGGAAAACCATCCAATCAGAGAGCCTCTGAGTCTGCATCCATAATCTCTGCTTCAGCTTGAGAAGGTTCTTTTCTATTTGAGTTCATTTCAGTGATTCATATGATTCCATTGTCTTAAAGAAAAAAAAAAGAGGGGTGCTGGGCACGGTGGTTCACACTTGTAATCCCAGCTCTTTGGGAAGCTGAGGTGGGAGGATCACTAGATCCCAGGGGTTGGAGACTTGCCTGGGCAACATAGTGCAACCTCGTCTCTAAAAATATATATTTTATAGATTAGCCCGGCATGGTGGTGCACGTCTATAGTCCCAGCTACTCCAGAGGCTGAGGTGGGAAGATCCCTTAAGCCTAGGAGGTCGAGGTTGCAGTGAGCTATGATAGCACCATTACACTCCAGCCTGGGCAACAGAGCGAGACTCCGTCTCAAAAAAAAAAAAAAAAAAAAAAAAAGTGTCAGGGATTCCTCTGTTTGTTTGAATGTTGAAAACGTTCATGTGGCCCCACCCACAGCTTCATATGACATAAAGGAAAGCCGAGGCTGAAAGAAGTGAAGGGGTCCTACGTTACCGTTACCATTTGGTGGCAGGTTTGGGGGTGTAGGGGAGGCCAGGGAAAGGAGCTGGGAAGCAGCTGGGCACAGGTGAACTTCCTTGTACCTCTTCCTGCCAGCCACTGCAGGGAAGCACCTTGTGTGGCTGAGTGCTGGGCCAAGAGTCAGGAAACTGGAATTCAACATCCTAGTTCTGCTGCTAAGGTTTCTCATTTGCAAAGTTTCTCATCTCAAGTTTCTCATTTGCAAGACAGAGATGATAATGCACAAGTGTTGAGAGAACCAATCCAGAGAAGGCTGTAAGGAACATAAGGCTGCGGTTAAAGGGGTTGTAATGTATTTGTCTCCACGGCCTGGCACTCTTTTCTCCATGCTCCTGGAATGCTTTCTCTCCATACTGACAAACCAGATATTCCCTGTATCCTATGACAGTATCATCCCATTCACCCAGCACAATGACACAGTCAGATTTATGGTTGAACGTCCAGTCACTCAGTCTACCAGCTTACCTCCTAAATATCTCCTCTTCACTGTTTCCACTGCTATGGCATTATCTTTGGCCTTCATTTCTCTAACAGCCCCCAATTTCTCTCTGTGCCTCAGGCTGCCTTCCATGGAGCCAAAACACGTTCTGACCACGTCTTTCTTCTACTGTAAAGTCCTTAGTGACCCCTCACTGTGTGCAAGGCCAAGTCTAGCCCCTGCAGAATATGGCAACCTAGACTCCGCATGATCTGCCTTCAGCTTCCCCGCCCTCTCCCTTTTTCCAGCATCCCTACCTCCTCCTGCAGGGAGGCTGCTGGACTCCTTTTGCTGTCTTCCCTCCCTGCCTTTTTCATTACCTAGACAATAGTGCAACACCAGGGAGCTATGAGAAGAGGAGATTCAGGAGCCTGGGAATATTGCTCTCCCCAGGCTGGTGGGTGGGCAGGAGGAAACTGAACACACACAGGACTCAGGAGTTCTGTTGATAGGTTAGAGAACAGGTGTGACCCTGCCCTCATTCTGGGCCAGACAGGGGTTATTTTCAGAGACCAGCCGGTAGCACATGGAGAGGTCACCTGCACAGTCAGGAAGAGTCTACCATTTCTATACTTACAGGAACCAGATCACCAGGAACAGGATATAGCCAGGCAGTGGAGAATTCATAGAATCCCTCATTCTTAGAATGTTAGAGGTGAAAGGGACCTCATGCATCTTTCCTAGGTTTTTTTTTTTTTTTTTTTTGAGACGGAGTCTCACTCTATCGCCCAGGCTGGAGTGCAGTGGCGCTATCTCAGCTCACTGCAACATCTGCCTCCCAGATTCAAGCGATTCTCCTGCCTCAGTCTCCTGAGTAGCTGGAACTACAGGTGCGTACCACCATGCCCAGCTAATTTTTGTATTTTTAGTAGGGATGGGGTTTTATCATGTTGGCCAGCCTGGTCTCAAACTCCTGACCTCAGGTGATCCACCCACCTCGGCCTCCCAGAGTGCTGGGATTACAGGCGTGAGCCAGCACACCCAGCCTCTTTCCTAGGTTTTAACTCTTCTCTGCTTCAGACAAAAAAGTAAAGTCCAGAGAAGGGAAGTGACTTGGCCAAGGTCATACAGTGAGTTGAGGTAGAGCCTGAACGAAAGCCAACATCTGATTTTCTTCCCAACTTTCATGTTCTGGGCTCTGGCCTCTGGACTCTCACCAGGAGTCTGAGTAACTGATCCAGGACTGATTTACCAACAATGGGTTAATGTGTCACTGCTGGGATTTGCAAGTGCCAGCTCTAACAGGGGTTGTCAATGCCTTAACCCTAAGGTTTTCAGCTGGGGAACAGTGATGGGTTACAAGTGTGCTGAGATATAGAACCCTTGGGCCATAAGTGGCCAGGTGGAGACTGGGGCAGCCAGAGCCCACGGTCCTGCTGGGATAGTCACCTTCAGGCCTCAAACAGCTTCCACATAAGTTTAGCCCCACGGGTATCCAAGTATTACCATGGACTGGGATGGGGAAAGTTGGGAAGCACTGTGTAAACCCTAAAACATGAGTTATTTTAGGGGTGGTATAGGCAAAGGTGGAGAAAGGGAGAGTTTGAAGATACAGGTTCTAGTTCTGGCTGTACCACTTCCTTCTGACATATATTCTAGGGGGGAAAATAATGAGAAAAAATAAAAGGTACCATTTTGTCTCATTTAATCTTTCAAACAGTTCTATAAAAGTAGGTGCTGTTATCAACTGCATTATACAGATGAGGAAACTGAGTCAGGGAAATTAAGAGACTTAGCCAAGAGCCCACAACCAGGAAGTAGTATGCCAGAATTGAAACCCAGGTCTGTCTTTATTTGGATTCTGTGCTCTTAATTACTCTGCCATATGGACTTGTTGCGGAACAAGTGGGGAGAGAGATGGGGCCCTTCAGCCCCACTCCCCTGGCATGAGGGCTACTGATTCTCCCTCTACTCTGGATTGCCAGGCTTTAGGGAGGCCTTCAGCAGGGGGCAGTAGGGTCCAGAGGACCCCTAAGCAGTGAGGGCTATCCCCCAACCCTGCCTTCATGGGTATAAGATCATTCTCAGACTGTAGTGAGTATTTTGAATCCTGCCAGAGGCAACCATGATCTTCCAGGAGTGGAGTGTCCAGCCCTCAGAACGGGAAAGGTGGTGAGATTTCACTGGTTGTTGTGATACCCTAAAACTGGTAGAAAGAAAGCTGGAATAAGGCACCTTGTTTACTATACTAATCCTTCCTTAAACCATAACTCCTATTTACAGATCCAGTTACTCTGCCAAGCACTTTATTCACATTGCCTCATTGAATTTTTACAGCAGCCCTATCTTGAGTAGCTGCTGTTATTATCATCTGTTCTTTACTGGAGGAGGAATCTAAAGCTCTGACTCAGCTAGACTGCTGACTTTTCAGTGGACCTTAGTCAAGGGACTTTTAGGCAAGTCTTCTCTGGGTCCAATATCTAGGACTACAGAAGTAATTCCTTCCCTGCCTAGAGCATTGGATTATAAAAGTGAAAACAATTTACAAGCTGTTATCCATTTGTTTAAATGGTGTCTATTGAGAACTTAAAGCAAGGAAGAGGCCCTGGCACTACAGAGAAAAATAAAGCGTAATCCTGCCCATGGAAAAATGCAAGATAAATGTTAGGTAAACAAGGCTTTCCATTTCCAGTAATTATGGACTAGAAGACTGCTCCCCAACTTCACTGGGAATTTTTTTTTTTTTTTTTAGGACAAGGTCTCACTCTCTCACCCAGGCTGGAGTGCAGTGGCACAATCATAGCTCACTGCAGCCTTGAGCTTCCCAGGCTCAGGTGATGCTCCCACCTCAGCCTGCCAAGTAGCTGAGACTACAGGTGCACGCCACCATACCCAGCTAATTTTTGCATTTTGTGTATAGATGGGGTTTCGTCATGTTGCCCAAGCTGGTCTCAAACTCCTGAGCTCAAGTGATCTGCCCACCTTGGCCTCCCAAAGGCTGGGATTACAGGCATGAGCCATCTCGCCTGGCCACCACTGGGAATTATTAAAAGAGCTAAACAGCCAGCCCTGTTGCCTCACACCTGTAATCCCAATACTTTGGGAGGCTGAGGCCAGCCTGGGCAATATAGTGAGACCTTGTCTCTACAAAAAAACTTTAAAATTAGCCAGGTGTGGGCTGGATGCGGTGGCTCACACCTGTAATCCCAGCACTTTGGGAGGCTGAGGTGGGTGGATCATGAGGTCAGGAGTTCAAGACAAGCCTAGCCAAGATGGTAAAACCCCGTCTCTACTAAAAATACAAAAATTAGCCTGGTGTGGTGGCGGGCGCCTGTAATCCCAGCTACCTGGGAGGCTGAGGCAGAGAATTGCTTGAACCTAGAAGGCGGAGGTTGCAGTAAGCTGAAATCGTGCCCCTGTACTCCAGCCTGGGTGACAGAGTGGGACTCTGTCTCAAAAAAAAAAAAAAAAAAAGGTGTGATGGCATGCATCTGTAGTTCCAGCTACTTGGGAGGCTGAGGTAGAAGGGTTGCTTGAGTTCAGAAGGTTGAGGCTGCAGTGAGCTATGATTATGCCACTGCACTCTAGCCTGGGTGACAGAGTGAGACTATGTCTCAAAAGAAGAAAAAAAAAAGCTAAACAAAATAAATGTGTGTGTGCATTTGTGTATTTGAAGGCATTAGAGAACTACCAAAGCAACAAGGACCTAAGGGGTCACGATTCCAGAGGGATAAGAAGCCCCATATTTACTTACTATTTTCCTGCGCAAGGGATATGCTCTTTCTCAAGAAAAGGCTAAGAAACTGAGCAGAGAGTCTGGTAGTGTTATGAGGCTGGGGAATAGAATAAAAATTGGATTTCAGGATCTACCAAGAAGGAGTGTCCCTAATAAATATTTCAGGTCTTCTTCTTCTTCTTTTTTTTTGAGTTGAAGTCTCGCTCTGTCACCCAGGCTGGAGTACAGTGGTACAATCTCGGCTCACTGCAACCTCTGCCTCCCAGGTTCAAGTGATTGTCCTGCCTCGGCCTCTTGAGTAGCTGGGATTACAGGCTCCCGCCACCACACCAGCTAATTTTTGTATTTTTAGTAGAGACGGGTTATCTCCATGTTGCCCAGGCTGGTCTCAAACTCCTGACCTCAAGTGATCCGCCCACCTTGGCCTTCCACAGTGCTGGGATTACAGGTGTGAGCCACCGCACCTGGCCAACATTTCAAGTCTTCAGCTGGAGCTACCAAAGGGCAACACCCTAGGAGTAGAGGTGAATTAGAATTAGACCAGCCCTGACAAAACTGAAGTCCAGCACCCCATCAATTCAATCCCTTGTAGTACTTAGGTGTAAATGCCTAGTAGAAGCAAAAGTTAAAATATTTCTGAAGGAAGATAATACCATCCAGGGCCTCAGGTTTTCCTATAATTTTTTCATATACAATACCTGCTATTCGATCAAAATTTACCTGACATTTCAGTAGACAAAACCACATGGCTGAAAACCAAGAGAAAAAAGTAGATAATAGCAATAGGCCCATAGGAGATCCAGATTTTGGCATTTTGAGGCATGGACTTTAAAAGATATGTGATTAATATAGTCAAGAAATTACATGACAAGATGGAGAATTTCTGCATATAAGTACAATCTATCACGGAGTATCAAATGAAAATTTAAGCCTCAAATACAGCATCCGAAATTAAGAACTCAATAGATGGATATAACAGCATATTAACACAGCTGAAAATAAAAATTAGTAAACCAGAAAGCCAGTAGAAAGTTGTATTAGTCTGTTCTCATGCTGCTATGAAGAAAGACCTGAGACTGGGTAATTTATAAAGAAAAGAGATTTAATTGACTCACAGATCCACATGGCTGGGGAGGCCTCAGGAAACTTGCAATCATGGCAGAAGTCACCTCCGTACAGGGCAGCAGGAGAGAGAATGAGAACCAGCAGGGGAAATGCCAGATACTTTTAAAATCATCAGATCTTGTGAGACTCACTCGTTATCACGAGAACAGCATGGGGGAAACCGCTTCCATGATTCACTTACCTCTACCTGGTCGTGCCCTTGACATGTGGGGATCATTATAATTCAAGGTGAGATGTGGGTGGGGAAACAGAGCCAAACCATATCAAAAGTATTCAGCACATATAATACATATTTTATATGAAATGTGGTTAAAATTTCCACATATGTATAATTGAAGTCCCATAGAAAGAGAGGGAGGGGAGGGGAGAAGAGATGACAGAAGAGACACAATGCAAAGAGAAATGAAGCCAGAAGCAATATTTGATGTTGGTCAATAATTAAGAATCACTTAAAACCCTAAACAGAATAAGTAAATAAAACAGAACTACGTAACTAGGGCCTATTATGATATAACTGCTGATAGTAAAAGATAAGGGGAAATTTTTGAAGGGAGCAATAATAAAACGGATAGTGTCTCCACAGAAATAATGAAAGCCAGAAGACAAGGGAACGATATGTTTAAAGTCATAAATGAAAATAAATCATATCCCATTAGAACTAGAGAGTAGAATGGTGGTTACCAAGGTGTAGGGTAGTTGTGGGGGAAGGGAGAATTGGGGTGGTATTGGTCAAAGGCTACAAAATTTCAGTTAGATGGGAGGATTCAGTTTAAGGAATCTATTACACAATGTGGTGACTAAAGTTAGCAACAACATATTGTATCCTAGAAAAATGCTAAGAGAGTGAATGTTGTGTTCTCACAAAAATAATGACTATGTGAGCTAATGTTAATTAGCAAGATTTAATTATTCCACAATGTATATATATTTTAAAACATCATGCTGTACATGATAAATACATACAACTTTATCTGTAAAATTTTTAAAATGATAATAAATAAAAGAAATCTTGCCTGTAATCCCAGCACTTTAGGAGGCCAAGGTGGGCAGATCACTTGAGGTCAGGAGTTTGAGACCAGCCTGACCAACATGGCAAAACCCTGTCTCTACTAATAATAGAAAAATTAGCCGGGCATGGTGGTGTGTGCCTGTAACCCCAGCTACTCAGCAGGCTGAGGCAGGAGAATCGCTCAAACCCCGGTGGTGGAGGTTGCAGTGAGCTGAGATCACGCCACTGCACTCCAGCCTAGACAACAGAGTGAAACTGTGTCTCAAAAGAAAGAAGAGAAAATAAATCTTGTGTGAGCATAGGCTAATGGCTCTCAAGTTGTAATATAAGTATGAATCACTTGGCAGGGGGTGTTAAAATTTTGGATTCCCAGATCCCACTCTGTAGATTTAGCCCCTCTGGTGTAGGGCCAAGGAACCTTCTTTTAACAAGCAGCCTGCGGATTCCGATGCAATGAGTCTACAGTAGATTGTCTGCCATGATGGTTGCAACAATTCTTCCCATTCGTGTACCCACACTCCTTTGTAGTGTGACTTTGCCACTCTTTCAATCAAGAGATAGAGTCCATTTTTCCTCCTTTTGAATCTCGGCTTATCCTTTGGCTTACTTTGACCAATAGAGATCAGTTGACATGATATTATGGGGCATCTGAGCCTTGGTCTTCAAGAGGACTTGCGTTTTCGGTATTCACCCTTTTGGAACTCAGCTGCCATGTAATTAAGTTGAGCCTATCCTTCTGGGAAAATGGAGAGAGAGGCAGAGCCGACAGCCAACACCAACCACCAGACACAGTATATGAGTGAGGCATGGATCTGTTTGGGTCCAACCAGGAGAGAGAAAGCACACAGTACTTTGAATATGGAAAGTTGAGTATGAAGAATTATTAATTATAATAGAGGATTAGAGTAACGGGATTGACTAATAAGAAGGAAAGAGAACACTGAAGACTATAGGAATAGCAGATATGAGGAACAGCCACTATCTTTAGGGTTGACATAGAACACCCAAGGAAGAGCTCGTTCAGGGCTGAGATCTAGATCTTTTTGGAAAGGGCCCACTAAATGGCAGAGAAGTCACTGTGGTGCCCTGCCAGGTCAGTGGATCTGGTAGAAATCATCCTATGAAACTTACTGGAAATGGGCCCTCTCAGGTGCCAGGGAAAGTTGTTCATAGGGAAATGTCTCTTTATCGACATTTGCTACATAAGCACTTGAGAGGGATTCTTGGGGAAGCTGCTAGCTACCAGATGCTGCTGGCCATGGTGCCCTGCAGGAGCCTGAAGCTCAAGAAGCCATTTGTGCTGCAAGAGTTGGGCATGGGGGAAGCACAACACTGCAGGAGCCTGGCGAGCCAGCACACAGTAACCAGGAAACAAAACTCTTTTCTTCCTTTCAGCCGAAACTGCCACCTTCCAATAATTCACCAAAATGACTAACACAAAGGGAAAGAGAAGCACCTAATACATGTTCTCTAGGTCTTTTAGGAAACCTGGAGTTGTTCCTTTGGCCACATACATGCAAAGCTGTAAGATGATATTGTAGACATTGAGAGAATGGATACTGTTCAAAAAGGAATACCCCACAAATGTTACCATGGCAAAACTGAAGAGTCTACAGTGTTACCTAGCATGCTATTGGCCTTGTTGTAAACAAACAAGAGCAAGATTCTTGCCAAGAGAATTAATCTGCCTATTGAGCACATTAAGCATTCTAAGAGCTGACATAGCTTCCTGAAAAGTGTGAAGGAAAATGATCAGAAAAAGAAGAAAGCCAAAGAGAAAGGTACCTGGGTTCAGATGAAGCACCAGCCACTCCACCCAAACACACTTTGTGAGAACCAATGAATAGGAGCCTGAGCTGCTGGAATCTATCCCTATGAATTCGTGGCATAATAGGTATTTAAAAAATACCTCTAGACTGTAAAAAGCAAATAGACAAACAAAGAAAAAACTTCAATGTATTCCCAGCACACTATACTGACAAAGCTGGGCATCCTGCCAGCTGTCAAAGGAAAAAGGCATTTCAGGGGCCCAGATCCATTTTAATAGAGCAGGCAAAAAAGTAAATTTGCAACTAAGGCAGTAAATCAATAACCAGGACAGGCCATCTTGGACCTCTAGTCCAAGTCAATCTGCATGACTACAACTGCATGAGTGACTTTAGTAAGATACTGGCAGAAAGAACCGTGTAGCTGAACCCAGCCGAAATTGCCACAGATCAGAATTATGAGCAAATAAAATTGCTCATAAATTTTAAGCCCTAAATTTTGGGGTAGTTTGCTTACACAAAATATTATAACACCAATATTGCAAGCAACCTGGACTGTTGTCCGTTTCCTACTTTTATGACTTTCTTTGTGCTGTTCCTTCTGTCCAAAGAAACATTATTATTATTATTTTTTTTTGAGGTGGAGTCTTGCTCTGTCGCCCAGGCTGGAGTGCAGTGGTGCGATCTCGGCTCACTGCAACCTCTGCCTTCTGGGTTCAAACGATTCTCCCACCTCAGCCTCCCGAGTAGCTGCGATTACAGGGAAACAGTCTTGATTATCTCTACCAGATGGATGTATTTTCCTGCAACTGATTAATTAACTTTTTTTGACCTATAGCACACATGTAGAAAAGTGCACAAATCTTAAATGTATAGCTTGATAGATTTTCACCAAGTGCTTATATTCTTTTTTTTTTTTCGAGACGTTGTCTTGCCGTGGTCGCCCAGGCTGGGGTGCAATGGCGCAATCTCGGCTCACTGCAACCTCTGCCTCCCGGGTTCAAGTCATTCTCCTGCCTCAGCCTCCCGAGTAGCTGGAATTACAGGTGCATGCCACCATGCCTGGCTAGTTTTTTGTATCTTTAGTAGAGACAAGGTTTCACCATGTTGGCCAGGCCGGTCTCAAACTCCTGACCTTGTGATCTGCCTGCCTCGGCCTCCCAAAGTGCTGGGATTACAGGTGTGAGCCACCATGCCCAGCCAAGTGATTATATTCTCGTAGTCTATAGCTGGGTGCCTCTCATACTCCCATCTAGTCACTAACCATGCCCCTACGGGTAAGCACCATTCTGACTTTTTTTTTTTTTTTTTTTTTTGAGACAGAGTCGCGTTCTGTTGCCCAAGCTGGAGTGCAGTGGCGTGATCTCAGCTTACTGCAACCTCCACCTCCCTGGTTTCAAGCATACCACCACACCTGGCTAATTTTTGTATTTTTAGTGGAGACGGGGTTTCACCATGTTGGCCAGGCTGGTCTTCAACTCCTGACCTCAGGTGATCCGCCTGCCTTGGCCTCCCACAATGTTGGGGTTACAGGCGTGAGCCACTGTGCCTGGCCTATTAAAGGTTTTTAAACATCAAAATATAAAATGATATGCCTATCAATCATAACCGTGTGAAAGGAGAAAAAAAACACACCCATGCATAGAGTAAAAAGATACTAGAAGAAAAAAAAGAGTTGATATGGTTGATGGGTAAAGGAAATAAAAATGATTTTTCTTCTTGACAATCTGTCTCTCCCAATAATTATGTAATGACCATGTGTAACTTTTATAATCAAAAGAAACATTTAATCCTATTGATCTTTAAAGTCCTGTTCAAATGTCACTTCCTCCAAGAGCCTTAGCATAACCGTATTGCTGTAGCCAGCCAATGCCTTCCTCTATTTATACACCCCCTAGAGCAAAAACACATTCCAGAAGGAGCACAGTACCTTTCTTAGAGAAGGTGCTCTCAAAATGTCTGATCCTTTCCCTGCAACCATAGACATTTCATTAGCAGCTCACATTTCTCAAAAGAGCACCCCAACATGCCACTAAGACAGGCAGGAATCTGAAGCTGGATTGCTGTCTCCATTTTCTACTTGAAAACACCTGATGCTGAAAGAGGTTAAGTAATAGTCCCACTGTCATTCGGCAAATCATTGGTAGAGGCATTTAAAATAGCTCATTCAAGAAAGATGAGCCAGCGGGGTGGCTCACGTCTGTAATCCCAGCACTTTGGGAGGCTGAGGCGGGCAGATCACGAGGTCAAGAGCTTGAGACCATCCTGGCCAACATGGTGAAACGCTACTGAAAATACAAAAATTAGCTGGGTGTGATGGCCCGCGCCTGTAGTCCCAGCTACTCGGGAGGCTGAGGCAGGAGAATTGCTTGAACCCAGCAGGCAGAGGTTGCAGTGAGCCGAGATCACGCCACTGCACTGCAGCCTGGTAACAGAGTGAGACTCCGTCTGAAAAAAAAAAAAAAAATTAGCCAGATGTGGTGGTACTTGGGAGGCTGAGGCAGGAGGATCACCTGAACCCGGGAGGCGGAGGTTGCAGTGAGCCGAGATGGTGCCACTGCACTCAAGCCTGGGCGACAGAGCAAGACTCTAGCTAAAACAAAACAAAACAAAACAAAACAAAAAAAAAAAAAAAAGAAAGGTGAATCTGGTGCAAACCATATAATTTACCAATTATAGTCTGAACAGAGCAAAGAGGCAGGGATGGAGATTAAGGAAAAAGCAAAAATTTGGTAACGTGGCCTTTGTATTACCAGCTCTGTAATTTTGAGTGAGCTTATTTACCTTTCTGAACTTCAGTCTTCTATCTGACTCATTGAAGGGATAACAGTGAACTAATAACCAGAATAGCAAATAGGATCCAACTCTGATGAACTAATGGTGGCTACCTTGAGTACTACAGGGGGAAAGATTCTGAAGACACATGCAGCCTTCATGGGAAAAATTGCTGTGATTAATAATTTCTGCCATGAGCAGGGAATCTGAAATTGATGTTATATTTGTTAGATATTGGTCTTTCCTGGACAGATTGCTCTTCAAGATCTTTTCCAGCCCTGTGTTTGGAATTCCCAGATTTAGATCTATTCATGTGTCTGGTGGGCAAAATATTCATCCTATAGGAAATCTTCTTAATTCCAAAGGGGAAGGAATTTTAATTATCTTTTAAAACAATAGACCTTGTCTCCAGCAATGGATGTGATATATATTTAAATAATCATCCTTAAGGCTCTCAGAGCTCCTTGGAGATGGAAATGTCTGCATATGAAGTGTTAATTATACCACCATAATCATTCTTTTGAGATAAATTATATCATTAAAATTACCATGTTTGACATCCTTCCCTGTCTGCACATTGCCCTACCCTCAGATTGAAGTTGGTCCTGGGAGGAGGGTATGTGTCCTGGTTGGCTGTAATGGGTGGTGGAGTTAGTAAGTAAGGCGAAAAAGGTGAGTGTCTCATAAAATCCCAGTCTCAGGGTCCCCAGGATTGTCTCATTCATTGGCTCCGTCTGGACCCACCTGGAATGTTATGTGGCTTGGGATTTCTGGACTAAGGTTGACCCTTGTCTTATCTTTGAAACAAATATACTATAGCCACCAGGAGAGTGGTAGGGGTATTGTTTGACCAATTTAAGTAACACATACATTATAAATTCGTGGCTATTGAAGGAAGCCATGAACTGGTTGACAAGTTACGACACCGTGTTGGTCTAGCAGCATAGCCAGGCTGTCAATAACACAGGCTTTGGCATCAGACTGCTCTGAAATCGGACATAGCTCTGACATTTCTATTTTTTATTTTTGTGTAGAAATGGGGGTCTGGCTATGTTGCCCAAGGTGGTCTCAAACTCCTGGCTTTAAGTGATCTTCCTGCCTCAGCCTACCAAAATGCTGGGATTACAGCTATGAGCCACTATGCCTGGCCAGCTTTGACATTTCCAAATGAGTTTGCACAAGCTATATAACCTCTGTTTTTTCTTTTATCTTTTCTTTCTTTCTTTTTTTTTTTTGGAGACGGAGTCTCACTCTGTTGCCCAGGCTGGAGTGCAGTGGTGCCATCTTGGCTTACTGCAACCTCTGCCTTCCAGGTTCAAGCTATTCTCCTGCCTTAGCCTCCTGCGTAGCTGGGATTACAGGTGCCTGCCACAATGCCTGGCTAATTTTTGTATTTTTAGTAGAGACGAGATTTTGCCACGTTGGCCAGGCTGGTGAGGAACTCTTGACCTCAGATGATTCGCCCACCTCGGCCTCTTAAAGTGGTGGGATTACAGATGTGAGCCACCGTGCCTGGCCATAACCTCTATTTTTTTGTCTGTAGAAAGAGTTTTAATAATAGTACCTAACTCAGCACTTTGGGAGGCGGAGGCGGGTGGATCACCTGAGTTCGGGAGATCGAGACCATCCTGGCTAACATGGTGAAACCCTGTCTCTACTAAAAATATAAAAAATTAGCCAGGCATGGTGGCACATGCCTGTAATCCCAGCTTCTTGGGAGGCTGAGGCAGGAGAATCACTTGAACCTGGGAGGCAGAGGTTGCAGTGAGCCGAGATCACGCTATTGTACTCCAGCCTGGGCAACAAAAGTGAAACTCCCTCTCAAAAAAAAAAAAAATAGTACCTACCTCAAAAGGTTAATATGTGAGATAATTCATGACGAGCACAAGTATCTTGCACTACATAGGAAGTATTACTATTATTATATTGAGATTAATTATTAGCATTGATTTCAAATTATATACAAAATAAAGCTTCAAAAACATGAAGTCAACTTATGTCAGTTTTGTGGACATCAAGACAGAGGCTGAAATAGGATGAATTTTAATTGTTTTAATAAGTAACAAAATGTTCCCTAAAAAAAGTTACAGAGTACAGATTAGCAAAAGGGACAAAATCAGCACTCAGAAATAACCACTGGTAATCTTTTGGTTTATGTCCTAATGATAATAATTTACATATATTAGAATAGAAAAGGACATTTGACAAAAATAGTATCACACTGAACAGGCTGTTTTGAAACCAGCTGTTTTTCAGTGAGTAAAGGGGGCGTATACAGGCAAATGTATTGTTTTGGTTTTGGGTTTTTTTAATTAAAAAAATTCCTTTTCTGGTAAGAGATACATAAAATTTACCATGTTAACCATCTTTAAGTGTACATTCAGTAGCGTTAAGTATATTCACGTTGTTGGAAACAGATTTCCAGAACTTTTTTATCTTGCTAAACTGAAACTCTGCACCCATTAAAAAACAACTTCCCTTTTCCCGCTCCCTCCAGGCCCTGGTAACCAGCATTCCACTTTCTGTTTCTATGAATTTGCTGACTTTAGATATCTCATATAAGTGGCATCATACAGTATTTGTTGTTTTGTGACTGGCTTATTTCATTTAGCATAATGTCTTCAAGTTTCATTCATGTTGCAACATATAACATGATTTCCTTCCTTTTTAAAGCTGAATAATATTCCATGGTATATATAATATATACCACATTTTGCTTGTCCGTGTATCCATCAATAGACATTTGGGTTGTTTCCATCTCTTAGCTATTGTGAATAGTACTGCTATGAACATAGGTGTACAAGTGGCTCTTTAGGACCCTGCTTTCAGGTCAAACGTGGTGGCTCATGCCTGTTATCCCAGCACTTTGGGAGGCCAAGGCGGGCAGGTCACCTGAGGTCAGGAGTTCAAGACCAGCCTGGCCAACATGGTGAAACCCCGTCTCTACTAAAAATACAAACATTAGCCAGGCGTGATGGGTGCCTGTAATCCCAGCTACTCGGGAGACTAAGGCAGTAGAACTGCTTGAACCTGGGAGGCGGAGGTTGCAGTGAGCTGAGATCGCACCACTCTCCTCCAAGCCTGGGTGACAGAGCGAGACTCTGTCTCAAAAAAAAAAGAGACCCTGCTTTCAAATCTTTTGGATATACACACAGAAGTGGGATTGCTGGATCATATGGTAGTTCCATTTTTATTTTTATTTTTATTTATTTATTTATTTATTTATTTATTTATTTTTTCTGAGATGGAGTTTCGCTCTTGTTGTCCAGGCTGGATTGTAGTGGCGTGATCTCGGCTCATTGAAACCTCCACCTCCAAGGTTCAAGCAATTCTCCTGCCTCAGCCTCCTGAGTAGCTGGGATTACAGGCACGTGCCACCATGCCCAGCTAATTTTTTTTGTATTTTTAGTAGAGACAGGTTTCGCCATGTTGGCCAGGCTGGTCTCAAACTCCTGACCTCAGGTGATCTGCCCGCCTTGGCCTCCTAAAGTGCTGGGATTACAGGCATGAGGCACTGCACCTGGCCAAGGTAGTTCCATTTTTAATTATTTTAAAAAGTTTTACATTTTTTGACTTTATTATTATTTCTAGAAATGGGAGTCATCACTCTGTCTACCCAGGCAAGAGTGCAGTGGCACCATCTTAGCTCACTGCAGCCTTTAATTCTTGGGCTTAAGTGATCCTTCTGCCTCAGCCTCTCAAGTAGCTGGGACTACAGGTGTTCGCCACCATACCCAGCTAAGTTTTTTAATTTTCTTTTTTTTTTTTTGAGATGGAGTCTTGCTTTTGTTGCCCAAGCTGGAGTGCAATGGCGTGATCTCGGCTCACTGTAACCTCTACCTCCCAGTTCAAGTGATTCTCCTGCTTCAGCCTCCCGAGTAGCTGGGATTACAGGCGTGTGCCACCACACCTGGCTAATTTTTGTAGTTTTAGTGGACACGGGGTTTCACTATGTTGGCCAGGCTGGTCTCGAGTGCCTGATATCAGGTAATCCACCTCCCTCAGCCTCCCAAAGTGCTGGGATTACAGGCATGAGCCACTGTGCCCAGCAAGTTTTTAAATTTTTTGTAGAAATGGGGTCTCACTATGTTGCTGAGGCTGGTCTCCAACTCCTGGCCTCAAGGGATCCTCCTACTTTGGCCTCCCAAAGTGCTTAGATTACAAGCTTGAGCCACACCCTGCCTGGCCTATTTTTATTTATTTATTTATTTATTTATTTATTTATTTATTTATTTATTTTAGACAGAGTCTCACTCTGTTGCCCAAGCTGGAGTGCAGTAGCATGATCTTGCCTCACTGCAACCTCTGCCTCCTGGGTTCAAGTGATTTTTCTCCCTTAGACTGCTGAGTAGCTGGGATTACAGGTATGTGCCATCACGTCTGGCTAATTTTTGTATTTTTAGTAGAGACAGGGTTTTACCATGTTGGCCAGGCTGGTTTCAAACTCCTGTCCTCATGTGATCAGCCCGCCTCAGCCTCCCAAAGTGCTGGGATTACAGATGTGAGCCACCATCCCTGGCCCTATTTTTAATTTTCTGAGGAACTTCCATATGGTTTTCCATGGTGGCTGCACCATTTTACATTTCCACCAACAGTACACAAAGCTTCCAGTTTCTACACATCCTTGCTAACTCTTGTTATTTTCTGGTTTGTTTTGATAGTAGCCATCCTAATGTGTGTGAGGTGAATAAATGTGTTGTTTTTTTGGTTTTTCAAGACAGAGTCTCCCTCTATCACCCAGGCTGGAGTGCAATGGCACAATCTCAGCTCACTGCAACCTCTGCCTCCCAGGTTCAAGTGATTTTCCTCCCTCAGCTTCCCAAGTAGCTGGGATTACAGGCGTGCACCACCACACCGTGCTAATTTTTGTATTTTTAGTAGAGACGGGGTTTCACCATGTTGGCCAGGATGGTCTCAAACTCCTGACCTCAAGTGATCTGCTTGCCTTGGCCTCCCAAAGTGCTGGGATTACAGGTGTGAGCCACCGTGCCTGGCCAATGTGTTGTTTTAATGCAATTCTAGGGGGAATGTTTAAAGTACTCAAAGGAACTAAACTTCCTTTTTGGTAATCTAGAAGCATGGAATTTTTCTCTTTTTTTTTTTTTTTTTTTTTTTGAGATGGAGTCTTGCTTCGTCACCCAGGCTGGAGTGCAGCGGTGAGATCTCAGCTCACTGCAACCTCCGCCTCCCGGGTTCAAGCAATTCTCCTGTCTCAGTCTCCCGAGTAGCTGGGACTACAGGCACATGCCACCACGCCGGCTAATTTTTTTGTATTTTTAGTAGAGACGGGATTTCACCTTGTTGGTCCGACTGGTCTCGAACTCCTAATTTGAAAGACAGTGATTAGTTCTGTAATGCTGCAGCAGGTCAACCCTTGGTACTTGTTTTCTCCTCAAAACTCTCTTCCCCAAGCTTCTGCCAAGTCTCTCTCTCTCTTTGATCTCCTCTGATATTCCCGGTTCCCCGCCCCTGCCCCTCCTTGTGAATGAGCTATCCTCATTGTTCCAGCTTTCCAGCTCTGCTCTAACCACCCCTCCTCAGCCCTCCCCTTCATAGTCCCTGAACATTCCCCTTGCTTCACTCACACTGCTGGGTCTGGAGAACTCTCAGATCTTGTCTTCATCTCCGGGCCCTCAGTTAACCTCCTCCAGGAACCTAAGGGACAATGGGAGGCCCCTTAGGTTCTGTGGGCCTCCCTAAGACAAACAGAATGGGTCAGAAGCACAGCACAGACACATCTAAGTCACACGCCCTCAGCTCCACGATCTGATGGACACAGACACAGTAGGTAAACCATGCGTGTGTGGGATACTGTTTGCTGCCATTCCCTAAGCAGTCTTGGATCCCAGAGGTGCATCTCACCACACTGAATATCACCTTATTGTAGAGCTAGCTGTACATTCCTTTTCTCACAACCTGAGCCCTACATGCCAGCCAACATCTTAATCTGGACCCTCAGAAGAAACAGCAAAGCCAGGTGCGGTGGCTCATGCCTGTAACTTTGGGAGGCTGAGAGGTGGGTGGATCGCCTGAGGTCAGGAGTTCGAGACCAGCCTGGCCAACATGGCGAAACCTTGTCTCTACTAAAAACACAAAAATTAGCCAGGTTTGGCAGCACATGCCTGTAATCCCAGCTACTCTGGAGGCTGAGGCAGGAGAATCGCTTGAACCTGAGAGGCGGATGTTGCAGTGAGCCGAGATCGGGCCACCGCACTCCAGACTGGGGGACAGAGCGAGACTCCGTCTCAAAAAAAAAAAGAAGAAACAGCAGCTGTTACAGCAATGCCCATAGACTGCTGGCTCCAATATGATGACTTTCTGAGGGCTTTTCTTGAGGCTTTAGACCATACATTATTTTTGATCCAAAATGCTGACCCCCTTATGAGATAGGACACAGATGTACCATTTTACCATTTAAAAAAATGGAGTTAGCCAGGCATAGTGGCTCATGCCTGTAATCCCAGCACTTTGGGACGCTGAGGTGGGAGGATTTCTTGAGCCCAGGAGGTCAAGGATACAATAAGCTATGATCGTGCCACTGCACTCCAGCCTGGACAAGAAAGAAAGACTCTATCTTAGAAAACAGAAACATAAAACAAAACAAAAATAAATAAAAAATTTAAAATAAAAAATTGAGCTAAATTTACAACAATATACTGGACAGTTTTTGTTTGTTTGTTTGTTTGTTTGAGACAGAGTCTTGCTCTGTCACCCAGGCTGGAGTGCAGTGGTGCAATCTGTGTTCACTGCAACCTCTGCCTCCCGGGTTCAAGCAATTCTTCTGCCTCAACCTCCCAAGTAGCTGGGACTACAGGCACCCGCCAACACGCCCAGCTAATTTTTTGTATTTTTTTTTTAGTAGAGACGGGGTTTCACCGTGTTAGCCAGGATGGTCTCGATCTCCTGACCTCGTGATCCGCCCACCTCGGCCTCCCAAAGTGCTGGGATTACAGGCGTGAGCCACCTCACCCGGCCCTAAAAGAAGATTCTAAAGGGATTTGCTTCAAATTCACAGCAAGTACCAAAAGCACATGATCTGCCAAGTAGGTTGAGTTTAGCTATTTTTGTTGTGTGGAAGCTGACTTGCCTTGCTAAAAGCGGTAAGGGCTTCTCCAACAAAATGAGATTAATTCCTCACATTTATGTAGTATTTTTCACTTTTCAAAGCCTTCTTTTCTTGTCCATCACTCATTTGATCTACTCATTGGTTCTATGAAGACATTAAATTTTTTTTTGTAGACACAGGGTCTTGCTATGTTGACCAGGCTGATCTCACACTCCTGGCCTCAAGTAATCCTCCTACCTCAGCCTCTCAAAATGCTGGAATTACAGGCGTGAGCCACCATACCCAGCTACGTTGGCTGAATGACAGGAAGCAGGACAGGAAATATTCTTTCTCTTTATTCAGATGAGGATTCTAAGACTCGGAAAGACAAAGTGAATGTTCTCACAGTCAACAGTGAGCCACCCCTCTGAATTTCCAGCCCTGAGTTTGGGCTGGGATCCACTGTCTCCTTCGCAAACAAACCATTCCAGAGAACCTGAGTCTAAGAGGTTTTAAAACCACTAGCAAGCAAGGTGTGGTGGCTCATGCCTGTAATCCCAGCACTTCAGGAGGCTGAGGCAGGAGGATAGCCTGAGGCCAGGAGTTGGAGACCAGACCAGGCAACATAGTGAGACCTTGTCTCTAAAAATGCCAAGCCCGCCCTGGTCCCAAGAAAAAACACACCACACACACAAACATTAAAAAAAAAAAAAAAAAAATAGCTGGGCGCGGTGGCTCATGCCTGTAATCCCAGCACCTTGGGAGGCCGAGGCGGGTGGATCACCTGAGGTCAGGGGTTCGAGACCAGCCTGACCAACACAGAGGAACCCCATCTCTACTAAAAAAATACAAAATTAGCCAGGCGTGGTGGCACATGCGTGTAATCCCAGCTACTGGGGAGGCTGAGGCAGGAGAATCGCTTGAATCTGGGAGGCGGAGGTTGCGATGAGCCGAAATCGTGCCATTGCACTCCAGCCTGGGCAACAAGAGTGAAACTCTGTCTCAAAAAAAAAAAAAAAAAAAAGATTAAATTACCACCACCAACACTCAGTAGGTGGCAGTTAACAGTAATCTACATTTATTGCTCTCCCATTATCAATTAACAGTTTGTAATTCTCCCAACAGCCTAATGAGGATTCTCCCTGTTTTACACTAGAGGAAGCAGAGACACAGAGAGGTTTTATGGCTTGCTCAAGCTCACACAGCAAGTCCGCTGCAGAGCTGGAATTCCACCCAGGCAGCCTGGCCGGAAGCCCAGGCCTTTCACCCCTATGCTACACTGCCTTGTGTTACACCATACTGCTGATTAAAGAACTTTCTAAACAAAGCCATTCATTGGTGAGATGAGCAGCTCTGAAAGGCACTGAGGGCCCCTATTCTGAGCACTTCAAGTGGAATCATGGTGGAGGCATCTTTGGAAGACAGTTAGGTTTAAGGCAAAGGACTGGGCCAAGCATCCCTTTTAATCCAGAAATGAGGGGATTTGATGAAATCTCTTGCAGATTCTAGCCTTTCAGGTCAGGACAGTGACAAGTCCTCCTTGCCCCTGGGCTTCCAGATTGAAAATGTTTTCCCAGCCTGCCCACCATCCTCTCCTCAGGGGCACTGGGATCAAGTGAGCTGGGAGAACAGGTGGCTGTGCATGGATCATCCTGGAAATCTGACAGCATGGTCCCCAGTCCAGGGACTGGGGAAGAGGAACAGCAGAACACTAAATTACAGGGTGTTTGTTGCTTGATTAAATCAGTGCACTCAGTGCAGCGCGGTGGAGATGCAACACGCCAGGCTCACTCCTGGGCTTGAGGCCCAGATGTTAATCATAGAGCTGCAGTCAGAACGCCAAGGGCTCTCAGTAACACCTCTTTTAAATGCTTCATTTCACTCATAGGCCTACAGAAGCCCAGAGAGGGGAAGCAGCTTGTCAGAGGCCACGCAGCATTCTTTCAACACATACTGAGTGCCTACTGAGGGATACTAAAGGTGAATAAAATAGCCACGTGCTCCAGGGTCATGGAGCTTGCACGTTAGTGGAGGCAATGGGCAAAAAGCAGATAAACACACAAAATCAGAGGTTGTGATCTGTGCTATGGAGAACATGGAGTATTTCAACCA
The DNA here is from genome assembly GCF_000001405.40 of Homo sapiens. Classification (NCBI taxonomy): domain Eukaryota; kingdom Metazoa; phylum Chordata; class Mammalia; order Primates; family Hominidae; genus Homo; species Homo sapiens. The sequence goes on from NC_000005.10 coordinate 154,741,502, forward strand.
GGCTGATCAAGGGTGGTCCCTCTGAGAAGGGGCCATTTAAGCTGAGGCTTGAAGGATGCAAAGTATCGGGTGTTTGTGTGTGGGTGGGGGGAGTGGGAATGCAGTGGGAACACCATGCCCTAGGGGCCCGCAGGCTGGGATGAGTTTCCGTGTGTTTCTGGGGCTGGCACAGAGCAAGGCCAGGTGCAAGAAACGGGGGGAAAATCTGGAGGTAAATGGGTTCTGGAGCATAGAGGGTATGTGGGCCAAAGTGAGAGGTCTAGAGTTTATTCTTGTAATAGGCAGTTATGGAGGGTTGTTTGTTTGTTTGTTTTTAAGAGAGTGGCAGACATACTGTAACATTTCCTGCTTTTCCTAAATGAGGGACTCCTGGGAGGTTTACAAAAAACACACCAGGCAATGATACCTATGCAAAATGAGCCCAGCCCAGCTTTTCCTTGTCTTTATCTGGAGTCTCTGTGTATTTTATTCACATTAGGTAATTAGGCCATTCATGTTCCTTCTAATGAACCTAGAGATATGTCTCAAATAGACCTAAAGATCCAAGTACTGTGGAAATTGGCCAACCTCTCTGATCCATGCCTGTTGTTGGGACAGGCAGTTAGGCAGCCCCATCAACTTGCCACAGCTTTTCTGCACTTCACTCCTGTGATCATCCTTTTTTCCATAGAGGTAGGAAACGTTAGAAACTATCAAGATTGCTAGAATTGGGGCCTGGGCACAAGACAAGGCTGGGCAACATGACGAAACCCTTTCTCTACAAAAAATACAAAAAAGTGGCTGGGCATGGTGGCTCACACCTGTAATCCCAGCACATTGGGAGGCCAAGGCAGGTGGATCACTTGAGGCCAGGGGTTCGAGACCAGCCTGGCCAACATGGCGAAACCCCATCTCTATTAAAAATAAAATTAGTCAGGCATGGTGGCACATGCCTGTAATCCCAGGTATTCAGGAGGCTGAGGCATGAAAATCTCTTGAACCTGGGAGGCGGAGGTTGCAGTGAGCCATGATCATGCCACTGCACTGTTGTTGGAACAGAGGAAGACCCTGTCTCAAAAAAAATGTATATATACAAAAAATTAGCTGGGTGAGGTGCCTTGCACCTGTAGTTCCAGCTATTCGGGAGTCTGAGGTGAGATAATTGCTTGAGTCAAGGAAGTTGAGGCTACAGTGAGCCATGATCATGCCACTGTACTCCAGCCTGGGCAACAGAGTCAGACCCTGTCTCAAAAAAAAAAAAAAAGAAAAAAGAAAAAAGAAAAAAATAGTTTCTAGGATGGGAAGAAACTTCCAGAATATTAGGCTTTTTCAGAAATAGGAAAATTGAGGTCCCAACAAGAAAAGGAACTTTTCTTGGTCTCCTAGGAAGTAGCAATAGAGCCAGAACTGGAAAGCAGCCCTTTTCCTACATCTCACAGCCTGCTACTGCCCCAGCAGAAAGGGAAGCAGTGTGACAAACCTGAGCCAATGTTTCTTGTTCCACGTCACATGAGTTTGGGGAATGCTGCAAATCATTACACCTTTCTTAGAGATTGACTATGAATGTTAAAGTCTTGGAGATGACCTACAGCCAAACACTCATTTAACATTGCTTAACCCAATATTTCCCAAAATGATTTGATGATGGACTACATCTTGGTGTATATTAATTCATATTCTGGGAAACACTCCTTGAGAAGTCCCACCCTTAGCAAAAAAATCCGCTATCCACAGCCCCTGGTTCATAATGGTGTAATAAATGCTAGCTATTGTCATTATCATTATTACTTTTATTATTAACCGCAAGGGCTATAGTTTATTATTCTTATTTATTTATTTTTTTTTGAAATGGAATTTCGCTCTTGTTGCCCAGGCTGGAGTGCAGTGTCGTGATCTCGGCTCACTGCAACCTCTGTCTCCCGGGTTCAAGCGATTCTCCTGCCTCAGCCTCCCGAGTAGCTGGGATTACAGGTGCCCGCCACCATGCCCAGCTAATTTTTGTATTTTTAGTAGAGATGGGGTTTCACCAGATTGTCCAGGCTGGTCTCGAACTCCTGACCTCAGGTGATCCACCCGCCTTGGCCTCCCAAAGTGCTGGGATTACAAGAGTGAGCCACTGCTTCTGGCCTATAGTTTGTTTGTTTGTTTGTTTGTTTAGAGACAGAGTCTCGCTCTGTTGCCCAGGCTGGAGTATAGTGGCACGATCTGGACTTACTGCAACCTCTGCCTCCCGAGTTCAAGCGATTCTCCTGCCTCAGCCTTTCAAGTAGTTGGGATTACAGGCACCCGCCATGACACTCAGTTAATATTTGTATTTTTAATAGAGATGGGGTTTCACCATGTTGGCCAGGCTGGTCTCCAACTCCCCACCTCAAGTGAATCGCCTGCCTTGGCCTCCCAAAGTGCTGGGATTACAAGCGTGGGCCACCACACCCGGCCAGGGCTATAGTGTATACTTTGGCTCAAGTGATTTCCGCTTTCTCCAAGTGCCTTGCACAGTGCTGAGTCCTCAGAGATGATGGCACAGACCAATTAATCAACAAACTATGACAGTTTGTATTGACTCTGGATCTCCTGGGTCACATGACCGCAACCGAGATAAAGGGCAGCTCATTCATTTTCTGTCCTCTACCAAAGGAAAGGCCTGGGGGAAGCCTTGGCAGGGGAGGATCATAAACATATGCGAAGGTCACCAAATGCTAAAACAATCTGCCCTATCTCCTGCCCTCCTTTTTAATCTCAGCAAATCCTACTTCCCAGTTTTAAGTCCTAATTGAAGTCCAGGTACCTCCAGGAAGGCTTCCCTGACTACCTCATTCCTCCCACTCTCACCTATGACACTCTCTGCCTCTCCTTTAGTCTCCTGAACTTGTCTGTACCATATATTAATGACTGGTATGGCATTAGTTTGTGCAGGTATCTAAATGAGAGTAGTGTGCTGGGAGTAACACCAGGGGAGGGATGGGGCCTGAGGCTCACTAGTATTTGCTGGGCTCATCTAATCACATTTAAATTCAATTTAAAAAATACTGTGTGGACCAAACAAAATGTGTCTGTGGGCTGAAATTGGCCAGAGGACTGACAGGTTGCAACAGCTGGAATATTATCTGCAGGGGAAAGGGCATTGGATATGCAATTTTTTTTTTTTTTTTTTTTTTTTTTTTTTTTTTTTTTTGAGACGGAGTCTCGCTCTGTCGCCCAGGCTGGAGTGCAGTGGCGGGATCTCGGCTCACTGCAAGCTCCGCCTCCCGGGTTCACGCCATTCTCCTGCCTCAGCCTCCCAAGTAGCTGGGACTACAGGCGCCCGCCACTACGCCCGGCTAATTTTTTGTATTTTTAGTAGAGACGGGGTTTCACCGTTTTAGCCGGGATGGTCTCGATCTCCTGACCTCGTGATCCGCCCGCCTCGGCCTCCCAAAGTGCTGGGATTACAGGCGTGAGCCACCGCGCCCGGCCGCTTTTTTTGAGATGGAGTCTCGCTCTGTCACCAGACTGGAGTCCAGTGGCACCATCTCTGCTCACTGCAACTTCCACCTCCCGGGTTGAAGCGATCTTCCTGCCTCAGCCTCCCGCATAGCTGGGACTACAGGTGGCATGCCACCACACCCAGCTAATTTCTGTATTTTTAATGGAGACATGGTTTCACCATGTTAGCCAGGATGGTCTCGATCTCTTGACCTCGTGATCCGCCCGCCTCGGCCTCCCAAAGTGCTGGGATTACAGATGTGAGCCACCGCGCCTGGCCTTTTGGATATGCAATCTTTAGAAGCCCTGGAGTTTCCACCAACTAGCAGTGTGACTTCAGATAAAACACCTCATCTTTCTGAGCCTCAGTGTCCTCATCTTTAAAATGAGGTGACACTTGTTCCACCTTCTTTGTGGGATTTGAAGAATGCTTCTCCTAACTCTATGCCAGTGACCACTACCCCCTTTATGATAATAGCAAACATTTATTCAGTACTCACTGTATATCAAGCACTGTTCTAAGTACTTTGGGTGTATTAATTCAATCCCTACAATAATCCTCAGGGGTAGGTGCTATTATCATCCCCATTTTACACACAAGAAAACTGAGGCAGAGAGACACAGAGGAATTTGCCCAAGGTTACAGAGCTGGTAGGTGGCAGAGCTGAGACTATCGAACACTTTCACAAATATTGGCTCATTTAATCCTCTCAAAGACATAATGAATTTTACCCAGCCATTCCCTTTCTGACATTTTACAGATGGAGACACTGAAACTCAGAGAAAGAAAGTGACTTGCCTGAGGTCACGCAGCTAGGAAGTGGGCAAAGCTGGGCCTAAACCCAACTGTTTTTTTTTTTTTTTTTCTTGAGACGAAGTCTCACTCTGTTGCCAGGCTGGAGTGCAATGGTGCGATTTCAGATCACTGCAACCTCCGAATCCCTGGTTCAAGCGATTCTCTTGCCTTAGCCTTCCGAGTACCTGGGATTACAGGTACGCGCCACCACGCCCAGTTAACTTTTGTATTTTTAGTAGAGACAGGGTTTCACCATGTTGGCCGGCCAGGATAGTCTCAATCTCCTGACCTCGTGATCTACCCGCCTTGGACTCCCAGAGTGCCTGGATTACAGGCGTGAGCCACCGCACCTGGCCTAAACCCAACTCTTTTGACATCAAACCCTTTCCCCTTTTTTCTGTGCCATGTGTGAAGGACAGGCAAATGGTCTGAGAAGAGAACAATGTGCTAGTGTAGGGAGTTTTGTTCCCAGCGGGAGGGACCATGTCTTGTCCCTTATTGTTTCCACACTAGTCTCTAGGGCTGGGCCCTTCTGTCTTGGAGCTTGGCTCCTGTGTTTGACTGAGCGACGGTTCTTTTGGCCAGTCTCACCGTGTGACTAGTTATGGTCATGTTGCCAAGAAATTTCCTTTTGCCCCAATTTTGCCTTCTGATTTCCACTCGTCTCCATGAATTTGGATGTTTCTTGACCATGGAATGCTTAAACATGGTTACCTGAGTTTGTCCAACTGTGTGGTTTTTGCATTTTCTATGAATACTATCTGTGTCTCTTGTGATGTGGTGTCACGATCTAGAATGGGAGGAGTGAGACCTGGGTTCTGATCTTGATTCTGCTGCCCTGGCACCCTGGAGCAAGTCACTTAACTTCTATAGGCCTCAGTTCTTCAGCTGCCAACCAAAGACAATCATGTCTATCCTCTCTCCATGAAAGCCCTTTGGAAAATGCAGGGTGATCCAAATAGAAAGTGGGTCACTGGCTGGGCACTGTGGCTCATGCCTGTAAGCCCAGCACTTTGGGAAGCCAAGGTATGAGAATTACTCAAGGCCAGGAGTTCAAGTCCAGCCTGGACAAAATAGAGTGTCTCTACTAAAAAACTGAAATTAAAAAATGGGCCAGATGCGGTGGCTCATACCTGTAATCCCAGCACTTTGGGAAGCTGTGGTGGGCAGACCACTTGAGGTCAGGAGGTTGAGACCAGCCTGACCAACATGGTGAAACTCCGTCTCTACTAAAAATACAAAAATTAGCCAGGCATTTGGGCACCTGTAATCTCAGCGGCTCGGGAGGCTGAGGCAGAGAATTGCTTGAACCCGGGAGGCGGAGGGTGCAGTGAGCCGAGATCGTGCCACTGCACTCCAGCCTGGGCGACAGGGCGAGACTCTGTCTCAAAACAAGCAAACAGAAAAACCAAACATTAGCCGGGTGAGGTGGCGGGCACCTGTAATCCCAGCTACTTGGGAGGCTAAAGCAGGAGAATCATTTGAACACGGGAGACGGAGGTTGCAGTGAGTTGACATGGTGCCATTGCACTCTAGCCTGGGTGACAGAGCAAGACTCTGTCCCAAAAAAAAAAAAAAAGAAAAAGAAAAAAGGCTGCTGTGGATCACCTGAGGTCAGGAGTTCGAGACCAGCCTGGCCAACATGGCGAAACCTCGTCTCTACTAAAAATACAAAAATTAGGCCAGGTGCGGTGGCTCATGCCTGTAGTAATCCCAGCACTTTGGGAGGCTGAGGCGGGTGGATCACCTGAGGTCGGGAGTTGGAGACCAGCCTGACCAACATGGCTAAACCCCATCTCTACTAAAAATATAAAATTAGCCGGATGTGGTGGCGGGCACCTGTAATTTGGGAGGCTGAGGCAGGAGAATCGCTTGAACCTGGGAGGCGGAGGTTGCGGCAGTGAGCCGAGATTGTGCCATTGCACTCCAGCCTGGGCAACAAAAGCGAAAATCCGTCTCAAAAAAAGCAAAAATTAGCCAGGCATGGTTACGCATGCCTGTAATCCCAGCTACTTGGGAGGCTGAGGCAGGAGAATCGCTTGAACCAGGGAGGCGGAGACTGCAGTGAGCCAAGATTGTGCCACTGCACTCCAGCCTGGGCGACAGAGTGAGACTCCATCTCAAAAAAAAAAAGACACAGTGTCTCCCTTTGTCACCCAGGTTGGAGTGCAATGGCATGATCAATAGCTCACTGCAACTTCAAACTCCTGGGCTCAAGCCATCCTTCTGTCTCAGTCTTGCCCTACAGGTATGCGGCACCACACCCAGCTAATTTCTTTTTTATTTTTCTTACAGACGGGGTCTTAGTATATTGGCCACGCTTGTCCTGAACTCCTGGCCTCAAGGGATTCTCCTTCCTTGGCCTCCCAAAGTGCTGTGATTATAGTTGTGAGCCACTGTGCTCAGCCTAAAAAAATTTTCCAGTTTGCTAAAGTTAGCCTATTTTATCATTTTCAAAAGATGTATATATAAATATAATTTAGCACTTGGCCTTTGACAGTGTTGCTCTGGTTGCCACAACATTGCTGCAATCAGAAGTGATCCTGTATTCACTCATTTATTCCTTTGTTCAGAAAAGACTGAGGGCTTGTTCTGTTTAAGTCACCATTGATAAGTACTCCAAGGAACACTAAGATGAATAAGGTATAATCCCTGCCTTATGGTTACTTATGAATAAGGCATTCTCATAAGTAACCATAACTGAGTAGAGAAAATGAAAAATATATGTTTTAGGAAAACTGCCACTAGGAGATAAGAGTTCAGAGAAATCTACTTTAACTATGGAGATTAAATAAGATTTTGTGAAGAAGTTGACATTTGGTGCTGAGCCTTGAAGGACAAGTAGAATTCAGGACAAGTGGAAGTGGAAAGGCATTATCGGTAATAATAAAAGTAATGAAAGGGAATATTACTTAGCATATACTCTGCTATACATGTCATTGTGCTATTATATACATCTCACTTAAGGCTCACTGAAGCTCTATGAGATAAGTAGAATTATCATCTCCAATTTACAGATGGGGAAACTGAGGCTTAGAGAGAAGTTAAATATTTTCCTAAAGTCACAAGATAGTTGAGCCAGGATTCACAGTCATGACCTCACTATTAATAGCTATGTTATATGAATGGAGGCAGGAAAACATGGGGCCCACAGGGGTTTACATGGGAAACTTCTGGGAAGTAGGGAACATGTCTGTTTTGCTCACTTTTCTATGTCTAGGGCCTAGCAGTATCTGGTGCATTGCAGATGCTCAATACATATTTACTGAGTTAAAGAAGTGATTGGTCCACTGTTGCTGGAGTGTAGGGTCTGTGCTGGAAGGCAGTAAGACAGGAAGGTTAGTTAGGGTCAGGCTGTGCTGGGTGTGAATGTGGAGATTCAAAGTAGAGGCAGGGCCTGAGTCCATCATAGAGCCAGAGAGCTGACACAGGCAAGTGTGGTAGACTGGATCACAGTGGGAGTACAGTTAGTGAGGAAGCCCATCACGGGACAACTTGGGAAGTACAAAACTCCAGGGAGGGTAGTGGGGATGGGAGAAGAGGCTGCATAGGTAGAACTGATGAGAAGAGGCTGGGATGGTGCTTGTTTCCGACTCAGAGGGGTGAGTGTGTTAAAAGTTATTTATCAGACCTTCTTCACTGCAAACCGTCCTCCTCCTTGACCACCCCTCTTCCTCTGAGCCTCCTTTCTCATCTGTAAAGTGGGGATAGTCATGGAAAAGGATCGGCCTGGGGGTTAAACGAGGAATTGTGGAAACAGTCAGTCCCCACCCCACCTCCTCCTTGTATGTTAGCTATTGCCATTTACATCTCCTTCACAGGAGGAGATCCTGGCTGAGCCTCTTCCCAAGAACTGAAATAATTACGTGACATGTGCCAGAAGGCCCAAGAGTCTTCAGGGTCTTGAAAAACACTCCTCAGCTGGCACTGTTTTTTTTGGCCAAGGCCCCTCCCTTTGCTAACCCCACTCACTTTGTGTCAGTATAAGAGTCTTCATACCCAAGGGGCCCCATAGCAGAAGTAAGTGATTAGTGCAAGCTCTTCCAGGAACACAAGGCTCTTTGGAAAACCCAATCCAAGGAGGAATAAAACTAGCACATATCCAGGCATATTAAATTTTCCTTCATAATAAGCACAGATAACTCAAGGAACCATTCCTCCTTCCTTTACCTATTCACTGCTCCCCCTCCAATAGAATAAAATTTCATGTAAACTTTGTATTTTCTTCCTGCCTGTAAGCCAGATGGGCAGGTATGCTTCCTGTTTCATGGATGGAAGGCTCAGGAGGCTGCCCAAAGTCATTCAGCAAACTCGGAGATGGGACCCAGGTTATAAACCAATTCTCCCAGCTCTCTAGTCTCTCATGCAGCCTGCTGTGTCTCTCTTTAGGAAGTTGTCAGCACAAGGAGCAAACAAGCACATAATTAATTACAAATAGGTTTTTGTTTTGTTTTGTTTTGTTTTTGAGACGGGGTCTCACTCTATTCCCCAGGCTGGGGTGCAGTGGTGCAATCATGGCTCACTGCAGTCTCAACTTCCCACTCTCAGGTGAGGGTCTCACTCTGTTCCCCAGGCTGGGGTGCAGTGGTGCAATCATGGCTCACTGCAGTCTCAACTTCCCACTCTCAGGTGATCTTCCCACCTCAACCTCCCCAGCAGCTGGGACTACAGGTGTGTGCCACCATGCCCGGATAATGCTTTGTATTATTTTGTAGAGATGGTGTTTTGTCATGTTGCCCAGACTGATCTTGAACTCCTGGGCTCAAGAGGTCCACATGCCTCGGCCTCCCAAAGTGTTGGGATTACAGGTGTGAGCCACCATGCCCAGCCCAAATAGGTATTTGGACCCATTTTATTAATTTGGTGAGTTTTATTTTTTGAGACAAGGTCTCGTCTCACTTTGTTGCCCAGGCTAGGGTGCAGTGATGCAATCACAGCTCACTGCAGCCTCCACCTCCCAGGCTCAAGCAATCCTTCCACCTCAGCCTCCTGAGTAGCTGGGACTACAGGAATGTGCCACCACACCTGGCTAATTTATTTATTTATTTATTTGTAGAGACAGGGTCTCACTGTGTTGCCCAGGTGGGTCTCAAATTCCCGGGCTCAAGCAATTCTCCCACCTTGGCCTCCCAAAGTGCCGGGATTACAGGTGTGAGCCATAGCACCTGGCCTAGTGTTTAAGCACATGATGTGTTTAAACTCTAGGCACAAGTTAGCCTGATCCTTGTCACTTTCTGCCTAAAGCATATTTTGTCTCTTTTTTTGGCCTCTCTTTTTTTTTGGCCACAGGTTAAATATTGCTCAATTATTTGGTTCCTCTAATTAGAGTTTACCCTTTAGAAAGATAGGATTCAACTTGTTTGGTATCTTCCTGAGGCCTAAGTATTTGAGGGATTCTCCATAAATACTTATGGATATGGCAATGGAGGGAAGAGAAGTAGGCTGTACAGAGTGGTGCAGTGAGTAAGAATAAGGCCTGGCGATATAGAACACCCTGAAAAACCCCACTCTGATAGTTAGCTGCTGCCTATGATGCTGAGTACCCACCTTACTTTCTTTTCTGAATTTCAATTGCCTTCCTTTGTAATTTGAAGACAATAACCATTCCAGGACCTAGCCTGTAGTGCCTGGCACATAGTAGGGGCTCAGTAGACATTTAAGGAAATAATAACTATCCCACTGGGTTATTATGAAGATTAAATGAGATAATGAATATCAAGTATTTCCCATAGAACCTAGCGTACACTAGTTACCCAATAAAAGTAGCTACTCCTGACTATTTGGTCATTACTCCTGACTATTTGGTCATTACTAAATGGTCATTACTGACTATTTGGTCATTACTAGTCCCCTCTTATCTGTGGTTTTGCTTCCTGATGTTTCAGTTACCTGTGGCCAACTGTGGTCAGAAAATATTACATACAATAAGATGTTTTGAGAGAGAAAGAGCACAGTCACATAAATTTTATTACTGTCTATGGTTATAATTGTTCTATTTTATTATTTATTGTTGTTTATCTCTTACTGTGCCTAATTTATATATTAAACTTTATTATAGGTAAGTATATATAGGAAAAACATAGTATATATAGAGTTTGGTACTATTTGGGGTTTCAGGCATGCACTGGGATAAGGGAGGATGACTGTATTTAGAAATATATGCATATAAAATACCATAGTTGGTTAGGAATCAAAAAAACCTGAATTCAAATCCCAATTCCATCATTTTTTTATTAAAACTTAAAAAAAATAGAGACAGGGTCTCACTGTGTTGTCCAGGCTGATCTCTAACTCCTAGGTTCAAGTGATCCTCCTGCTTTGGCCTTTCAAAGTGTTAGGATTACAGGTGTGAGTCACTATGCCCAGCCCCAGTTTCATTATTTTAATGTAGAAAAAACTACTGGATTTAGGATAAAGAGATTCAGGTATGAGACCTAGCTCTGTCTGGCTCTGCTGTGTGACTTTGGATAAGGAACTTTACTTTTCTTTTTCTTCCTTTTTCTTTTCTTTTCTTTTTTTGAGATGGAGTTTTGCTCTGTCACCTAGGATGGAGTGCAGTGGGGTGATCTCGGCTTACTGCAACCTCCGCCACCTGGGTTCAAGCAATTTTCATGCCTCAGCCTCCTGAGTAGCTTGGATTACAGGTGTGCGCCACCATGCCCAGCTAATTTTTGTATTTTTAGTACAGACAGTGTTTCGCCATGTTGGCCAGGCTGGTCTTGAACTCATGACCTCAGGTGATCTGCCTGCCTCAGCCTCCCAAAGTGCCGGGATTACAGGTTTGAGCCACTGTGCCCGGCCTTGGACTTCACTTTTCTGAACTTTGGTTTCTTCATCTGCAAAACAAGGAGAATGAGTAATCATTATGATTCCTTTTTCCAGTTCTAACAGCTTCTAAGCCTAAGATGTTGTCTCGGCCGGGCATGGTGGCTAACACTTGTAATCCCAGCACTTTGGGAAGCTGAGGTGGGCAGATCACCTGAGGTCAGGAGTTTGAGACTAGCCTGGCCATTATGGTGAAACCCCATCACTACTAAAAATACAAAAATTAGCTGGGCATGGTGGCGGGCGCCTGTAATTCCAGCTACTCAGGAGGCTGAGGCAGAAGAATTGCTTGAACCCGGGAGGCGGAGGTTGCAGTGAGCTGAGATCCCACCACTGCACTCCAGCCTGGGCGACAGAGTAAGAGTCAAAAAAAAAAAGATGTTGTTTCACACAGGTCTCTTACTTTCTCTGGCCCTAGTTTGTCTCTCTCTGGGGCAGAGCAGGCCCAGGGTAGGCAGATCTCAGTACCCCTCCACCCTCTACACAGCAGGGCCTGGCCATGCTTGTTCAACCCTGTTTCTGACTGCTGAGTAGCATGAACGAGTTTCTTGTCCACACAGTGCCCTCGTACCCTCACGAGTTCTCAGGGGTCAGGGGAGGGTACTTCTCTACCTCCAATTACAAAAAGAACAACTAACAATAATAATTATGTCCCCTATTAACAAAGTTTAGAGAGGGTCTAGAGTGAATAATCTCTTCAGGGATTACTTATCAATAAATTTGTAAAAATAAAGCTGTGCATGGTGGCACGTGCCAGTGGTCCTAGCTACTTCGAAGGCTGAGGTAGGAGGATGGCTTGAGCCCAGGAGTTTGAAGCTGCAGTGAGCCATGATCACAATGACTGCACTCCAGCCTGGGTGACAGACCTCATCTCTTCAAATAAATAAATAGTGCATTTCAGTGGCAATGTGCAATAATTTACCTTCTGATTAAGAGTACATGTAATGAACTTAGTAGATTCCTGGTTTAATTCATTGAGTAACATTACCTTCCTTGGTAGCTCTTTTGACGTACTGGCTTGTCTATAAAATTTACACAGCACCTTGACTAACATTGTCTCACTTGACCTTCACATGAGCTCAGAGGGTGGAAGCAAGTCAGGCATTATTTACCCCCATTTTTCCACCAGGAGAGGGGTCCAGGGAAGTGCGGCTAGCTGGCCAAGGCTTGGAGGCTGAATAACCCAAGAGTTGGAAGTAGACATGGCATTACCTGGCTATCCCTACCAGTACTTCTCCCCCATACTGGTTACAACAATCCTACAGCTCAGCTTTGCTGGCTGGGGCAGTTCCAAGAGGCTTTTCATTCAGTCTTCTCCTAGATCCAGCAGGTCGTGTGCTCTAATTCTTGTTTTGGAGATGGCCAACATTCCAGGCTGTTATGTTATGTGAGCACGTGGGATCACAGCCAGTCAGAAGCCAGGACTTCTCCAAGTGAAGTCATAAGCACCAAAGGGATCTTGCTAGACACGCAGATTTCTGGGTCCAGTCCCAGACCGAGCCTGATTCCTAATACTTTGGCATCTGCGTTCAAAGAAGTCTTCCCTTATCACCCAAACAAAAGTAGCCCATCTAGTCTAACTGATTACCACAGTTTAACTATTGTCTTCATAGATACTAGACAATAATTTATTACTTGTTTATTGTCTCTTTCCCCACCTTAGAATAAATTCCATGAGGATAGGGACTTTGTTAGCCTAGTTTATACCAAACCCGTTTCCTAGAACCCTGCAAGGCCCCCACAGTACGAGGTCAGTAAGTATTGAATCGAATGTACACTGAAGTTTGAAACTGCTGTCATACACTGCTCCTTCATTTTACAATAGAGAAACTGAGGCCCACGAAGCTGGAAGTCACTGCTGCAGAGATGGTAAGGGGGCAGGGCCAGGATAAAATCTCAGATCTCAGAAGTCCCAATCCAGGGACGGTTCAACTCCGCCCAAAGCAATTCTTTAGAAAAAAAACGACATCCACTTGAAAGAAAAGACATTTCCTGCCCATAAATACAAGGTTTCGCGGCGGGGAGAAGGGCCTGGCCTGGGTGAGGGCTTTAGTAATTCCGTTCCCACTTCCTAGGCGCCGGCTGCCCGCAAGGGCTAAAGACTCGCTTTCCAGGCCCGGAGTTGAACCCATCTCCGGGTAGTGTCGAGGCCAGGCCCAGCGGCGGCGAGGCGCGGAGCACAACCCACTGAGGTGCGGACGGCTCACCCAACCAAGGTCACCCGGGCGGGGACCGAAGGGGCCAGGCCCGCCGGGCACAGGGGAGGGGGCGGCGTTGGCGCGTCCTCGGGGCGGATGAGGGTCCTCCCTTCGGCCTCCTAGAAGTCAGGAATGACACTAATGGCTCCTTCCCCTGAATCTGACACCCAGCCTAAAGAGCACGAGCAGGCCCGGCAGGCCGCGTGGCCGGGTCCCATGTGCTCCACCTGAGGCCGCTCTCACGCGCTGGCCCTTTAAGATACCTCCCCTCCTCGCCCAGCCTTCTCTCCTATCCCCGTCAGCGCCCCCACCGACAACTCCCGAATTGCATCAGGCACGTGCTCGCCCCCGTCCGGTCTGAGCGTCCCTACCCCCAGCCCGGGAGGTGCTCTGAGGAATCGGAGACGAGGGGCGGGGCGAGGGGCAGGACCGCGTAGCCGTGCGCGCGCCGTCCCGCCGCCTCCTGCCCGCCCGTCGCCCAGGGCCCGGCCAGCGGCGCGCCCCCGCTGCGCCGTCCCCTCCCCTCGCCCGCCGCGTCGTGAGGCGCGCGCCCGCCCGCCGCCTGCCGCGGATCGCGTGGTCTGCTTGGCTCGCCGCGCCTCTCCCCCGTCCGTCCATATTGCTGCAGCCCCCGAGCCGGGAAGCCCGGGCCGCCCCGGGGGCGGGGGGGAGGGAGGGACGGGACTAGAAGCCTGCCGGGCTCGGGGTGGGGGCGTCTTGCGAGGAACGGGCGGGGGGGGACGCACGCCTAGGAGGCCTGGACTGCAGAGTGGGGGGCCTTCCTCCCCCCCCGCCCCGCTAGTGGGCCTCGGATTTACGGCGGCTGCATCTAACTGGGAGGGGGCCGCACCTCGCGTGAACCCCGACCCTTCTCTGCAGGGACTGGGGCCCAGCGCCCCGGAGGAAGGCGTCGCGGGCGCTCTGCTAGCCAAGTTCGAGGCGGGGGAGGCAGCCTCGGGCGCGCCCGGCTTCTCCGGGGGGGCGGGCGCGCAGATGGCCACTCAGGTGGAGCCGCTGCTGCCTGGGGGCGCCACGCTCTTGCAGGCCGAAGAGCACGGGGGGCTGGTGAGGAAGAAGCCGCCGCCGGCGCCCGAGGGCAAGGGCGAGCCCGGGCCAAACGACGTCCGCGGGGGGGAGCCGGACGGCAGCGCTCGGAGACCCCGGCCGCCCTGCGCCAAGCCGCACAAGGAGGGCACCGGGCAGCAGGAGCGCGAGAGCCCGCGGCCGCTGCAGCTGCCCGGCGCCGAAGGCCCGGCCATCAGCGACGGGGAGGAGGGCGGCGGCGAGCCAGGCGCTGGCGGAGGAGCTGCCGGAGCCGCGGGCGCGGGGCGCCGGGACTTCGTGGAAGCCCCCCCGCCCAAGGTGAACCCGTGGACTAAGAACGCATTGCCGCCGGTCCTGACCACCGTGAACGGACAGTCCCCCCCAGGTGGGTCTCCCTCCTTGCCCTCCTGGGTCCGGGGGCCTCTTCCGGGGACATGGGAGTCCCCTCCCCCAGCACCTCCAGGGCCCCGGGGTCTGCTACCGGTCATGGTGACTCGGGACTTTTTAAAATTGCCTCCTGGTTGATCCTGGTCGCCGCGCCCTCCCCCCCACCGTACACTCAGGGACCTGCCCCTGCCCGAGGGCCCGGCCTCCGGGAGGCTACGGCCACCGCCTGGGCCGCAGCGGTTAGTGGGCAACGGTGTGGTTCGGGCCTACCTCGTCGGCAGAGGGTGGGCGCTGGTTTCAGTGAAACGATCCCCACCGCATGCTGGTGTAAGAGACGGTTTCTGGTTTGAACCTTCCTCTGGAAGCCCCTCTTCCCACCCCGCCCGGCGCTCCCCGTTTTGGTAGCGTTGCGAGCGTCCCCATGTTGTAAATGTTTAATGAGCATATGTCACGGGCAACCCAGTGCCCGGCGCGGAGTACATGCTGGCCGCACGGATGCGGGGATTAAAAGTTAACAAGTTTTGTTCTCGGGGAGATGAAATTGGGCTTTAGAATCGCCATTTGGAGACGGGTTGAGGGGTCAGTTGTGGGGAGAAGAAACCCATCGTGTCATCGAATTCGGTGGTTTCCCTCCCCGATCCCGGGCACCTTCCGCCTTAAGAAGGAGCCCGATGGCGAGTGTGCTGGGGGAGCCAGTTAGGAGGTTGGCGGAAAATGTGAGGCGGGTGAGGGGCCTGCGGCGACTTGAGGGGCGTGTGGCGGCGGGGGAGGGAGTGGCCGGCCTGGGCGGGCGGGTGACAGTTGGGCGCCATGCGCCGCGCCGGCGGCCCGCGGGCCGCTCGGCCTCGGCGTTCGGTGCGGGCCGCGGCGCTGGGGGTGGCAGGAGGGTGCGGGCCCGCGGCGCGGCCCGAGTGTGCGTGTGCGCGGCGCGGGTGTGTGCGCGTCCCCCCTTCCCAGCATTCCTCTGCAGCCGGGACAACGTGGTGCCTCCCCGCGCGGGGAGCGGCATGTGACTGCCGACCGGCGCTCCGCGAGTCCTCCCTCTCCCTCCTCCGCGTTTTGGTCCTTTTGGACCGTGCCCCTTTCCGGGGGGAGGTAAGGGGTGCAGGAAATCCCAGCAGAGCCGTGTCAGCGTGGGGGGAGAGGCGGTGCAGAATATGGAGTCTGCTCTTGCATTGCCTTTGCCGAGAATAGATCGTCGGCTTGGGTGGGGGGGGCGCGCCCACTCTCCTCTCTCGGCCGGCGTATAGGGCGGGTCTCCATTCTTTGGTTTTGGGTCCGTTTGTGGTGGGTCGGTTTTAAAATTGTCTTGCAGTTGGAATGATGGCCTCTGGTCGTAGCCCTGGTGCTTTTAAAAAACTCACCTGCCGTAGCTGGTTGAGGCTAACTGGTTTAAACCATCAAAAATAAAGGGGGAGCTTAATGTCTTCACCGTCAAAGGAGTAGAAGCACTGCTAGTCCTAGGGAAGCCAGAATAGCCAGTCCTGAAAACAGCATGTTGCAATTTTTATTTCTTTTCAGGTTGCTTCATTTGGAGGAGGGGACATTTGGGGTTTACTAACAGTCCTTCATACTGTGTTCTCTTCCTTCCCCCCTGCTCCCCTTCCCCCCTGCTCCCCTTCCCCCCTGCTCCCCTTCCCCCCTGCTCCCCTTCCCCCCTGCTCCCCTTCCCCCCTCCTCCCCTTCCCCCTTCCTCCCCTTCCCCCCTCCTCCCCTTCCCCCCTTTCCCTTCCAGAGCCCTTTTATGCAAAAGACAGTGCTGAAACCTCCGTTTTCTTTCAGTCCCTCCTATCCACCCACAGAGTGAAGGAAAACAACTTTAAAACACTCTTTGGTCCTTCTCCCCTCTTTAAACTCAAAAGGGTATAATCATCCCCGGGAGAGAGCACTCCTTTTAAATGGGGCTACTCATCCTGGCTTGGCTAATGGTGAACCTACCTTGTGGGTTTTAAATCAACCGTGACATCAGGTGGTATTGGGTGCCTGAGCTGGCATTTTGTGTAAGTCCAGGAGCCCTTGATAGTGTGCGTCACTGGGGTTATTGATCGTGGGAAGAAGACAGCTTGGCTGGCATCTCACCTTTTCCTCTGAGTGGAGAAGCTGACTTGCTTTAAGTGCCCAAAGCAAAATTCTGAGTAAGGGTAGATTTGCTCTGTTATTGTTTTTTGGAATCTTAAGGCAAGAGAGTGTCTACTTGTTGGTTTAGAACCTTTGGAATAGGTTTTGACAGCCTAACTCAAGTTAATCCAGTAGCTTCTCTCTCTAAGCCTGTTGTTAGGGTTTGTGTGCATTTTGAGAGAGAATTCTATGATTGGGTTGTCAGTCTGGTAAGGCTAGATGATGACCCTTTCTCTGGAGCCTACGTGGATCTCTGAAGTGCTTTTCCAGCCCTGGTTTTATTTACAGCTTCGACAAATTTAAACGTGACACTAGTGGAGTGGCTGTGTGGTCTTGGGAATTTTTGTGTTCTGTGATGCACATGTTTTTGGGAGTCTACAGAAATGAGTACCTCATAAGCAAACTAAAAGCTTTCCAAAGCTTGCTGTAAATGCCTATTTTTAGCCTTACTTTTGGCTCAAATGTTGGTGTTTTAGTTCTTTAAGGGACACATGCAGTAACTAGTAATAAAATATGTTTCGTGATATCTCTACTTTCTTGTGGGGTTCTGTATTCTGGTTTAAGCGTCCAAGTCTTACATTTGTAGTTTTAAGTCTTGGGATTTGCATTTTGGTTTTTTAGATCTCCCTCCCTCCCCAGAGTATTTTTAAATGTTTAAAATTTTTGTCTTATCCTAGCCATACCCCTTTTAAGTATAAGATCCAAGACGTCTAAGTTAAGAGATGATACATAGCGAATATTCTGGGGTCAAACTGAGTGGGTTCAAATGCCACTGTACCACTTGTTAGCTGTGCTTCCTTGGGCAAGTTATTTAACCATTCTATGCCTCACCTTCTTAATTTGTGTAATAGGTATTTATGATTCACCTGCCTCATGGGGGTATTACCAGCATTCATTGTTATGATAAGTGTATTTAGCCCAGTGCCTGGCAGGTAGACATTGTTACTTACTCTGGGTCTTGGTGGGACTTTTCCCTGGGTCTCTGGTTTTCTCTACCTGTAATATGATGGGGTTGGTGAATGCAGATCTTTCCTTTTCTTGTGTTATATAAGTACTCCGTGAAATGTATGGGATCTGTCTCCTTAAAACTTGACTTTTGCTTATCCACAGACATGAAGGGCATGGATGGATAATTTAAAGGTTGCTGACTCTTAAGAATTAGCTATTTTTTGCTTTGGAATGTGGTGAGATGAATTTTAAAAAAATAAGTTTTAACTTTTTAGTTTGCCTTTTGTAAAGATTTTCTTTGGGGGGAGTTGCACGTGTGCTCTCAGGGATATGAGGAAAAGCCAGCCTAACTGGACTGAAAGTTTGCTGTGGCTGGTGCACATGTAGTGCCGTGAGACTTGAGAGTACAGATAGTCCCCAACTTATGATGGTTCAATTTATGATTTTTTGACTTTATGTTGTTGGGAAAGTGATACACATTTATTGGAAACTGTACTTCAGGTACCCATACAACCATGGTTTTTCACTTTCAGTACAGTATTCAATAAATTAATTACATGAGACATTAAACGCTTAAAATAGGCTTTATGTTAGATGCTATGGCCATCCGTAGGCTAATATAAGTGTTCTGAGTGCATTTAAGATAGGCTGGGCTAAGTTTGTTTGTTTGTTTGTTTGTTTGTTTGTTTGTTTTTTTGGAGACAGTCTGGCTCTGTCGCCCAGATTGGAGTGCAGTGGTGTGATCTCGGCCCACTGCAACCTCCACCTCCCGGGTTCAAGCGATTCTCCTGCCTCAGCCTTGAGAGTAGCTGGGATTACAGGCATGTGCCACCATGCCCGGCTAATTTTGTATTTTTAGTAGAACGGGGTTTCTCCATGTTGGTCAGGCTGGTCTCAAACTCCCGACCTCAGGTGATCCACCTGCCTTGGCCTCCCAAAGTTTTGGGTTGGGATTACAGGCGTGAGCCACCGCGCCCGGCCCTAGGAGCTACTTCTGATCCTGCTCATGACCAGCAATGTGGACACCGGCAAACGCTTTGCTTTCTCTGTGCCTGTTTCTTCGTCTGTAAAATCAGGGTATTAGACTAGGTCTAAATGTCTTAAAATTTTTCTAGTATCAAAAATTTTTTTCTAAAACTCCCTCCCCACAAAAGAAAGAAACCAAAGTAGAGCTTTATATATGTGTAGCTTTGTATTTGCGTTGTGATTAGGAATCCAAGCTCTCTGGAGGCTGGAGAAACTCTTCTGGCTTCAGGAGCCTAAGTCGATGGCTTGGGGGTGTATAATGGAGCAGCCAGACATTATGTGCCTTACAGTGTCTGAAAGCACACAGCACTGCCTGAAAATTTCCTCCACCAAATAAAAACTGAACCTAAATCTAACAGAACCATAGATCCAACTGCCAGTTTATAGGGAAATGGGGCTACAGGAACAGACTAATTAGCCATGAGGTAGGCAGTTATTCAGTTTCTAAATGTGAGAAATTCTACAAGACACACTATTTCCAATAAATAAATGGCATTTTTTAAAGGGAAGAACTGTTACAGATGAAGAAAGTTGAGACATCAGTCGTGCATTGTTGTGGATCTTGTTTGGATCTTGATTCTTGACCAAATGTCCAAAGACATTTTGATGACAACTGAGGAAATTGACTAAGTTAAGAAATTATCTTATTTTGTCAGGGGTGATAATGGTATTATGATTGTTTTTAACTGTGTAACTGGATATATTGTGCACCCCCACCTAAGAACTGTTAGGTTAGTCTATTACATAAGACTTAAGGCTTTTTCCTATTGTGCACTTGATCTTAGCCAAAAGGCCAAGAAGCAATATAGTGTGAATCACTTTCTCTTCTTCTAAGGAAAGGTCACAATTAGGACACCCTTTGAAGGGGAGAGTGGGAGGCAGCTTTCATCGGGAGCCTTCAGCTGGCCTGGCCCCTTTCCTTTTGCACAGGTAGTTTGAGTTTCATACTAACCCGGAAGTGAGTGCCTGCCAGGTAGGGGAAGGTTTTTAGGAAGTGGTTTTTGGCCCTTTGGGAGGTAGAGGGTAGTCACAAGCTTTCTTGAACTCTGAACCTCCTGAGGGTCGGGGTCTTTCTGCTGACCCACCCACTGTCTATAGTGGGACCTGAACTGGAGTAAGCAATCTTAATAGCTGTTACTGAGCACCCATTCTCTTTTCTGGGAGGTGGGCAGGGTGGGAGGAGGAGGAGGAGCAGCCGGCCTGAAACTACAAAACCTCTTTAAGATGGAGAGCTTGGCAGATGGGAGTTCCCCTGTTTGCAAAACCCAAGACAGCTCAAAGGGAGTAATTAGGGTGTTGGGGCCACTGGAGGTTCAGCAGGTGCCTCAGTCCAGACTCAAAAACCTCCCTGGCTGGTCCAGAGTGATCTAAGGGAGTGGCCAGGAGAGAGGATGGCCTTACCTTGCCTGGGATTCAAGAAAGGAAGTAAGTTTTGGTACCTCGCTGGTGAAAACATGGGAAACAGCACATCAATGTGAAGGGAGAAGGTGATGGGATTTAAATTAGAACATGGGCAGGGTACTTCTCTCTGCTCTCACTTTGTGACCTTAGATTGTTTGTCTAACCTGTTTTCCTTATTCACAGAATGGGGCTAATCCCGGTGCTGAGGTTGTTTAGAGCGTCAAATTGCTGTTGAGTATGGGGCAGTACAGTTCATGAATTGAAAAAGTCCTGCTGGGCGCGGGGGTTCACACCTGTAATCCTAGCACTTTGGAAGGCCGAGGCGGGCGGATCATGAGGTCAGGAGTTTTAAGACCAATCTGGCCAGCATAGTGAAACCTCGTCTCTACTAAAAATACAAAAAAATTAGCCAGGCATGGTGGCGTGTGCCTGTAGTCCCAGCTACTCAGGAGGCTGAGGCAGGAGAATTGCTCGAACCGGGGAGGCGGAGGTTGCAGTGAGCTGAGATCGTGCCACTGCACTCCAGCCTGGGTGACAAGAGCAAGACTCCATCTCAAAACAAAACAAAAAAACCAAAAAAACCTCCTACACAGAGGTAAGATGTAAGTTTTTTTTTTTATTTCAGAAGATTGCATTCCAAAGCCAGATATTGGTAATTACTCACTCTGAGGGTTTATCTGTGCCTTTCCGGAACTGAGTGGATAATCAGGAGTTAGCTGAATTTTCAACAAGGGCTATTTGTGGTAGTTACCAGGGGCAAGTGGCCAACTTCACATGGCTAATAGCCTGGGATGTCTTCCTGAAGGATGTTCCCAGAATCAAGGACAGTCCTAGTGTGGCACCTTTTTTTTCTTGGCTGAACCTTTAGACTGGCAAAGCCCTAGGTGTGGGGAGGGGAGGATTGTGGGTCTTCATAGATGAATTTTGTAAAGCCAGCTTGGTAGATCTGTCATATATGGCATGGGACTTCTCCATCTCAGTTTGATGTGCTGTTAGTAAACCTAGATGATTCCTCCATGACAGGCCTTGTTTACAGGCCACTTTGTAATTATTCTCCAAACTAGTGGTAACCACCTTACTCTCAAGACATACATTCCAGCCACTCAAAGTTGCCTTTTTCTTTGCCTTAGAATGGAGTTGCAAGCTTCTCAGAGGAAATTAAGTCCCACAGTAGCCAGGAGCCATCTAGATAAATGATCTGATAGAGATAGGGCTCTGTATGGTTTTTGCTCTGCTTTTCACTTAAACTAATTTATTTAGGCTCTTGATAATTCAGAGATAAGTAATAGTACTGGAATAGTCACCATTTACTGCATTTACTGAGTGTCTCACCTGTTCTAGCCCAAGTGATCTGCTGAGCAGATGCTTTTTTTTTTTTTTTTTTCTTTTTTTGAGAAAGAGTTTCTCTCGTTGCCCAGGCTGGAGTGCAGTGCACGATCTCAGCTCACCGCAACCTATGCCTCCTGGGTTCAAGCGATTCTCCTGCCTCAGCCTCCCAAGTAGCTGGGATTACAGCCATGCACCACCACGCCTGGCTAATTTTTTGTATTTTTACTAGAGATGGGGTTTCTTCATGTTGGTCGGGTTGGTCTCGAACTCCTGACCTCAGGTGATCTGCCCACTTCGGCCTCCCAAAGTGCTGGGATTACAGATGTTAGCCACCGCGCCTGGCCCAGCAGATGCTCTTTTTATTCCCACTTCACAGATGAGGAAAGTGAGACTCAGGAGACGTTTAGCAACTCTGTCCTTCTAATTGCTCAGACTAAAGACCTTAAGATCATCCTTGCCACCTCTGTTTTTTTTTTTCTGGCTGGTTGCAGTGGCTCACACCTGTAATCCCAGCACTTTGGGAGACCGAGATGGTAGGATCATGTGAGCCCAGGAGTTCAAGGCTGCAAGTGAGCTGTGATTGTGCCACAGTACTCCAGCCTGGGCGACAGAGTGAGACCCTGTCTCTAAAAAGTAAATGTCTTTTTGTGACCC
Source organism: Homo sapiens (assembly GCF_000001405.40). Taxonomy (NCBI): domain Eukaryota; kingdom Metazoa; phylum Chordata; class Mammalia; order Primates; family Hominidae; genus Homo; species Homo sapiens. The sequence continues at coordinate 154,763,672 of NC_000005.10, forward strand.
CACATGTAATGTACTAGTACATCCTTTGACAATTAAACACTGTGTCCTGGCCGGGCACAGTGCCTCATGCCTGTAACCCCAGCACTTTGGGTGGGAGGCCAAGGTGGGCAGATTGCTTGAGCCTGGAAGTTTGAGACCAGTCTGGGTAACATAGGGATACCCCATCTCTTACAAAAAAAAAAAAGTACAAAAATTAGTCGAGCATGGTGGTGCGTGCCTGTAATCCCAGCTCCTGGGGAGGCTGAGGTGGGAGGATCACTTGAGCCTTGGGAGGTAAAGGCTGCAGTGAAAGATGAGTGTGTCACTGCACTCCAGCCTGGGCAACAGAGCAGGACTGTCTCAAAAAGAAAAAGCTGCCTGGGTGCGGTGGTTCACGCCTGTAATCCCAGCACTTTGGGAGGCCGAGGCAGGTGGATCACCTGAGGTCAGGAGTTCAAGACCAGCCTGGCCAACACAGTGAAACCCTGCCTCTACTAAACATACAAAAATTAGCTGGGCGTGGTGGCATGCGCCTGTAATCCCCAGCTACTCGGGAGGCTGAGGCAGGAGAATCGCTTGAACCTGGGAGGCAGAGGTTGCAGTGAGCTGAGATTGCACCATTGCACTCCAGCCTGGGTGACAGAGCAAGACTTCATCTCAAAAAAAAAAAAAAAGCTGCATCCAGGTTGGGTGTGGGGGCTTATACCAGTCATCCCAGCACTTTGGGAGGATCACTTGAGCGCAGGAGTTCAAGACCAGCCTGGGCAACATAGTGAGAGACCCCATCTCTTTAAAAAAAAATTAACTGGGTGTGGTGGTGCATTCCTGTGGTCTGAGCTACTCTGGAGGCTGAGGTGGAAGGATTGCTTGAGCCCAGGAGGTCGAGGCTATATTGAGCAAGAGCCACTGCACTCCAGCCTAGGCAATGCAGTGAGACCATGTCTCAAAAAAAAAAAAAAAAAAAAAAAAACTGGCTGGGCGTAGTGGCTCACACCTGTAATCCCAGCACTTTGGGAGGCCGAGGCGGGAGGGTCAGTTGAAGTCAGGAGTTTGAGACCAGCCTAGCCAACATGGTGAAACCCAGTCTCTACCAAAAATACAAAAAGTAGCTGGGCGTCATCGTGCACACCTGTAATCCCAGCTACTTGGGAAGCTGAGGCACAAGAATCGCTTGAACCTGGGAGGCAGAGGTTGCAGTGAGCCGAGATCATGCCACTGCTCTCCAGCCTGGGCAACAGAGCAAGACTCCATCACAAAAAAAAAAAAAAAGAAACAACAAAAAAAACCTATGTCCAGATCTAAATGCTTGTACCGCCTCGTCTCTTGCTGGCCTGGACCATACATCATCATTTCTCATGTAGATTTTTGCAGCAGCCTCTTAACTGGTCTCCTATCACTCCTACTTAAAGCCCTCTGGTAACTTCTTAGCAGAGTAAAATTCAGAGTCCTTAGAGTGTTCTCTAAGACCGCACTTGATCTGGTCTCTGTCCACCTAACCTCTGACCTCATCTTTCATCACTTGCCCCTTCTTCACTCATTCCCTTCCAGCATCAGTCCTCACTTCCTGAAACATGTCATGTACTCTTTGCTTTGGGTCTTATGTTCTGTAGTGCTCTTCCCGCAGATCACTGTGGTGGAAATGCCTTCCCAGACCACCCTATATAGACTAGCAAGTCCTGACCTTGGATTCCCTCTCTCCATCCCTCTTACCCTGCTTCATTTTTCTTCTTAGTTCTCCCCACTGCCCCCCGCCGCCCCAAGGCAGGGTCTGAGTCTGTCATCCAGCCTGCAGTGCAGCAGTGCAATCACGGCTCACTGCAGACTCAACCTCCCAGGCTCAAGTGATCCTTCCACCTCAGCCTCCAGAGTAGTAGCTGAGACTACAGGCACACGTCACCACGCCTGGCCAGTTTTTTAATTTTTTGTAGGAATGGGGTCTCACTATGTTGCCCAGGCTGGTCTTAAACTCCTAGGCTCAAGCAGTCCTCCCACCTCGGTTTCCCAAAGTGCCAGGATTACAAGCATGAGCCACGGCACCTGGCTATTTTTCTTCTTAGCTCTTATCACCACTGGGTCAGGGACTTCGATACCTGATTACGTTTGTATTCCCAGTACCTGCAGCAGTGCCTGGCACAATGTAATAGGCAGCTTGGTGAACATTTAGTGAAAGAATGAATTGCGTATTTTTAATGGCATTCATTCATTACATTTTGAGTGCTTACCATGTGTCAGACATAGGGGATACTGCAGTGCATAATAAAAAGTCTCTGCAAGAAACACATGCACTCAAAATTCAGTATGGAATATGTTGTGTAGGGAATCCCAAAGTATGGAATTCTTTGGCAGTGTAGCAGGGGCACCCAATTCAGTATAGGTCAGAGAAGTCTTCTAGAAATGGGAAGGATGAGTAGCAGTCACCTGAGAAGAAGCCTGGAAAGAGAACTCAGTTTTGGTTGAGGAAAGGCCCTGGTGTTCAGGGAACTGAGTTCCTTGTGGTTTTAGTATGGATGATTAGAAAGTAAGGTAAGCAGTCCTGCCTTGTAATCTGTGCTGAATTCTGATTTTAGCTGGAAGGAGTGGAGAGACATCGAAGATTGTATGTGAGGGGAGTAGCATGGTCAGATTTTTCCTTTTGAAAGATGACTCTGGCCACATGGCAGAACGTCTTGGGTTAAGAATAGGTGATTTGGGGTTTCCCATTTGATCCTTTAGGGCAAGGTTCCCAGATTACAAAATGGAGCAAATTTCCAAGTCACTCCTGAAATGTGGATCTTGGGCAATTATTAACTGTCATCACTTAGGGGTAGAGAGTGGCCGAGGTTTATGGGATATCTCAGACCCTTCAGAAGGCTACATTATCCAGAATGCATCTCATTTGCTGGAAGAGGCACAGTTGCTGATGAACTGGTTGAGCTCATGCTTGCCTGCTTGCCCCTGCTGCAGCTGGCTGGGTGGGAACAACAAGAGGCCCTGAAAGTTGTAGAAGGGGCAGTGGGGCAGGCTTCCAGGTGGCAGTCGGCCCCCTTCTCCTGGGGTGGTCCACATGGCTAGGCTTCTAACCATCAGCTGGTTTTACAGCTATGCTGAGAACAGTGGGTTTGCATTTGCCTACAGATAGGCTGCTACCCTGAGTTCTTGAGAACATTGGGCTATAGTTAGGCTTACCCAGCCCAGTTTCCTAGTTGTCAGCACTGTCTCCATTGCTGTGCCCTCAGGGCCTTGGTTTTCCCTTCCTCCTTTCAGAGAAGAGGGAATATTTGGAACTGGAAGGGACTCAGAGGTCATTCAATCTAAACCTCTCATTTACAGGTTAGGAACTTCAAGCCCAGAAAGGAAATAGGAGTTGTTCAGGATTCCAGTCAATTCAAAGTGAGGCTGAGACTTGAAACTGCTCCCACTACAGTTCTGTTTTAACTCTACCTCTGGAGGAAGAAGTAAAATGGGGTAGTTGAGCATGAACTTGGGACAGTCAGTCACAGTTAGCGCAGCCATTTACCCACTGAGTGCCCTTGGATAGGTTGCTAACTTCTGGGCTTCAGTAAATGGGGCTATAGCTGGAGTGCCCACGTACTAGGATCATTGATGAATGTGAGCTAGGTGAATATATAAAAATACTCAACTGGAGCCTGGCACATAGTAATACGTGGTAATGGTAAGAATGTTGAATGTTCTTCTTTTGAGGCCCTGACTTTGGCCCAGGTCTTCAATTTGCTTAACAGAAGTCAGGTGCTATAGCTGGCCTTCCTCTGTTGTCCTGGGTCCTCTTCCCCTTGATTGCTGCAGTTTGGTCCTGAGTATACACAGGAAGGTAGCCTACGTGAACTCTCAGAGCCAGTTTTTCTGACCTTGCCCTAGGCTGGCTCAAGCAACTCCATATTGAAGTGGAATTTAAGGACTCACTGGGGACCATAATCTTGACAGTGAGAAGCTCAAATTGTGGTGCTTGAGAATGCCCTAGTGTTAGAATGTCAGAGATGAGTTCAGGCGTTTTGCAGTAAAACTCTCCCACTCTCTTTCATGGCTTTCTGCAGCTTTGAGGTTGTTTGAAGAAGCAGAGCTCTCTCTGATTTTTCTGTTCTGTATATGTATTTCCTGTTCTGCGTGTGTATTAACAGTGGTAGGAGGAAGAGACACCAATTACATGGATGGAATAGCCTAGTTTTGGAGCCCAGTGTAGGGGTGGGGTTTGGAAATGGTGAGTGCAAGGTTGGGTATGGGAGGCTGGATGCTGCTTCTAGGAAATGTGGGAGACAGGAAATCAGGAACACCTGGAAGAATTGGCTCACTGGGCTGCATGCATCCTTCTATGAAGAAGGAATGGTTGAAGAACTAGGGTTATTTTGCCCAGGGAATCAAAGCTTGGGGGTGCGGTGGGAAATGCTGCTTGTCTTGAAATACAGAATTTTGATAGATCTTTTCCACTTGGCCTAAAGCTCTGATGGCAGGTGAGAGATGAAGGGTTAGTAGGTTTTGCCTGTAGTCAAGTAGTAACTTTTAACAGTGCCCCTAAATGGATTCAGTTGTCACAGGGGATACTGAGTTCCTTGACATGGTAATATTTGGGACAGTAGTTTAGAGCATGATTTGTTGTAGGGTTCTGCAGCTACAAGTTGGCAAAATACTTTTCAGATTCATTCATTCAGAAAGTTGTGAATACTGTATCTGTTAGGTGTCAGGCCCTGAGATTCAGAGTTGTAAACAAGACACATTGCGGCCATGGTGGGGCTTATATTCTGAAAGGCAGAAGTCACCTGTCAGTCCAGCCCACTGACAAGTTTTGATTGACTTGCATGTAAAAACACTTTAATCATCTGTATTTAAAAATCAAGAAAATTATCTGGAAACCTAGGGAATTCTAGCTTTAAAAAGAAATCAGAGTCAATAAGCAACCACTGAATTATGTACCCTATTTTTTATTTATTTATTTTTATTTATTTATTTATTTATTTGAGACGAAGTCTCACTCTGTTGCCCAAGCTGGAGTGCAGTGGCGCGATCTTGGCTCACTGCAACCTCCACCTCCTGGGTTCAAGTGATTCTCCTGCCTCAGCCTCCTGAGTAGCTGGGACTACAGGCACGCGCCACCATGCCCGGCTAATTTTTGTATTTTTAGTAGAGATGGGGTTTCACTATGTTGGCCAGGCTGGTCTTGGAACTTCTGACTTCGTGATCCACCCGCCTTGGCCTCCCAAAGTGCTGTGATTACAGGCATGAACCACCTTGCCCAGCTGTATTTTACTTTATTTTTTTGCGTGATCTCAGCTCACTGCAACCTCCGCCTGCTGAGTTCAAGCAATTCTCCTGTGTCAGCCTCCCAAGTAGTGGGATTACAGGTGCCTATCACGCCTGGCTAATTTTTTGTATTTTTAGTAGAGACTGGGTTTTGCCACACTGGCCAGGCTGGTCTTGAACTCCTGACCTCAGGTGATTCGCCCACCTCGGCCTCTCAAAGTGCAGGAGTTAAAGGTATGAGCCACTGCCCCTGGCCAAATTGTGTACTTTAAATGGATGGGTTGCATGGTATGTAAATTATGTGAATAAAGCTGTTATAGGGGTAAAAATGAGAAGGCCTAGCCGCTCTGGACCTCTCATGACTGCTGTCTGATGGCAGGGCCCAGCCTCCCTTTAGGTGAAGAGTGCCACAGCTTGGCTCTTGTAGGCCCTTGAGTTTGCCATCTTTTATCCAGGCTTCCTTCCAACATGAGGTCTATGGGCCCAGACTTTGTGTATTTCATCATAAAAATGAGAAAGGACAGCAGACTGCCTAGCTCACAGAGGAACATCCTCATGGGAGAAGAATGAGAGGAGGCGGTGGGGGACGTGGGGACGACTTTAAGGTCTTAGGGTAGGAGTTGCACTCAATAGAGGTGAGGTAGGGGGAGTGAGTGTGATGGAGAGATAGGACTCACCTAGCTTTGTGGCCAGAGGCCCTGGAGCAGCAATAGAAAGCTCTCTGAGAGTTAAGGGATGGGCTTGCCAGGTGAAACTGAGTTATGTTAGGCCCCAGTGAGACTTTGCTTCCCTCCCCTCATCTGCGAAATGGATATAGCATCTTGGATGTCAATCTCTAAGGCTCTGTTAAGCACAAACACCCTGTGTGATCAGTCTCAGAGTATAAAGGAGAAAGATGTGGCTAGAGGCCTTGTGGCAGTAGCTGGGGGCAGCTTCAGTCAAAGTGTTGGGGAGTGCCTCTCACGGTGAGCCAAGATAGGATTGATAAGGAGACTGGTGGTGAACCTTCTAACCTGGAGGAATAACAAGTACCAGGTGGTAATGAGTTTAGAGTTCTCCAAGGAGCAGAGACAAGGCCTGTATGAATGAGGGGAGAGAGACACAAAGAATCAGAAACAGGAGGCCTTTGGAGGCCAGCTTAGGGAGTCTGGATCCTGTTCTGAAAGCATTGGAAGAGGTGATATCACCTGATTTCTGCTTTAGGATTACCCAGTTCTGTGGAAAATGGACAGAGGAGGTAGGGGGAGGAGGCAAGGTGGAAGCAAGGAGACTGCTTAGGAGACTACTTCTGTAGTAGTCCAGGAAAAAGATGGAGAGGAGGGGGATGATGGCATAGTGACTTGGGCCTGATTTTTTTTTTTTTTTTAACTAGCTGTTTTGTCCTGAGACTAGACCACTTAAAGAGGAAGCTTTCTGATTGCTATTTCGTATTTCCTCCTCACTTCTCACACTGTCTAGAAGCTGAATTAGTTGCACTATCCCCTGATCAGAAGGGTAGTTTAGGCAGGCATTTTCCCCCTGGTTTTGGATCTCTTGGCCCCAAAGCCATGCTGAGGACAGGTGCTTCCCTGCCTAGGCTACCTCTCCCGGCCTGTCCCTGGCTCCCTCCCTGCCCATCCCTGGCTCTCTCCCTGCCCCAGGGTAGAGGTGGAATGAGGGTATGAGAGAATAGCCTGAGACACAGGCAAGGGCATGGTTGGGAGGGCAGTCCAGGAGGTTGGGACTGATCTTGACCCTGAGTCTGTATGTCATGGTTTTTTCTTCCTGACTTCTTGTCAGGAACTGCTGTGGGTTTTTGATTTCAGGTAAGATCCTTAGGGCAGAGTCAGAGCAAGCTGCTGGAGCACAGTCTGGGAATCCAGACTGGAGTTCTGATTTTAGTCCCACTCTCTAGTTTCTCCTGGCTAGAACTTCATTTCTCACAACTTTTATAAAGGGATTGGATCCTGGCCGGGCACGGTGGCTCATGCCTGTAATCCCAGCGCTTTGGGAGGCCGAGGCAGGTGGATCACCTGAGGTGAGGAGTTCAAGACCAGCCTGCCCAATGTGGTGAAACCCCGTCTCTACAAAAATACAAAAATTAGCCAGGCGTGGCAGCAGGCGCCCGTAATCCCAGCTACTCGGGTGGCTGAGGTGAGAGAGTCGCTTGAACGCAGGAGGTGGAGGTTGCTGTGAGCCAAGATCGCGCCACTGCCCTCCAGCCTGGGCAGCAGAGCGAGACTGTGTCTCAAAAGAAAAAAAAAAAAAAAGGATTGGATCCTGTGCTGTCAAGTGCAGTGCTTATCAGTGAGTAATAGCCTTTATCATGTCCTTGGGCTTGGCCAGGTGTCCTAAAATCTGCCTCATGGGTAGCTTGCCTTGGTGAGGACAGATGCCCCAGGAACCCAGGCCGGAGTTCCTGGAGACCCTCTGCTAATCTCATGATTATTGAACTTTCAAGCTACCACACACTCCTATTCACTGTCACCATTCATTTTCACAGTAACCCTGTGGGATCTAGCTACAGTGACAATCCTCATTTTACGGATGACAAAACAGGTGCTCGTAGAGGTTCACTAATTTGCTGAAGGCTTCACAGTAGTTAGTAAGTAGCTGGGGTTTGAGCCCATGGCAGACTGACTCCAGAGTTCATGCCGTACACATCATCTGGCTTTGCATTCTCCCAGACCACAGAATTGTACATATCCTGCCAGGAAAACTGTTGGCGGGGAGAGAGGACTCGCACAGATCTTGAGCTGCTGATATCTGTATAGGGCTGTTACGGCCCAGCCTAGACGCCTCAACTCTGCCTCCGCTGGCAGGGTGGGCTCTGGGGACATAAGCCAAGTGGGTATAAGCCAGGCACTGATCCTGCTGGGGAGCTCTGGCTCTTATTCCCCTAGAGATGTTCCTCTTCAGCTCTGCCGGGCCACATGCAGGCCTGCTGGAAAGACCTTGTAGTTTTTCACGAATGGCCTTAGGGTCAGTAGGAAAGGTTGGGGGTGGGGTTCTCTACAGGCTTTGGAAGGCTGTCTGGCTTTGTGTTACCAAAGAGGACGGAAAATACCCTATGTGTTGGGCCTTTTAACTTCTTTCGAAGGGGAAATCTTCAGGTTGCTCAGGCAACACCAATTCATTGTAGAAAAATGTCCAAATATATTTTAGCAAAAAGAAAAACAACCCCTTGGTAATCTGTCCCACTAACCAGCAAATATACAACGCACATGAACATAAATACACATATAAATATAATAAGCATTGATGAGATTGTGTATCTTTCTAGACCAGTGCTAGCCACGTAAATTAAAATTTTCTAGTAGCCAAAACAGGGGAAATCAGTTTTAATAATCTAATATATTCAAAATGCTGTTTTAACATAATGTAAAAATAATGAAATGTACATTCTTCTTACTAAGTTTTTGAAATTTGATGTCTTTCACACTTCTTGATTTGGGCTAGGAACATTTCAAGTGCTCAGTATCCACATATTGTGGCTCGTGACTATGGCATTGGATAGCGTATTTCAAGTGTGTGTAAGAGTATACATATATATACACCTTTTTAATAAAAAGACAAAATGGGGTCATAGTATAGTAGCCTTCCCGTTGTCTATGGGGGATACATTTCAAGACCCTCCAGTAGATGCTTGAAACTTCAGCTAGTACTAAACCCTCTATATGTTTTTTCCTATACATATGTAACTGTGATAAAGGTTAATTTGTAAATTAGGCGCAGTAAGAGATTAACAACAACAAAATACAACAATTATAACAATATATTGTAATAAAAGTTATGTGAATGTGGTCTCCTTCTCAAAATATCTTTTGTTTTGTTTTGTTTTTTGAGATGGAGTTTTGCTCTTGTTGCCCGGGCTGGAGTGCAATGGCATGATCTCAGCTCACCACAACCTCCGCCTCCCAGGTTCAAACAATTCTCCTGCCTCAGCCTCTGGAGTAGCTGGGATTATAGGCATGTGCTGCCACACCCTGCTAATTTTGTATTTTTAGTAGAGACGGGGTTTTTCCGTGTCGGTCAGTCTGGTCTCGAACTCCTGACCTCAGGTGATCCACCTGCCTCCCAAAGTGCTGGGATTACAGGCATGAGCCACCGCACCTGGCCTTTTTTTTTTTTTTTTTTTTTTTAAAAGACCTTGCTGTTCTATCCTTTGAGTTACTGTTGGGACAACTGGGAAGAGGGAAGAGTTGCGATAAAGAACAAGGAAGGCTCCATGACTGGAAGTTTAGTCCGCCCAGTTTTTGTACTGGAAGGGCTTATTGCTGATTTCATTAAGAAAACGTACGAATGGGGGCTTCTGTCACCTCAGAATATCTTATACTGTACTCACGTATTTTGGGGTCTCAGTTGACCATGGGTTACAAACTATGGCTAGGGGGGCAGGGATCCACTGTATTGTAAGCTATATATTTTTTCCATTTAGAAACATAGGCTTTCAAGGGGACTTAATCTTTTTGTAACCCTCAAAGCCACCTTAGGAAGGAAGGTAACAGTTTGCTGTTGAGAGAAAGGTTAAGGAACTGTGGCTGTGAAGGCACATACCCAGCTGCTACCTGTGAGCCCTCCACTCTTTCCCTGCCCTCTGCAGGCACGCTGGGGTTGAGGCCTCTGAGCCTGGGCCACAAATCACATGCACACATGTGTAAGTGCATGTTCCCCCACAGCACTGTGCTGGGGGAAGCAGGCACAGATAGGGGAAGATACTTAACCGAGCTGCCACGCAGGGATAGGATATTTAAAACACAAGCACCCTGAACTCCCAGTCCAGTGTTCTTTCCACTCATCTGCCAGATTCTGAGAGCTTCCTGCCTGGTTTTGGAACTACTTGAAGTACAAAGAGGAAACTAATGGAGGGTGGGCAAAGGCCTTCCACTTGGTTTGTCTGGGAGTACCCTCAAGTCTACAGCCTACCCCGCTGATGGAAGCAGGCCAGCACTGGCCTGTCTCTTGGGGAGAACAAATGTGGATAGGCAGTGGGAAAAAGACCAGTTGGGCCAGAGTAGTTGCAGAAGGGGACATGGGTTGGCCTGAGTCAGGTTGGGACATAGAAATCTCTAAATAATTGGTTTGTCCAACAATCCTGCACCCCTAGTGTGGGCACAAGTGCCTCACACTAGGCCACTTTGTGACAAGAACGTCATGCAGGTTTGAGATTTGTAGAAGCCTGGCTTCATTTTTTTTTTTTTTTGTTTCTCCACACCTAAACCGGTGCCTCAGTTTTTCAGCCTGTAAAATTGGGCTGCTTCTTAGATATGCCATTGGCTTGCTGCTGGCCTCCTCCGTCCCTTTGGAGGAGGGCTGAGGATGAGCAGCTGACTTGGGTTAGCCCTCAGATGAAAGGGACCAGAGTACTGATGATTGGGGGTTTAAAGACTGGATGGAGTTTAAATACTGGATGGATCCAGGGAAGCCAGCCTTTCTCTGCATCACTGCATCCCTGCCCCATGCTTGTTTGCACTGCAGGGAGTAGCAGCTATGGCACCCAGCAGCCCTGTGCCAAGTCTCCAGGCTGGGGAGGGTCTGCTCCAGGGAGTGAGGGGGTGCCTTGGTTTGCACTCTGGGAGCCAAATTCCCTCGAGGTAGGATATTGCTCAAGATGGCATTTGCCAGAGCTGAGGAGTCTAAGGCACCATCTTTTCATTTCTCCTGGGGTCTAGTCTTATTACTCAAACCCTTGGATATAACGGGTTGGTACTACCTTTGGGAAGACTTAATCTCTTGCATTTCCTCTGAGGTGGGATTGGAGAGGCAGTAAAGGTCCCTATTGGCTGTTGCTGGGCTTGTAGTTGCTCTGGGATGTTCTCTGCTGTCCCTGCCCCAGGCCTTTTCTGCCCACATATCATCACTGCCATTGCCCCTCTGAGGTGCCAGCTCTTTGGAGATCCTAGACTTGAAGCAGGTCAGAATCTAAAAGGGCTTTGGTCACTAAGAAGCCGTCTGGTCACTTCTTTTACAGAAAACCAAGTCTGTATTTTGACCAAAGTCTCTCAGGTGGCACCAGGGGGGATCACAGTGCCTGCATTAGGATTTGTAGGCTTTGTTTCCTTGAGGAAAGAAACAGTTGAAACTCAGTAATTTCAGGGAAAAAAAGAAAAACAGGAGGCCCTTTGAATGGTCGGTGCTGCCAGGGGGAGATCAGAAGAGGACTAGGGCTGGATATAGTGGCTCACACCTGTAATCCCAGCGCTTTGGGAAGCCAGGGCAAGAGGATCACTTGAGCCTAGGAGTTTCAGTCTAGCTTGGACAAGATGGCAAGACTGTCTCTACAAAAATTAAAATTAGCTGGGTGTCCCAGCTAATTTAGTCACAGCTACTTGGGTGGCTGATCCAGGAAGATCGTGTGAGTTCAGGAGCTTGAGGCTGCGGTGAGCTAGGATTGTGCCACTGCACTCCAGCCTGGGTAACAGAGTGAGACCTCGTATCTAAAAAACGTAAGTGAATAAAAACAAGAACTTCAAATACAAAAATTAGTTGGGTGTGGTGGCAAGCACCTATAGTCCCAGCTACTCAGGGGACTAAGGTGGGAGGATCACCTGAACCCGGGGAGGTCGAAGCTGCAGTGAACTGTGATCATGCCACTGCATTCCAGTCTGGGTAACAAAGTGAGACCCTCCCTCAAAAAAAAAAAAAAAAGGCGACTCCCCTGCGGCTTTGGTGCTTGCTGGAGCCCAGGCCTTCAGGTTGCAGATGGTTCTAGAGCATTGCCTTTGCAATAAACAGTGTTTTTGATTCTTGACTGTTTTTACTCACATCATTCCCTTTTCTGAGTTGCATTATCCCCACCTGGCAGGTGAACTAACGGGCTCAAGAGGAGTGGATTCTGGTGGCCTCAGTCCCCTGTAGGGCCTACAGGCTTGATCTGGAGCCTTTTGGGGACAAGAACCTAATGTTTGTTTCCTGCAGTGCTGAGAGGGGTTTGGGGTAGCCTGGGATTTCATATCCTTGGAGTCAGATACCTTCTCACTGGATAACCTTCGGCTAACCACTTAGCTGCCTTGAGTCTTCTAAAACTGGGATAATAGTCCCTCCATTGTGAGGACTAAAAAACTTAAATGCACAAAAGGGGCACGGCAGGAGGCCTGGCTTCCTGAGGTAAATGCCTAGTAAGTGGTGGCCATTATTACTATTATTAGTATTTTAAAGTAAATATGGCCGGGCTTGGTGGCTTAACTCCTGTAACCCCAGCACTTTGGGAGGTTAAGGTGAGAGTATCCCTTGAGCCCAGGAATTCAAGACCAGCCTAGGCGGCATAGCAAGACCCAGTATCTATTTTATTTTATTTTGTATAGAGACAGAGCATTGGGTGAGCAAACAGTAAGATTTTTAGGGTAAGAGAAGCTGTTCGGCTGTGAGGCAAAAGCAGGTGGACAATTCCCTTCAGAACCTTCATTCTTCTGGCAAAGCCAAGTTTTGGAGCTTGTTACAAAACTTAAACCCCAGCCCAGACTGATCCCTTGTGACCTCATATCTGTCAGGACACTCATCATGTGGCTTCTTGGATCACTGTTGGTTCCTGGTGCTGGAGATTAGACTGGTGGGTAAAGGGAGAGTACCTCCTGCACCTCTCTTCTGGCTGCTGTTTGTGTGTGTAATTGAAACTACCTGCTCTTGTAAACCAATTAAGTCCTGTCTATACAAGTGAGACCCTGCACTGGGGTTTGGAGACCTGGGTTCCTTCCTGGCAGTCTCACTCATTGGCAGCTCAGTTCTTAAACATTAATCTGCCATGAGCAATTGCACAGGAAGCATACAACTGCAGGTGTTCAATTTATGCCCACCTTCTTAAATTAATTTCTGGAGTTTATAGAGGGAGTCAAGAATCTGCATTTCTCCCAAGCCAGCCCCTCTTCCCAGATGCTCTGTAGACCACAGAAGTGGTATTGCAAGCCTGCTAGCTCACTGATCTACAGTTTCTACAAATGTGAAGTGAGTGTTTTTCAAACTACCTTCTGCTCAGGAACTCCTGCTGAATGGGAGTCACTCAGTTTAGTAACATTTCTTTTGGAACAGCTCTGCTATTTTTCTTTTCAAGTAATTTAAGTGTTTAATACATACTAAGGAATATAAATCTAAAATAAATATCAAAACAACCCAAGTACAGTCTCGTGTCACTTAACAGGGATACATTCCGAGAAATGTGTCATTAGTTGATTTTGTCATCGTATGAACCTAGAGTGTACGTACACAAACAAATGGCACAACGTACTATGGACTTAGGTTGTATAGTATAGCCTGTTGCTCCTGGGCTACAAACCTGTGTAGCATGTTCCTATACTGAATACTGTAGGAGTTGTAATACAATGGTAAGTATTTGTGTATCTAAACATAGAAAAAGTATTGTAGGTCGGCCGCGGTGGCTCATGCCTGTAATCCCAGCACTTCCCAGCACTTTGGGAGGTTGAGGCGGGTAGATCGCCTGAGGTCAGGAGTTCAAGAGCAGCCTGGCCAACGTGGTGAAACCCCATCTCTGCTAAAAAAAAAAAAAAATGCAAAAATTAGCTGGGCATGGTGACGGACACCTGTAATCCCAGCTACTGGGGAGGCTGAGGTGGGAGAATCAACTGAATCCAGGAGACAGAGGTTGCAGTGAGCAGAGATCACGCCACTGCACTCCAGCCTGGGTGACAGAGCGAGACTCTGTATCAAAAAGAAAAAGTACTGTAAAAATATGGTATAAAATATGGAATAAAAAGTGTTCCTTCTTCATACCCCCTGCTTCACTTTACTAGCCTTAAAATATTTTTAAAGATTTTTTAAAATGGCACACTGACTATAGTCAGCAATAATTTATTGTACATTTAAAAATAACAAAGTGTAACTGAATTGTTTGTAACACAAAGAAAGGATAAATGCTGGAGATGATGGATACCCCATTTACCCTGATGTGATTATTATACCGTATCAAAGTATCTCAACTACCCCATAAATATGTAAACCTACTATGTACCTACACAAATTAAAAATTAAAAAAATATATATAATAAAGTGGCACACTGGTATAGGGCAGCTCTATTATAATCTTACGGGACCAACTGTCATATTTGTGGATGGAGATGTCATTATTTGGCTCATGACTATACTTACTGCTGGTTTAAGAAGTGCAGGATGGGTGCGGTGACTCACGCCTGTAATCCCAGCACTTTGGGAGGCCGAGGCAGGCGGATCACAAGTTCAGGAGATCGAGACCATCCTGGCTAACACGGTGAAACCCCGTCTCTATTAAAAATACAAAAATTAGCTGGGCGTGGTGGTGGGCGCCTGTAGTCCCAGCTACTCGGGAGGCTGAGGCAGGAGAATGGCGTGAACCCAGGAGTTAGAGCTTGCAGTGAGCCGAGATCGCGCTGCTGCACTCTAGCCTGGGCCACAGAGCGAGACTCCGTCTAAAAAAAAAAAAAAAAAAAGTGCAGCTCTGATTTAAAAATATTAAATATGGTATTGTGGTTTTGGGTACCCCTGTCAGTTTAACAGTTGAAACTCATTAGGTTACATCAAAATAACTGTTAAGTATGTACAGAGAAAACCTACCTTAGAATTACCTAGCAGATTCCTGACTCCACCATTGCTGAGCAAAAAATCTCTGAAGGATGGGACCCAGGAATCTACGTTTTGACAAGCTCCTCACATGATAATTCGAATGCATGCCAAAAATCTTAATAGCTTATCCTGGAAAGCCGGCTGCATTTATGGAGATCAATGGGTATAAGGACAAAATCACAAGATGTTAGAACTGGAAGGACTGTGGATGATAGGATTCTGCCCACCCCTACCACAGGCCTCTGAATAGAGAGACTGAAGACACTGGAGGGTAGTTCTTGCCAAGCATCCATAGCAAGAGCTCTGGTGTCTGCGCCAGGACTGTCAACCAGTCTCTTGACTTCTAGCCCAGGGCTCTGGTCACTCTTCCACTTTCAGTTTGGAACATGGGGCAATAGTCTTTCCTAACTATGGTGTCCAGTTCTAACAAACTAAAAATACAGGGGACACCCAGTTAAATTTGAATTTTAGATAAATCAAATATTTAGTATAAGTATGTCCCAGTATTGCATGGGACATATTTAGTCTATAAAATTACTGTTTATCTGAAATTTAGATTTAACAGAGTGTCCTGAATTGCTATTTGCTAAATCTGGCAACCATATTCTCTCCCCGCTTACCCCACCTTTTTTTGGGCACCAGTCAGGTTCAAGAATTGCCCCAAAGAAATGAAAAATAATTACCATGCATTTATGGTACTATTACTTCATTTAATCTGTTAATCCTGTGAGCTAGCTGTCATGGACCCCATTAATAGTTCAGGAAAGTGAGAGGTTAAGTCTGACTCCTGGGATCATCTCGGTAAGCTGTCATTTTGCCTCCTCATGAACCTAGTTGCTTGGCTCTCATTGATGTGTGGCCCAGTTAATGCCTATCAAGTTACAAGCTACATGAGAGATTGCTCAGTTTTGACTCATCTGCCCCTGGCCTTGTGAGTTACTTAATTGATGATGGCTCTTGGTTAGTACATCCAAGAATGGACTCCAAAGTCCACGCTGTTAACTGCTGCTCTAACCTGTCTCTTAACTCCGTGGCATAGTAAATTGTTGGTAGGGTGGCTTTGGGGTAGGGGTCGGACCCCCTCTACATTCTCTCTTTTTTTTTTTTTTTTTTTTGAGATAGAGTTTTGCTGTTGTTGCCCAGACTGGAGTGCAGTGGCGCAATCTCGGCTCACCGCAACCTCCACCTCCCGGATTCAAGCGATTCTCCTGCCTAAGCCTCCCGAGTAACTGGGATTACAGGCATGCGCCACCACACCTGGCTAATTTTGTATTTTTAGTAGAGACGGGGTTTCTCCATGTTGGTCAGTCTGGTCTCGGACTCCTGACCTCAGGTGATCCGCCTGCCTCGGCCTCCCAAAGTGCTGAGATTACAGGCATGAGCCACTGTGCCCAGCCCCCCTCTACATTCTCTAAAGGGGTGTGCTGGTGCCTTGAGAGCATCCGTGTGCAGGGGTGGGGAGTCTGCAGGTGGGGCAGCACCCTGGCTGCTGAGCCTGTCCTGTCTCCATGTTCATAGCATCCCAGGGCTTAACTCTTTCCCAGTTGGGTTGTAGCATATGACACTGAAGGAGCCTGTAGGCCATCCTGAACTCACCGAGAGAGGCAAATTAGCAGCTCCTGGGAAGCAAGGCTGCCTGGCCAGGCTGGCCTGGATTGGGGGAACTAGTTGCTACTCGAGAACTCCAGCTTCCTATCTGCTTTTGGGATGACCCTCCCTGGAAAGTCCCTCCCACTGCTGTGGAATTTTCAGGCTACCAAATGTGCCCAGCCTGCCTCTCAGGACAGACAGACAGTGAGAAAAAGATCTCCAGGGCCCACTAAGTCTTCCAGAGGGAGCTGAGACATTCAGCCTTCCCTGGCAGGGCTCAAAGAGGAAAAAAGGGATTGGAAATGGGGCCCCTCTCAGAGCCACTTCAAAGCACCCTCCCCTGTGGTCATGTGTTTCAGTTCCATGTGAGTAGTTTTTCTTGACAGTATCGGTAATTTTGGGGAACAGTTCCTGTGACACTTTGGGTCCCTAAGGCCCTGCCCTGACCCTGTGAGTGGATATAGTTGGGCACAGAGTGTATTTTGTTGAGGAGCAGATATTGGCTTCCTGGTTTGCCAAAGAGCTCTAGATTGGGAGACAAGAACTTGATGTTCCAGTGCCAGCTCTACAGCAAATCACTGGTGACTTTGGCCTCTCCTGGTCCTCAGTTTTTCTGTATGTACAATGAGATTCTCAAGTCTTTCCAGCCCTGACTTGGTCTGGGATCACCCTCTCCACTCCAATAATGGGAATAATCCAAAGTAATTTTTTGGGGATTCAGAAGCCTCTTCCAACAAAGGATGCCCTAAGATTGGAAGGACAATAAAAATGAGTTTGTGGGCCGGCCACGGTGGCCCATACCTGTAATCCCAGTACCTTGGGAGGCTGAGGCGGGTGGATCACTTGAGGTCAGGAGTTCAAGACCAGCCTGGCCAACATGGTGAAACCCCATCTCTACTGAAAATACAAAAAATTAGACAGGCTTGGTGGCTCGCGCCTGTAGTCCCAGCTACTCGGGAGGCTGAGGCAGGAGAATTGCTTGAACTTGGGAGGTGGAGGTGGCAGTGAGCCTAGATTGTGCCACACCCACTGCACTCCAGCCTAGGTGACAGAGTGAGACTCCGTCTCAAAAAATAAAAAAATGAGTTTGTGTTACCTGAGGTGGTGGCTGACCACCAAGGACAGGAAGAAAACCTCTGAGCTTGGCAGCCTCCCACATCAGGGTAATGGAGTCAGGTGTGCGTGTAGTTGTGTGTGCCTAGCAACCTGTCTGAGACGATTGGCTTCTGAAGTCCAGGGCCTAGGAAAGCCCAAGGGAGCCCCGCAAGCTGATTGTGCATAGCTCATTTGTTTAACTGGGAATCATCATCATACCTACCTTCTGGGCTCACGCCTGTAATCCCAGCACTTTGGGAGGCCGAGGCGGGCGGATCACGAGTCAGGAGATCGAGACCATCCTGGCTAATATGGTGAAACCCTGTCTCTACTAAAAATACAAAAAAATTAGCTGGGCATGGTGACACACACCTGTAATCCCAGCTACTCGGGAGGCTGAGGCAGGAGAATGGCGTGATCCTGGGAGGCGGAGCTTGCAGTGAGCCGAGATGGCGCCATTGCACTCCAGCCTGGGTGACAAGAGTGAGACTCCGTCTCAAAAAAAAGGAAAAAAAAAACGGAAAAATAAATGAGCTACTACATGTAAAAAACTTTGGCATCATGCAAAGACATTGTAAGGCAAGCTTGTCCAAAGGACGGCTTTGAATGCGTCCTGACACAAATTTGTACTTTCTTAAAACATTGAGATTTTCTTGCAATTTTTGTTTTTTAGGTTCATCAGCTATCATTAGTGTTAGTGTGTTTTACGTGTGGCCCAAGACATTAATTCTTCCATTGTGGCTCAGGGAAGGCAAAAGATTGGACACCTCTGTAGTAAGCTCTCAGTAATTGATTGCAGTCTAGTGGAGTTGAGATACACACAGATGCAACCATTTCAGGCGGTAGTGAGTACCCTGAAGATCTTAAATTGTAGACTGAGTTAGAACTTGATCCAGAGTTGCTGGTTTTGTGGCACTTTACATTGGGCAGTCAGGAAGCCTCCTGAGGAGAATTTATATTGAGATCTATGACTAGATCTGAGGAGTCAGTCATCTTGCTCTTCAACATTGTGACCTTGGGCGAGTCCCTTCCTTCAGTTTCATTTTCTGGACAACTGGAATAATTGTGTCTTTTTGAGATAATTAAGTAAAATCATACACAGCAACTTAGGTCAGTTTTTGGTACCTAGTCTTTATGCAGTAAAAGGTGATTATTATTACTGTTCTAACTAGAACCAAATGTGCTCTTTAGAAAAGGCTGGGTTAGGGAGCTGGCACTTGGAGGCCAGGAGCTTTAGTGGCCGCTGATATATTTCAGCTGTGTTGATTATTGATCAGCTTTGAAGCAAGATTTCAGGGACTGGTACCAGCAGTGGGAGTGGCCACAGCCACCCGAGGGTGGCTGGGTCCACATCTGGGCGGGGAGAGTGGGAGCACTGGGCCACCTGGGTCACCACAGGCTAAAGATAGTCAGCTGGGGCTGGGCCTGGGCTGGGCCAGGCTGGCCAGCATCATGTGACTGGAGCCTGGCCCACCCTTGCTCCTCCTCCCGGGCCAAGGGGATGCAGACTCTGCATTCCTGAGCTGACTGGTGGTCTGCAGCTTCCTTTCAGTGGGAACTCAAGATGATCTGACCTGAACATTTCTCTCCTTCCCTTTCTCTGCCCACTCCTCTCCCTAAGAATGCCCTTCCAGCCCCTCCTGCATTTCATCCGCAGGTCTAGGGAAATTTGGGTGGGAGGACTGGGCAGAGAGGCCTCTGAGAGATGGTACCGACAGCAGCAGCTGGTGACCAAGGTGAGGAGGGCTAACATGGCATTCTCTTTACTCCATAGAAGAATGTTCCTGCTTAGGGGGTCCTGGGGTCAGTCAGTATGGGAGGAAAGGCCTGTGGGTCTCCAGGCTCCCCTCTATGACTCCACCCCATCCCCAGGATGAATGACAGCTGAAAGTAGCCAGGCTTTTCAGTTAATCTGTCCCCAGGCTGGCCTGGGAGGGACAGGCACAGGTGGGTAGTATAACCCAGGCACTCTTTCCTGCCTGCCTCACCCTCCCTTCAGATGGTATTGCTGCCTTCCACAGTCAGGGTCCCTGGACACAGGCTTAGGGAGATAGTGGTGGCCTTCCTTATATCTGGGGGCTGAGGGTGGGGCACAATCCATGTCAGCTGGATCCCCCTGAGCAGCCTCTGGGAGAACTGAGAGGAACTGGGAGGTGGGTCTGGAAGGAATGTCTCTTTCTTCATAGTGCTGCCAGTGCCAGAGTGCTGGAGTTAGACTCAAACTGGGTGTGCTTGGTGGTAGTTTCCCTTGCCTCTCTGGGTAGGGAAACTAGGCACTTCCAACCACCGAGGTGCCACTTGTCCAGCTGTTAGCTTAGGCTTCCCTGCAACAGGCTTTGGTTTTCCCCAGTATGTAGAATGATGCCCAGGCATCCCTGCTATTGAGAAACTGTCCTGTTGGCTACAATAAGGTTGTAACTTATACCCCTTAGCTTCTCTTCCACCTCCTTTTAGTGGTTAAGAGCACAGGTTTTAGAGTCAGACTGCTTGGCTCCAAATCCTGTTCCTCTCTTTGCTGGCTGTTATCTTGGCAAATAACCTTTCCACCATGTGTCTTGGGTTCCTCGTTTTAAAATGGGACCAATGAAAGAAACTAATTCAACACGATCAAGATTAAGAGAATCCATGCCCAGAGTTTAGAACAGTGTGTGGTATCTAGTAAATGCTCACTACATATTATTTACACGTGTAATTCGTGCATCTGCGATTTGCTGCTAGCATTTCTTGTGCTTTGGTGAGAAATCTCAGTGGTTGAGATCTGTCTTTCTGTTCTCACACCTGTAGACCCAATATTAGTAAGGAGGGTGACGCTGGGGTAGAATGGTAGGTAATGCTCCCAAGGGTTATACAACTGGTGAGTGTTGCATTCTGGACTGAGGCGCAGCACTGATATCAGGCAGTTGGGTTGCCTGTGAGTCAAAGCTGGGCTAGGGCCTGCGTTCCTCTGGGAGCCAGCAGTTTCTAGGACACTAGCAATTTCTCTGTATTTGGGAGGGCCCCAGCTGAAGGCTAAGGGTTGAGGCTATAACCTCAGGAATTAGCACTTGACAAGCAAAGCCTCTTCTGGTGTGAAGTCGCTATTCATTAAACAAGTGTCTGCTGTGTTGCCAGGCCCTGAGCTAGACACTGGGGTACTGCTGTGAAAGCAGCCCTGTGGTCCCTGCCCCCAGGGGAGGGGCAGATAAGTAACCAGCCCATTTAACATTTACAATACCGTGGGAGCACATAGCAGGGTGCTTCACCACACTTGAGGTCTGGGAGGTCTACCCGAAGGAGGTCGACCTAACGGCCAAGTGTATGGTAGCAGATGGGTGAGTGTGAATGTAATACAGCCCCTAAACCCAACAGATTACCTTGTTCTCAAGGTAGTAGTTCTTAGCTCTCTGGTAAACAGCCTTTTCAGATGCCAATCTCCAGGAGATGATACCAGTCCCCAAATAAGCATTTGGTCTTCCTAATTTTCCTGGCAGTGTTCAGGCCTGAAATCTGGTAGTCCTTCTAGTCACCCACTCTGGGTCCTGAAGGCTTTCTTTGAATAGCTCAGCCTTTTCTCACCTTTCATGCACAGGTCCCTCAGTTTTAATTCTAGCTTCTCTCTGCCTCTTACCAGATCTTTTTACTGTGACCTGATGAGTTTGAATCACCCATGTGCTTTCTACCTGTTGGTTGAACCAAGTTCTTGCTCCTCAGACCTTCACATCTGGAACCTCTGGGTAGTTTTTGTTTCAAAGGTCGGCAGCCTTAGGATCTTTTGAGAAGAAGACAATAGTGAAAACACTTTTAAATCTTTTTATCTGGCTGTGTACTGGCCAGGGTTATGGGTTTAGTAGGCTGAGAGAGACTCCTTGAGCCTGGCCTGTTTTCCTTTTCTGTTCTGAGTAAAAAGTGGAATGACTGAATTTCAACTGAAAGGGAACTCTTGTCAGCCTTCGCCATGTTCTTCCTTCCTCCCTAACAAAGCAGGGCTTTATGTCAAAGCACCCCTGGGGGACCTGTGATAAATTCCCCCATCTGTCTTTCCTCATTTTAAACTACAAAGTTTGGAAGCCTTCCTCTTTCCTGGGGAAACTTGCCCTGGGGCCCAGGTGCCTCCTGTCTCTGAAGGGCAATGTGGTGGTGTGGTATCCCCATCCAGTGGGCATGGATTACCGCTCAGAAGAGCCAGGTGAGGTGGGTGGCCTCATTTGCAGTCTGGACTGTATGAATTGAACCAATTAATCACCCCAAGAGTTTTTCCCGTACATTCTGATTCTTTCATTTTGAGAGATGATTTGGTGTATCTCCCCCCATCCCCATCTCTATCTCAGAGTGAGGGTGGCGATTGCTTGGAAATAGTAAGCTTCCTTTGTGAATTGTAATATTAGCATTTGTTGGGCATTTATTGTGTGCTAGGTACTCTTAGTATGCTCTGTTTGTTTAACTGTTCCAGCAGCCATGTAACTATGACTTCAATTTTACAGAGGAAGGTGAAGTTCAGAGGGACCCTGTGAGGAGCAGAGTAGGTAGGGACTCCACCCTAAGTCCATCCCATAGCAAAGTCCATGTGCTTAATGGGGCCCTCTGACTTTCCTAGGTGGTCTTTGAATGAGGGGGTGTTAGACACACTTGAAAATAGAGGCTTAAAGAATCTCGGGGTTAGACATTCGAGGTCGTGTGGTCATTAACCACTCCACTTTACAGAGGAGCCGCCATCCCTATTCCAACCATCCCAGTTAGTAATTCCTCTCTGCCCTGCCATTCCTCAGCACCCACCTTCTACCCCTCATTTCTCTTCATCCTTCATTAGCAGTAGTAGCATCAGCTCCCTGCTCCTTGACACTCAAAATAACCTTAAGTAATCCAAGTGAAAATAGTGGGTTTGCCATGCAGATAGTTGCCAGAAAAGTCCTCTAGTGTTCTCAACACCACCATATTCAGATTGCTTCTTGCACATAGCAATTTTGGTATGCTTCACTTTTTTTTTTGAGATGGAGTTTCACTCTTGTCACCCAAGCTGGAGTGCAGTGGCGCGATCTCAGCTCACTGCAACCTCCGCCTCCCGGGTTCAAGCGACTGTCCTGCCTCAGCCTCCTGAGTAGCTGGGAATACAGGCGCCCACCACACCCGGCTAATTTTTTGTATTTTTAGTATAGACAGAGTTTCACCATGTTGGCCAGGCTGGTCTCTAACTCCTGACCTCAGGTAATCTGCCCGCCTCGGCCTCCCAAAATGCTGGGATTACAGGCATGAGCCACTGCACCCGGCTGGTATGCTTCATTTTTAACAAAGGCTTGTGTGTATTTAAGAAGCCCCCGGACCCCCTGGAACTAGAATTACCAGAATTAGTACTGGCTCCTGGCTATGGTCCTCTGGGACAGAAGGTGGTTTTCCTTCTCTTCCAGATACCCTTTAGGGCTGGTTTGCCTTAGTTGAGGAAGAAGACCCTCCTAGGGACTCTGTCTGCCATCCACCCTGCTACAGTCTGGGCCTCGGAGACCTGTGGACAGATAAGCTGCTGGGCCCAGTCATCAGTAACTGTTTACTCAGAAAAACAAGGGAAGTGCTCTAAGATTACACTAAGAAGGCTTTTGACCCATTCCTCGCCAGTAGACACATGGAAACCATTGGGCTCCATGGAATTTCTGGTGAGCTGTTGAGGAGCTCTGGCAAGGGAGTCAAGACCTACAGCTTTCATCCTGGCTCTGCAGCTAGTCTTGAGGAAGCCCCTTCCCTTTTTCTGGCCTCAGTTCCCTGTCTACAAGTTGAGTGGATTAGAACTATGGTCCCTTCATTCTATGATTGTTTTCTTTTTTTTTTTTTTGGGATGGAATTTTGCTCTTGTTGCCCAGGCTGGAGCACAATGGTGCAATCTCTGCTCACCACAACCTCCTGCCTCCTGGGTTCAAGTGATTCTCCCACCTCAGCCTCCCAAGTAGCTGGAATTACAGGCATGTGCCACCACACCTAGCTAATTTTGTAATTTTAGTAGAGATGGGGTTTCTCCATGTTGCTCAGGCTGGTCTCAAACTCCGAACCTCAGGTGATCCACCCACCTCGGCCTCCCAAAGTGCTGGGATTACAGGCGTGAGCCACCGTGTCTGGCTATAACTGTTTTCTTGACCAAGTGAATGGTGTTTCCTGACTGGGCGTTGGGTCAGTGGCAGCAGGCATGCAGGTTTCAGAATGCAGGGGTAGAAGGAGGAGAATTATCCCCTGATTTGGCTGGGATGGTGCTGGACATGGGGATTGGTGCCTGTGCAAAGGATTGGTTTGCATTGGCGGCCATTACAGATGCCAGGCCCAGCTGAACCTGTATATTCTGTGTGTGCTTGTGTGTACCTGTGTGCACGTGTGCACACGTGCTCCAGTGGTTACCTGGTGAGGGTTGGTGGCTGAGATGGATAATTGAATTCATCAGAAAGCCTAGTCGTCTTTCTGGTCTCTTGCAGGGCCTGACAGCAGCTCATCTGAGCCATTCTGGGTTTCCTTGAAGCCCAGTAGTATTTTAACAAATCTATGAATTTTAGATTTTAAAGGCAGAAGTGGCTCTTGCTCCCCATTGGCTTTTTCTGCCTTTCTGGGGGTTTTTTTCTCCTTGTCAGGGGCAACCTGAAGCCCTACCTGGGAGCAGAGAAAGAGCAGGGCACCGTGGGTTTTCAGGACAGAGGAACCTGGGGATGGACCTTTTTCAACAAACTCACACAGGACTAATTTAAGAATATTCATGTGTATGCTCAGACTGTTTGTATTCTCATCAGCTTGGGATTGGTGGCAGACTAGGGAATCAGTGAGGTCTTTTCATGGCACTTTGATTGGAGACTGAGCTTTCAATACTTTACCATCTCCTTTTGTGATCAAACAATGATCTGACTTTGCCTCACCTTTTTAAGGAAAAGTCTTCAGGAATACCTTGCCCTCTACCTGATTTCTCTTTATAACATCCTGTTAGTGAAGTTGGCGTTGGTGGTACACAGGCCCTTTGGCCTGCTCTCCTGGTAGCTTGCACACAGTGTTGCTGGGTACTGGGAGAAGTGATTACCAGCCATAGTGTAGGTATATATGAACCTGGTCCTGGTTTGACACAGAAGAAGATTTTGTCAGGGGACTAGATGGTATTAGGCTCATCCAGGCTAACCCAGGAGTCCCAGGAGTATGGGTGCAGAATGGCCCCTTGGGCCTAAGAACTCTATCCTCTTGGGATTGAGATTTTCTGGTTCACCATTGCCCTGCACTGGGGGTGTGGGATGCTGTTGGCTGGGTTCCACAGCTCCAGCTCTCAAAGGCATGTGGGGTATCTTGAGGGGGTAGTGGCTCCGGTAGGGGGTGGAAGCCAGGAGAGCAGTGGCCTCACAGTGAGGAGTCAGGCAAGGACACTCTCTACTCATTAAGGGAACATGGGTCTGATCAAGGAGTTAGAACATTCCTTTCCAAGCCAGCCGGGCAAATTTCTCTGCTGCTCGGGGTTTGGGGGCAGCTCTCGCCCTGGCATGGCTGGCCAACAGTACAGGCAAAGTGATAGGGGAGAAGTCGGTGAGCAGAGCCACAGGATGTATCTTTTCCTGTGGGTTTCTGGGGGAGGAAGGGGCACAGAAATTCTTGTTTTTCAGAATGGTGTTGGGAAAAGAAGTGTGGATGTAGAAGGGACTGGACCTACTAGAACAACTTCCTTAAAAAAAAAAAAAATTAAGACATTTGTTTTTGATAAAAGCCCATGTCTGTCTTTGTTGAAAAACTGAAGTCCCTGTAAATGTTATGTTTAATTTCTGATAGTTCTTACATGTCGTTCTAGAGTTTGTACTGTATGTGTGTGCATGTGCACATTTTTGTTTTACAAGAAGGATTTTTAAAAAACTTTAGCCAGGCGTAGTGGCTGACGCCTGTAATCCCAGCACTTTGGGAGGCTGAGGCAGGTAGGTTACTTGAGGTCAGGCATTTGACACCAGCCTGGCCAACATGGTGAAACCCATCTCTACTAAAAATACAAAAATGAGCTGGGCATGGTGGCGCGCACTTGCAGTCCCAGCTACTTGGGAGGCTGAGGCAGGAGAATCACTTGAACCCGGGAGGCAGGTGTTGCAGTGAGCCGAGATGGCGCCACTGCACTCCAGCCTGGGTGACAGAGCGAGACTCTGTCTCAAAACAAACTTTTTTTTTTTTTTTTTTTTGAGACAGTCTTGCTCCGTCGCCCAGGCTGGAGTGCAATGACGTTATCTCGGCTCACTGCAACCCCCGCCTCCCGGGTTCAAGTGATTCTCCTGCCTCAGCCTCCCAAGTAGCTGGGATTACGGGCGCCCACCACCACGCCCAGCTAATTTGTTGTATTTTTAATAGAGACAGGGTTTCGCCATGTTGGCCAGGCTGGTCTCAAACTCCTGACCTCGGGTGATCCACCTGCCTTGGCCCCCCAAAGTGCTGGGATTACAGGCGTGAGCCACTGCGCCTGGCCACAAACAAAGTTTTCATTTATTGTGTCCGTCATTTTATATTAGTAGAGATCATTATCTTTTTCATAACTTTTCTAAAAATGGATGAACTTTAGTCAGTCCCCTATTTTGGGGTATATAGTTTGTTTTCCATTTTTTGAAGTTATAAATAATATTTTAGTAGGACATCTCTGTACATAACTCTTGTCTAATTTGTATCATTAGGATAAATTCTTAGAGGTAGGACTGTTGAGTCAAGTGGGAGCCCACTTTTTCTTTGGAAGCTGAGAAGGCAGACAAAAATGTTTCCTGAGCAGCTGGCCCTGGTGTGGTCCCTAGATTTTTTGATGGCTCACTTAGAGTTTTTACTTTGCCTTCCCAATGATCACTAGTCCTGGTCTGCTCACATCAAACTTCTAGAATGTTAGGGCCAGAAATGATCTATCAGACATCTGCCATGATTCAGGAGCCCTGAGCTATAGTCCTGACTCTGGTGGCATGGACTTCTTTCTCCAGGCCTCAGTCTCTGTTACGGAACTGTACTCTCTGAGGGCCTCCCACCTGAGTCTGGACTTCTTGGGTTTTGGCTGCTGGCTGCTGGCTCCTGGCTCTTTGCATGATCGCGCTTTCTGTGACTTCTTCAGGAGTGGGCTGGTAAAATTGTTATTGGTGTTTGAGCACGTGTCTTTCCCCTCTCTACTGTGTCTTTCTCCTTTGGGAACTTGCAGGTTGCTAGGTGGAGTGGGGACGGTGATGAGGGTGAGGAGCTGGCAGTAGCCCCCTCACATGGGCTTTGCATTACTAACTCTCCCTTCTTGTTCCCACAGAACACTCTGCTCCAGCCAAGGTGGTGAGGGCAGCTGTTCCTAAACAGCGCAAAGGCAGCAAGGTAAAGAATAACAGTGGGCAACCCAAGGGGACTTTCTGGAGTTGGTGGCCTCTTTCCTGTTTTAGTGAATGCTCCTGGACTGCCAACTAGTTCTGGATTGTCTGTGAATTGCAGGGGAGCCCCTTCTAGGTATCCAGTGTGAATGGTCCTGGTGAACAGACTGATTTGGCCTCTGATCTCTTGGTGAAGCTTGGGTCGGGGGCTGAATAGCAAAGACAGGGTCACTCCTGGGGCCCTCATAGTGTATGTTCCCTGCAGGTTGGTGACTTTGGAGATGCAATCAATTGGCCCACACCTGGAGAGATAGCCCACAAGAGTGTTCAGGTGAGTCTGTGTGGAAGAATAGGCAGGTTTGAAGTCTCTTGACATACACACATTTAGCTCCTCAAGCTTCCAGAGAGCCTCAGCTCTTACCTTTCTCAGTTTTCATTCTTTCTTTTTTTTCCCCCCAACAGAGTTTCACTCTTTTTGCCCAGGTTGGAGTGCCATGGTACAATCTCAGCTCACTGCAACCTCCACCTCCTGGGTTCAAGTGATTCTCCTCCCCCAGCCTCCCGAGTAGCTGTGATTACAGGCGCTCACCACCATGACCGGCTAATTGTGTATTTTTAGTAGAGACAAGGTTTCACCATGTTGGCCAGGCTGGTCTCGAACTCCTGACCTCAAGTGATCTGCCTGCCTCAGCCTCCCAAAGTGCTGGGATTACAGGCATGAGCCACCGTGCCCGGCCTCTCAGTGTTTTTTGTTGTTTTTTTTTTTTTTTTTTGAGATGGAGTCTCGCTCAGTCACCCAGGCTGGAGTGCAATGGTGTGATCTCGGCTCACTGCAACCTCCGCCTCCCAGGTTCAAGCAATTCTCACTCTGTCACCCAGGCTGGAGTGCAATGGTGTAATCTCAGCTTACTGCAACCTCCACCTCCCAGGTTCAAGTGATTCTCCCGCCTCAGCCTCCTGAGTAGCTGGGATTACAGGCACCCACCATCATGCCTGGCTAATTTTTGTATATTTTAGAGACGAGGTTTTACCATGTTGGCCAGGCTGGGCTTGAACTGACCTCAGGTGATCTGCCCGCCTCGGCCTCCCAAAGTGCTGGGATTATAGGTGTGAGCCACTGTCCCCAGCCCCCTAGCCTCTGTTTTCTAAACTTAGTGGTTAATAGAATCTGAGCAACATTGAAATAGCTAAGAACTGTCATCATTTAAACCTTTGCTTTGTTAGAGACTGCCAAGTACAGTTTTCCTGTGTTATACATGGCGGGGCTGGTGGCAGGTGTTGGTTCTGGGACCTCTGTGCATACCAGAATCTTTGCATACTCAAGTCCTGTAGTTGGCCCTGCAGGACCTACATATATGAAAAGTTGGCCTTCCGTGTATGCAGGTTTCACATCCTGCTAATACTGTATTTTTGTTCTGCATTCGGTTTTTTAAAGTCCTGTGTATAAGTGGACCCACACAGTTCAAAGCCATTTTATTCAAGGGTCAGCTGAATTGCCTGTTCATCATCTCATCTAACCCTCACAGTGACTCTGAGATAGGTCCTTTTATAATCCCCATTTTACAGATGAAGCTGCTGAGACTTGCAGAGGTTAATTACTAGCCCTTGATGGCCAAGTGGGGATTGGAAGTCAGGTGTGTTGTATTATTCCCCAGCCTGTGTTCTCCATCACTACGCTTGGGTTTTCTGAGTGAAGTAGGAGAGTGGTCATTAGGCCAAGCACCGACCTCCAGACCACATGTCTTGGGGAAGCTTATAAAATTCTCTTGGGGCCTAGCAAAGAGAGGACTCCTAGTCAGTTCTCTTCTTCCCAGCACTTTTGTTCTGGCCAGTGGCTTAGAGTCTTTACTCACTGGCTGTGGCCGCTTTTACTTCACAGACAGAGTTGTTGTTGATAGGCCAGGGGGCATCTCTTCCTTCCCACAGACTACCTAGACAACATGGCCCTGTTGCAGGGAATAATTTTGCCCCTGTGAGCCTCAGCACCGCTGTCCTGAAGGTTGTCTCTGTCACTTAGACTTGGAAGCTGGAGAGATAAGTTGCCTTCCCACCTTCTGGCCTATTTGACCATGCTTCCCACTGAAACCATCTCAGGTGTGAAAATGACCTTAGAATACATCCCATCCAGCCTGCCATTGCATGCTGTGGCTCCTGCCTGCCCTTCTAGTGACAGGGAGTGCCTTCCCTCCTATACCATGAGGCACTCACACTCACCTCACTGTTACTTTACTTCCTGCTATAGCCACAGTCCCACAAGCCTCAGCCTACCCGTAAACTGCCACCCAAGAAGGACATGAAGGAACAGGAGAAAGGAGAAGGGAGTGATAGTAAGGAGAGTCCAAAAACCAAATCAGATGAATCAGGGGAGGAAAAGAATGGAGATGAGGATTGCCAGCGAGGCGGGCAGAAGAAGAAAGGTGAGTGACTGGGAGCAGGACTTGGGAGAAGGTGGCAGGGTAGAACTGTGAAATGTCAGGACTCCAGGGGACTGCTGGAGGAGCTTTAGGTGCCACCTCTGAAAAGTCAATGGGGAAACTGATGGATGTAGGCTGGTGAGATAGCAGTCTTCAACCATCTGTCATTAATCAGTCCCTCCTTTCAAAAAACCTGCTGAAATTTTGGCTTCTCTAATGCTGATCTAGAGTAACCATGGTTTAAACAAGATAAAACTTTCTTTCTTTGATGTAACAGCTTGGTGTAAATACACCAGGCCTGGTATGGCAACTCCTGAATCCCTTCAGCTTGCTGTGGTACACCGGTTCTTCATATCATCACTGATGGCTTCCTATTTCCTTCTTCTTCTAGCTAGGAGGAAAGGAAGAGGGAAGGGTGGCCCCTTTCCTTTTAGGGACTCAACCTGGAGTTGGTTACTTCAGCTTAGCTCTCGTAGGCAGTGTTTTGGCACCTGTCTATAGGGACTCTGGAAAGCATGGTCTTCATCCTGGGCTGCCATGTGTCTGACTCCAGAAGGGGATTCTGTGGCCATGGAGACACTGATCTTGGGAGTTAACGAGGAGTCTCTAACACACTGACGGCCACTGACCAGCTTATTTTAGAGATGAAAAAGAGGGCTAATGTGTGGGAAAGGGATCTGCCCAAGGTAACCAGATTGTGATTTGGGCCCAAGTCCAGGGCAGAAGAAGAGGAGTTGGGTAGAGCTGGCTAGGAGTGGCCTCTCCCTCAAGCCTTTCTCATGTACCCATGCTGTCTCCCAGGAAACAAACACAAGTGGGTTCCATTACAAATAGACATGAAGCCTGAAGTGCCCAGAGAGAAACTGGCTTCACGCCCCACTCGCCCACCGGAGCCTAGACACATACCTGCCAATCGCGGAGAGATCAAAGGTATGCACTACCCACTATGGAGGGCCTGGACTTGGGAGACACCCTCAGGCCTGACCTGGTACCCCTCTCCCCATAGGGTCTGAGTCTGCCACCTACGTGCCCGTGGCCCCCCCCACCCCAGCCTGGCAACCAGAGATCAAACCGGAGCCTGCCTGGCACGACCAGGATGAGACATCGAGTGTGAAGAGTGATGGGGCTGGTGGGGCGCGGGCTTCCTTCCGTGGCCGTGGACGGGGGCGTGGTCGCGGCCGGGGACGCGGCCGGGGTGGCACTCGAAGTACGTGAGGCCCCTTTGGGCTCCGGGATGTCCAAGGGTGTGCAGCAGGGGTGGTGGGCAGGAATCTCCTCTCCCTCATGGCACCCGTTTCCCCCATAGCCCATTTTGACTACCAGTTTGGCTACCGAAAGTTTGATGGTGTGGAGGGGCCTCGTACGCCCAAGTACATGAACAACATCACCTACTACTTTGACAATGTCAGCAGCACCGAGCTTTACAGTGTGGATCAGGAACTGCTCAAAGACTACATCAAGCGCCAGATGTGAGTGTGCGGAAGCCTTCTTACCCTGGAGAAATGAGTGAGAGGTTAGGGGTTGCTAGAGTGTCATAGCTGGGCAGGCCCTTCTGGTGCTTAGCAGCAGTTTCAGCCTCAGGCTGAAAAGATAGCTTTTCTCATTGTTTATTAAAGAAGTGATACCACATTCTCATTGTTTATTACAGAAGTGGTACAACATTTACCTTAAGAAAGTTAGAAACTATACCATTACAAAAAGGAAGGAAAATATTTAGAATCTACCCCCTTCTGTTCTTCCATTTGTAATGACAACATTGACAGAATACTAACATTTATTGAATCCTTAGTATCGGCCAGGCTCAGTGTTTATTGTTGTAGAGGCATTATCTTAGTCCTGCAGTTCTTATCTGTTGAATTCCTATGAGCTGAGTCTTTTAGCCCCAGTTTATAGACAAGCAAACCGGCCCAGTAATTTGCACAGAATCTCACAGCTAGTAAGTAACAAAGCACAGATTTAAATCCTTTTCTGTCCTATTATAGAACCTTTGTTCTTAACCACTCTGATATATTGTCTCTCAGTCCAGTAAGGAAGTCATACAAGAAAATAAATGGTTGCAATAGAGTGTTTATAAGTGTTTTAGGAGCAGAAGAGAAAGTGACCAACAATATTTGGACTGGAATTTAAAGGAGGATGAGGAGTTTGACAGGCATGTCGAGGGGCTTAGGGCAGAGGGAGTGATTTGACCCAAGCAAGGTAGGGTGTCATGAAGGGATCACATCATTTCTTTTCAGCCCTCAACACTGTTGGTATATAGGATAAGGATGGGGTAGGTCAGAGGCTGTGTGAGATTGCTGGGGTGTGTAGCAGAACAAGGAAGGCATACTCATAAAACTGATGCACCAATCCCTCGGTGATAACTACTTCTTCCCTCCACTTAGTGAATACTACTTCAGCGTGGACAATTTAGAGCGAGACTTCTTCCTGCGAAGGAAAATGGATGCTGATGGTTTCCTACCCATCACCCTTATTGCTTCCTTCCACCGAGTGCAGGCCCTTACCACTGACATTTCACTCATCTTTGCGGTATGTCTTCCTCCCTGGAGCTGGGATGCAGGGGAAAGAAAGGTCCTTAGGGAGCTGGAGTTTGGGCCAAGGCAGAAAGCCCTGGAAGAGTCATCATCTGATGACTTCTGCTGAAGTCTCAAGGCTTGGCTAGTCTCCTCCTCTCCCTCCTTCCTTCCTTTCTCTCCCTCTCTTGCTCATTATGGAAAATGTCAGACACTTAACAAAAGTAGAGTAGTATAATGAGCCCATCATCAGCTTCGGCAGGTATCAGTTTATGGCTAATCTTATTCCATCTGTACCCTCATCTGTTTATTCTCACATACTACATTGAAGAAAATCCTAGAAAACCTAGCATTTTGTTCACAAATATTTCAGTATAGATTTCTAAAAGATAGACTTGTTAAAAGAAAATAGCCACAGTATCATTATCATACCTAAATTAACAGTTTAACATATTAACAGTTCCTTAATATCATCAAATATTTAGTTCAGATTCATCCCAATTGGCGCCATATATATATTTATATATATATTTTATATATATTTATATATATTTTATATACATTTATATATAAAATATACATTTATATATATTTATATATTATATATTTATTATATATTTATATTTATATATTATATATTTATATATTATATATATTTTTATACATATTATATATTTATATATTATATATTTTTATATATATTATATATTTATATATTATATATATTTTTATATATATTATATATTTATATATTATATATTTATATATAGTATATATATTATATATATATTTTATATATTTATATATAGTATATATATTATATATATTTTATATATTTATATATTATATATATATTTTATGTATTTATATATTATATATATATTTTATATATATATATAGTTTGTGAGAATCAGAATCCAAATAATACCTATAGGCTGGGTGCAGTGGCTCACACCTATAATCCCTGCACTTTGGGAGGCCAAGGGGAGGGTCATGTGAGCCCAGGAGTTCAAGATTAGCCTGGGTAACATAGCAGGACCCTGTCTCTACAAAAAACTAACAAGACCTGTGTATTGTCTTATTAAGTCTCCTCTTGCCTCTATTTTTCTTTTTCTTTGCCGTTTATTATTTGAATAGACTAAGTTGTACATCCTGTAGGATTTTCCACAGGGCACAGGGATGTCATTTTAACATGTTCATCTGTACTCCAAGTTTTTTGTAAATTGTGATCTAGAGGCCTGATCAGATTCAGGTTTTGAAGTTTTTTCCCCTCCTTGTCAAGAATACTTTATCATAATGATGTATTTTCTCTCAGGTGGCACATAACATTTCATTTGATTGTCTCTCTTGTGCTATAAGCTGCCAGCAGTGTTCGTTAGGATTGCAAAATGACAATATACTAATTCTGTCAGTCGGTCTTCATTTATTAGGTGGAATACCTCTTCAAGAAGTAACTTTGCCTCATCAACTGTTCAGTTACCAAGAGGTATAGTTTGTTCAGGAAGGGCAGATTAATGTTTGATCTTCCTCCCTTTGTTAGCCAGTTTGCATAATTATGAGTTGATCTCTAATAGGTTTCATAGGTGACCAGTGAGATTTGGTGGTTTGTTTTCGTATCATTTGTTATTATAAGCTTATGGGCTCAAACGTATTTATTTTGGTCCATTGCAGTTAATGGATTGGATCAAATTGTCCCACCTTTGGTCAGTGGGACCCTATACATTTCCTGCCCCAGATCTGGAATTGGCCACTTTTAAAAGGAATTCTAGTTCCTTTCTTTTGGGAAATGGTATTTAGATACCAGTCTGAGTTATAGGGGTGCTTTATTGCTACTTGGTTGGTCATTCTTTCTAGATGATTTTTTTGTTTTTTGGTGAGATAAAATACATCATGGAGTTATTCTGTTTTGTTGTTGTTGTTTTTTTTTTTTTTTTTTTTTTTTTTTTTGAGACAGAGTTTCACTCTTGTTGCCCAGGCTGGAGTGCAGTGGCATGGTCTCAGCTCACTGCAACCTCCACCTCCCAGGTTTAAGCAATTCTCCTGCCTCAGCCTTCCAAGTAGCTGGTATTACAGGCATGCACCACCACACCCAGCTAATTTTGTATTTCTAGTAGAGATGGGGTTTCACCATGTTGGCCAGGTTGGTCTCGAACTCCTGACCTCAGGTGATCCACCCACCTCGGCCTCCCAAAGTGGTGGGATTACAGGCATGAGCTACCGCGCCCGGCCTGTTCTGGTATTTTCTATTAAAGGGTCTTTACGTAGACTTGTGGATCTTTTATTTTACCTACTGCTTTCTTCCATGCCCATAATCTTAATTCCTAATGATACCAACATAATTACTCATTTTGTTTTATTTCACAGTATGTCTACCGTCTTTTTTTTTTTTTTTTAAACATTTTTTAAAGAGAGAGGGTCTTGCTCTCACAGGCTAGATTGCAGTGGTGTGATCATGGCTTAC
Organism: Homo sapiens; assembly: GCF_000001405.40. Taxonomy (NCBI): domain Eukaryota; kingdom Metazoa; phylum Chordata; class Mammalia; order Primates; family Hominidae; genus Homo; species Homo sapiens. The sequence goes on from NC_000005.10 coordinate 154,797,765, forward strand.
TGCAGCCTCAACCGCCTGAAATCAGGCAATCCTCTTGCCTCAGCCTCCTGAGTAGCAGGATTACAGGTGCACACCACGTGTGGCTAATTTTTAAATTTTTTGTAGAGATGAGGTCTTGCAGTGTTGCCCAGGCTGGTCTGAAATTCCTGGGCTTGAGCCATCCTCTCACTTCGGCTTCCAAAGTGTTGGGATTACAGGCGTGAGCCATTGTGCCAAGCTCTACATTCTTACAATACCTCCACTACCACTGAAAACAGTTTTTCCACTTATACAGTATCTTCAAGTCATTTGAAAGAATCTTTGTGTGGTTTCACATTTAAATTGATATATATATTAGTTTTATTTTGCTTCCAAGTTTTAGAGATTGCTTTCTCCCTACCCCTATAATTTTCTAAGTTGTTTTACATTTGTGTAAAACATTTACGTGGTTCTAGAGTCTCAGCATGGTATAGTCATAGAAGTCTGACTTAAATTCTGTCACTTACACCCTTTCTTCTCTTACAGGCAAACTTTTTAGAACCTTTCCATTTAAGAAAAAAGCAAATGCCTCTACATGTATTTGTATCCTTGGTAAATGGAAATATACAACACATGGCATTTCTTCAATTCTTTTTTGTTTTAACTTAATATATCTGGGAGCTAACTGCAAAGTAGCAGTATATAATAGAAAGATATTCCTCATTCCTGTGTACAGTTGCATAGTTCACCATTGTGTGGAATGCTCCATGTTTTTTCAACTGCTGCTCCTATAGATGGATGTTTTGGTTGTTTTTTTGAGACTAGGTCTTGCTCTTTTGCCCAGGCTGGAGTTAGTACAGTGGTGTTATCAAAGCTCACTGCAACCTCAACCATCTAGGCTCCCAAGTAGCTGGGACCACAGATGTATGCCAGCGCCACCTTTTTACGATTTGTAGTGATAGAGTCTCGCTATTTTGCTCAGGCTGGTCTTGAACTCCTTTGCTCAAGCGATCTACCCACCTTGACCTCCCAAAATGTTGGGATTACAGGTGTGAGCCACTGTACCCAGCCTGCTTTTTTGATTAATATTTTGTGGGTTTATCCACCTCAGCACATGTAAAGTTGGTTGTTTTTTTGTTTGTTTGTTTGTTTGTTTGTTTGAGACGGAGTCTCGCCCTGTCGCCCAGGCTGGAGTGCAGTGGCACCATCTCGGCTCACCACAACCTCCACCTCCTGGGTTCAAGCGATTCTCCTGCTTAACCTCTCGAATAGCTGGGACTATAGGCGTGTGCCACCACAACCAGCTAATTTTTGTATTTTTAGTAGAGATGGGGTTTCACCATGTTGGCCAGGATGGTCTCAATCTCTTGACCTTGTGATCTGCCTGCCTGGGGCTCCCAAAGTGCTAGGATTATAGACGTGAGCCACCAGGCCCGACCTGTAAAGTTTTTTAATGTCTGAGTAGTGTTCCATCATGCATATGCTGTAAATATTTAAATTGCCTATGCGATGGCAAGTTAGGTATTTTATAGTTCTTTTTCTACTCTAGTTTTACTGTGAATGGCTTTTTGTCCAGATATTATACATACTGCTCCCTGTTTGTGCAAGTGTTCTCTAGAGCAGATTACTGGAAGTAGGATTGCAGGCTCAAAGAGTAAAAGGGTAGGTGTATTTATTATGCTGGTACCTCCTACAAGTTTGAACATCTCACATTATCTACCAGTCGTGGAAGATGGTGTCAATTTTCTTATATTACTGGTAGCATTGGACTCATACCAAGCTCAGGGGAACCCAGTTGTCTACCATTTCCAAGATCTTTCTGTCCAAGATTTTCTTCTTAATCCCCTCTTCCTTCTCCTCCCCTTCAGGCCCTAAAGGACAGCAAGGTGGTGGAGATCGTTGATGAGAAAGTTCGTAGGAGGGAGGAACCAGAAAAGTGGCCTCTTCCCCCAATAGTGGATTATTCACAGACTGATTTCTCCCAGCTTCTCAACTGCCCTGAATTTGTTCCCCGTCAGCACTACCAAAAGGAGACAGGTAGGTACCTGCTGGCATGAAGATTGCCCTTGTCCTCTGGGCAACAGTCCTCCTCAGGGCTGGCATCAGGAGGAGGACTGGAGGGATGAGGACTTCCCCTTTCCACCCTTTAGAGTCGGCACCTGGCTCTCCTCGTGCAGTCACCCCAGTGCCAACCAAAACAGAGGAGGTCAGCAACCTAAAGACACTACCCAAGGGCCTGTCTGCCAGCCTGCCTGACCTGGATTCTGAGAACTGGATTGAAGTGAAGAAGAGGCCTCGGCCATCCCCAGCACGGCCCAAGGTGGGTGAGGCCTTGTCCCTTGCCTTGGTTCTAGCACTCTGAGCTAGGGTGCTTGAAGGGGATAACACATGGGCACAGCACTCTAGCTCTGAGGGGCCAGCAGGAAATCTGGGTAGTTCAGGATCATAGTGTGAGTTGAAGTTACCAGTAGTGGCTACAGAAAGGTTGATTTGGCTTGTTTCCATTTCCTGTGGGGAACCACCCTTTAGGGCGCCCTACTGTGTGAGTTCCTCGGTGACATTTTTCTTAAGGGATCATGCAGCATCTGGCAGCGATGTTTCTGGCTTCTTGATTCTTGGCTCTTCTTTTTGCTCCATCTAAATTTCTGGGGCTGCGTTTTTGGTGTCTTTTCCCTGAGTATGTCCCCACTATCATGTATGTAAGCCCCTTAGGTCCTCAGAAGAAGGAAGGGAGAGGGAGCAGATGCATGGCCCAAATATGGAGTTAGTCTACACAAGTCTGCTGCACTAATGGCAAGGTGACCTTGGGAAGCCTGTTCATACCTCAAGGCTTCAGTTTCTCCATCTGCAGATGAAAGGAAGGAGACATTAGAATATTCTAGAAATAGTTTATATATATAAACAGATGAAGTTCACTGTTAAAGAAGTATTGCAATCTCTAACTAAAATTACTACTTCCTTTTTAAGTGCTGAATTTTTCTCCACATACCTGCTCACTGTCACCCACTTTGGAGACCTCTGGCCTGGGGCTTGTGAGGAGACTGCAGAATTGACCTTGAACTTTGGGTCTATGGAATTCTATACTCCCTTATCTATTTTCCCACAGTGATTACCTCTCATCTCCTTTCTCTTGCCTGCCTGTTCATACACAGAATTCCCCACAGTTGTGGCTTCAGCCCTCAAAAAGTGTTGGAGATCCAGCCAGAGACATGAGGAGAAAGGTAGTAAGTAGATGAGGGTTTTACAAAGTCCAGGCCTACAAAGTTTTGTTTGAAACAGGGGTCAGACTTAGCTCCCATTCCAGAATTAGAGCCCCTACTCTGACCTGGTCTATCTTAAACCTTAAAAAAAGATAGGTTTAGAGTTTATGTGCTCTTGGCACAGCAGGGAATCTACTTTTGAATAAATACTGTGGGTTTAGACAAATGCTTCTCTCTCAGCGTCTCATATTCAGTCTATCAAAACAAATAGTTTTTCTTTGCTGAAGGCACCGTGTTTTCTCTTGCCTTTGGAACAATGGTATTCTTTCTGCCTAGTCTGTCCCTATCTTCATCTGGCTTACTTATGTTCATCCTGTGGTAGTCACTTCTTGAAGGAGGCCTTCCGTAACCATTCTTAGTCACAGTTGACTAAGCTCCTTTAACTGTGTGCATCCACAAACCTGCTTATAGCCTTTACCATACCACAATGCAGTTGGCTGTTTGGTTGACTTTCTCCCATTGAGCTCCCTAAGTAACAGGGACCTTGTCTTATTCTGCTTTTAGGTTTTTCATACAGAGCTTAGGACTAATGGGTACTCCCTCATTTATTATATAATTGAACATCTGGTATTACCAGATCCCCGTCTAGGTACTGAGTATATAATGGAAAGCAAGGCAGCTGTGGATCATGGAGCTTCCAGTTTATTGGGAGATGTTGAATAGATGGATAAGTGGATGAATCAACCTGCTGAACTTCTGTGTGTCCACTCCTAAGCTAGGTGCTATGTAGGATATAAAGGTAAATGAGAGCACAGTTCCTGCCTATAGAGAAGTCATCATCAGTTGTTTGTGCATGACTGTGATATGAGCTGTGAGTGGAGGAACCTGGACTTCTATGAAACATCCTTTCTCATAGTCATAAAGCTGACTCCCAGGATGACGCTTGTGACCTGCTGGTGTTACCAGGGTCATAGTTGAACAGTCTTATGTTGAGAGGCTGGAGCTTCCCTCTCATGGTATAGCTACAGAATCTGGGCCAAGGATCTCTGGTGATTCCTTTTCCCCTTCGTCTGTCCTATTTTAGAAGTCAGAGGAGTCCAGATTTTCCCACCTGACCTCTCTGCCTCAGCAGCTGCCTTCCCAGCAGCTGATGTCCAAGGATCAGGATGAGCAAGAGGAACTGGATTTTCTGTTTGACGAGGAGATGGAGCAGATGGATGGGCGGAAGAACACCTTCACTGCCTGGTCTGATGAGGAATCTGACTATGAGATTGATGACAGGGATGTCAACAAGATCCTCATTGTCACCCAGACACCACATTACATGCGCCGGCACCCAGGGGGGGACCGCACAGGCAACCACACCTCGCGTGCCAAGATGAGCGCCGAACTGGCCAAGGTCATTAATGATGGCCTCTTCTACTATGAGCAGGACCTGTGGGCTGAAAAGTTTGAACCTGAGTATTCCCAGATCAAGGTGAGGCTTGGACATAGCAGTGAGTGTGGAGCCTGGTGTGCCTGTATTGTACGGAGAAGAGGAAGCCTGATTAGCTGTGCAATTTTAGGCAGGTCCTTATAATTCAGAGTCTCAGGATTTTTATATATGGGAAGGGGATGATGACTGACATCTAGCTTGGGCATTAGGAGTGAGGGGTGATGTGTAAACACTGCAAACTCTTCAGGTGAGGCGGTGGTGATTATTATCCTATCTGCGGATCCATAGTTAATATTCTGACAGTTGGCTAGACACTTTTGTGGGGAACAGAAAAAGGGTTAGATTGTTATTTCTAGTCTTAAATATTTAGGCATCTAAAAATTTAGAAGCCTTTTAAGAAGCTTGTGTTGAGTATGGAAAATGGAGAAAAGATAAGTCTTTTGAAAAATTGCTGCTGCCTGGAAATAGTCAAAACATCTCTGTTGTGGGATTTTAGAGTGGGTATGTTTGGTGGTAGGTTGTCCTAGGGTGAGCCTTTGTAATAAGTAGCAGTGTGTTTCCTGGAAGTAAGGAGGAAGGAGAGTTGCCCAGCCACTGTGTGATAAGGCAGTAGCAGAAAGAGAGATGGGGAAACACTGGAGCTTTCAGGGGGGAGTGTGTAGTGAGTTCCTGAGGAGCTACTGTCAGCCTGATCTCAGTCTTACTACAGGGAGGGCAGGGCAAGCACTGTCTTCTTCTGGGCTAGCACACTTGTGCCAAGGTAACTGGGGTGAGGAATGGTGACTGGGCAGCTGAGAGCCTGGGGACCAGAATTCCACGTATGTCGACGTGGGAGCTGCCCTCTCCAACTTCCTGCCAGTCTTGATTCCTTAAACAGGCTAGAGCAGCCTGCTTACTTACATCTTTCCCCACTCATCTCATGACCTCTGCAGCAAGAAGTCGAGAACTTCAAAAAGGTCAATATGATCAGCCGGGAGCAGTTTGACACACTGACCCCTGAGCCCCCTGTGGATCCCAACCAGGAAGTTCCTCCTGGGCCACCTCGGTTCCAGCAAGGTGAGAAGCAGACACCTGAGATCCTGACATGGGTGAGAGGATCTAGGGCCCTTGGACTGGGGGCTATCCTGGGGTGGATGCCACAGGCCTTTCCCTGCTTCCTGACTCCTCTCTCTGCCTCTGCAGTTCCTACGGATGCCCTGGCCAACAAGTTGTTTGGTGCTCCTGAGCCCTCCACCATCGCCCGCTCTCTACCAACCACTGTCCCAGAGTCACCAAACTACCGCAACACCAGGACCCCTCGCACTCCCCGGACACCACAGCTCAAAGACTCAAGCCAGACATCACGGTTTTACCCAGTGGTGAAAGAAGGACGGACACTGGATGCCAAGGTGAGGCATTCCTGTCGGGCTGCTCAGAGTCTTGGGTCTACTTCATTGCATTCCAGTGCTTTGCTTCTCTCCCTTGCCTTGTCTGAGCTAAGGAAGTGCTAAATCCTTCACCTGCTCTGTGTTCTGAGGCTGGTGGGCTTACCTAGGATTAGGTAGCCACATCTGCAAAATATACTGGGTGTGGGAGTGGTAACCCCATGTTGAAAGGCCTAAGGAGGATTGACCAGGTATGAGTCCTTGGGCAAATCACTGCATTCCCAAACCTTGATTTCTTCACCTGTTTGAAATAGGCATACCAGTTCCTAGCTCACCACTGTGAACTTTATACGAGAATGAATATGAAAATGCTGTTGTAAAATGTGAGAGATCATGCCCATCTTAGTCCTACAAGTGCTTGATGCTCCTCAGAGTTGTAGGAGTACAAACAGTAACAAACCCTGGGCTAACCTTTGCAGATGCCTCGAAAAAGAAAGACAAGACACAGTTCAAACCCACCCTTGGAGAGCCATGTGGGCTGGGTGATGGATTCCCGTGAGCACAGGCCCCGTACTGCTTCCATCAGGTACCTGGGGCAGTGGGGGAAGAGTGATCAGGCTGCCTATGGGATGGGTGGGCGAGCCATGAAATTGACTGGACCAAGAAGATTGGTCTGAAAATTAAAGGGACCCTCATCTAAGAGGTTTTCAAAAAACCAGTGGTGTGGAAAGCTCAGCCCAGGACCTGGGAATGACGGGTAGGCTTTTTTCCTAAAGAAGTGGTGTGGCAGTCACGTGAGACCAGATTTTCATACATGCAGAGAGAAAATCTCTGAATTGGTTTCCAAGCCTGGCTATCTACTTTCTGTCTGAGGAAGAATAGCCAGGTAGTTGAATAAACAGATTTCTGGCAGTCTCTCTGAGCCTACTATGTCTTGGGAGGCTACTTGAAAAGTTTTAAAAATTAAAAAAATACATATTTATTGGCCCCAACCTGTATCTGCTGACCCTGCTTCTTGGGGTAGGGCCCACACTCTTTTTTATTTATTTCAGTAAGATGGCCCCAGTGTGTGTTTCCTGTTTCCCAAAGCAAGCTTTGAGAGCCACCTACCTATGACCAATGCTCTCTACTCCCTGCAGAGATGGCACAGACTGCAAATAGGCATGCTTTTGAAGAAAATATACAATTGATCTTTGAACAACGAAGGGCGTGGGGTGCCCAGCTGCACACAGTTGAAAATCCGTGTATAACTTTTGACTCTCCAAAAGCCTACTGTTAACCAGAAGCCTTACCAATAACATATAGTCAATTAGCACATGTTTTGCATATTATATGTATTACATACTGTATTCTTACAATAAGCTAAATAAAAAATATTACTAAGAAAATCACAAAGAAGGGAACAACAAACACTGGGGCCTACTTGGTGGGGAGAGGGAGGAGAGTGAGGTACAGTTTACCTACTTAACAAACCTGTACACATACCTCTGAACCTAAAATAAAAGTTAAAATCATAAGAGAAAATATTTACTGTTCAGTAAGTGGAAGTAGAATCATCATAAAGGTCTTCATCGTCGTGGTCTTCATGTTTAGCAGGCTGAGAAGGAGGGGTTGGTCTTGCTCTCTCGAGTGGCAAAGGGGAATCATCATAAAGGTCCTCATCCTCATGGTCTTCACATTGAGCAGGCTGAGAAGGAGGGGTTGGTCTTGCTGTCTCAAGAGTGGCAAAGGTGGAAGAAATCTGCGTATAAGTGGACCCACGCGTGGATCCATGCATTTCAAACCCATGTTGTTCAAGGGTTCACTGTAGATGGATTGACCCATGATGGCTCATTAAAAGGTTAAATGCTTAAAGTTAATAAATGGTTAAAAGCTCAAGTTTTATCATTGGACACGTTTCTGCCATTAAATAGTCTTATGACCCTGGATGAGTCTCCTAATCTCTGTAAGCCTCAGTATCCTCTGTAAAACTCTCTGAGAGTTGATGCAGAGTTAATCAGACCCATGGATATAAGTTAAAGGTCCGTAACTGGGCCTCCTTGTTTGATACCCTGTGAGAGGATGGATCTTGGCTGACAGAACGGATCAGAGGGACCCCTCCTGACATGGTGGGGCTGCTGTGGGGAACCTGGTGACAGTATTTTTTGTGGTTTCTGTAGCTCCAGCCCCTCAGAAGGGACGCCTACAGTTGGCAGCTATGGCTGTACCCCTCAGTCATTGCCCAAGTTCCAGCATCCTTCCCATGAACTGCTCAAGGAAAATGGCTTCACACAACACGTCTACCATAAGTATCGTAGGCGCTGCCTTAATGGTAAGAAGTGTGGGGGGCAGGAGATGAGCCTCTGGGCCCGTTATTTAGACCCAGAGTATAAGAGTTGGGGGATACGGGGATAGGTGACTCTTTTCTCTGACTTCAGAGCAAAAAAAAGACATGACATTATAGCAAGAAAGACTGAAGTTAGACTCGGGCCAGGTAGTTTTAAACTGTAGGAAGCTAGGGGGATATGGCACTCACAACGTTCGTGTTCTTTGATCTTCCTCTATTGATTATTAAAGCTGTCAATTAAGTATTTCCATATCTCTGGCAAGATTACTGACTCAGCCATTGTCAGGTCTAGTCCACTGTCCATCACAAAAGGGTATGTAAGAGGTGACATATGCTCTCTAGAACAAAGGTTGCCAAACTGGCCTGTGAGTCAAATCCAGCCAGTATTCTGTTTTCGTATGGCTTTGGAGCTAAGGACAGTTTTTACATTTTTAAGGGGTTGTAAGAAAAAAAGATTTGTGACAGAGACTATATGTCTTCTGTAAAGCCTGAAATATTTGTTCTCTGTCCCTTTACAAAAGTAGTTTGCTGATCCCCTCTCTAGATGATAGTGTAAGGAACGAGCCTGTCTAGATGCTCTTGTCTGTCCCTGCTCTTTTAGTATTCTGATAGGTTGGCTGTAAAGACGCGCAAAACCAATCTAGTCACCTGTAGTTATTAACTCATTCATCCTCTTTCATTCAACAAAACGTGGTTGCTAAATTCTTGATTCATCCACTTCACTTCTCTCTTTCTTACTCTATGTGTAATAACAGCTTTATTGGGATATAATCTACATATGATGGAACATACCTAAAGAATACAATGTAATAGCTCTAAGTGTACTCATATAGTTGTGTGCCCATCACCAGAATCAATTTTAGAACATTTTCATTACCCCCAAAATGCTATGCCCCTTACCAGTCATACTCATTATACATGCAAACTACTCCCCACCCCCAGAATCCTCCCAGCCCTATGAAACTACTAACCTACTTTCTGCCTCTAAGGATTTTGCCTATTCTGGACATTTCACATAAATTATACTGTATGTGGTCCTTTGTTACTGGCCTCTTCCCCTTAGTATATTTGGTATACTAACAAATACACAGCAAGGTTCATGTCATAGCATGCATCAGTACTTTATTCTTTTTATTGCCAAATCATATTCCATCGTATGGATGTATCACATTTTGTGTATCCATTCATCAGTTGATTGGCATTTGGGTTGTTTCTACTTTTTGTCTATTGTGAATGATGCTACTGGGCATATTCACATACAGGTTTCCTGTAGACGTAGTTTCTCCTTTATTTTGGTTAGAAGAGTAGTATTGCTGGGTCATGGGGTAACCATGTTTAACCCTTTGACAAAATTAAACTCTGTTTTCCAAAGTGGAAATTTTGGAATTTTATATTGAAATATAAAATTTTCGTTTTATATTTCTAAAAGCAATATGTGAGTCTTCTGGTTTTTCACATCCTTCCAACACTTGTTATTGTTTGTCTATTTTTCTTTATTTTTATTATTTAACATTTATTTTTGAGACAGCGTTTTACTCTGTCACCCAGGCAGGAATGCAGTGACTTAATTATAGCCCACTGCAGTCTCGAACTATTGGGCTCAAGCAATCCTCCTGCCTCAGCCTCCTGAGTAGCTGGGACTACAGGCATGCTCCACCATACCAATCTAATTACTAAAAGTTTTCTGTAGAGACAGGGGTCTCACTATGTTGACCATGGTGGTCTTGAACTCCTGGCCTTAAGCAGTCCTCCCTCCTCAGCCTCACAAAGTGCTGGAATTACAGACGTGAGCAACCTTGCCCAGCCAAGATGCTTTTTTAACTGGATTGTTTTTCTAGTTATTAAGTTGTAGGAATTCCTTTATCAAATACGTGATTTGCAAATATTTTCTCTGATTCTATGGGTTATCTTTTCACTTTTTTGATGCACAAAATTTTTTTGTTTTAATGATATTCATTTTCTCTTGTTTTGTTGCTTGTGCTTTTGGTGTTGTGCATTTTTTGATATTACTGTTTTGTACTTGTGACTATTGTAGGACTCTTGAGGTAAATATTGGTAATGAGCTAAATACAGTTTGTTAGAATTTACAAACAATTTGTTCATGCCTTGTCTTGTCTCGACGGCACTTGAAAGTAGTACCAGTTGAGGTGAAGAGCTAGACTGCCAGCCTGGTTCAGAAGCTGCTGCCACCTGCTCCTGGAAAAGTACAGGCCCAGCTCCCAGCATCAGGGCCTGGGGCAGAGTGGTTAGTGCTCAATAGATATCTGCTGAATGACTGAGTGGCAGATGATGAGTGAGGGGATTTGGAAGTACATGAGAAAGGACCAAGTCTTAAGTTCCAGGATCCTTTCTCCCTGAAGCAAGGGCAGCCTGAACCTGAGACATGCCTTTCCTCCTTTCTTTCCCATCAGAGCGGAAACGCTTGGGCATTGGCCAGTCTCAGGAGATGAACACACTCTTCCGCTTCTGGTCCTTCTTCCTCCGAGATCACTTCAACAAAAAGATGTATGAGGAGTTCAAGCAGCTGGCTCTGGAGGACGCCAAAGAAGGCTACAGGTGAGCAGGTTTGGGTGGGGGACTTTGGCTGGTGCTTAGGGATGATGTGGGATCCCTAGTTGGTCTGCTTCCAGAACTGTAGTTGGAAATTCCTTGCATGTGTATGTTCATTCATATACTTGATGAAAAATTTGTTTTTAAATGAGCAGTATATTCACATGGTTCAAATTTCAAACATTTTAAAAGGTTGTATAATGAAGAGTTGTCTTATCCCTGTCCCCCACCCATCTGGTGTCTTTCCCCACAGGCAACCAGTATTAGAATCTTGTGGGTCCTTTATAAAGGACCCTATGTAAGTAAGTAGACATCTGTGTAGTCTTCCATGCCACTACCACTCCTTTTGTTTACGCAAAAGCTGGCCTACGTTATAATATTTTTTGCACCTTGCATTTGTTTTTGTTTAATACTATATTTTGGAGATCATTCTATATCTGTACATAATTAACTTTGTTGTTCTTTTTTTATGGGCTGTAACATGGTCTTATATGGATGTACCATGATTTATTTAGTCCATCTCCTATTAGTGGATACTTAGGTTGTTTCCAATATTTTGCTATTAAAAAAACCTTGAGTCCTTTTTTCCTGGCTGGGTGGCTCACGCCTATAATCCCAGCGCTTCGGGAGGTCAAGGCAGAAGGATCACTTGAGCCCAGGAGTTCGAGACCAGCCTGGGCTCAAGCGATCGTTCTGCCATAGTAAGACCCTGTTTCTATTAAAAAAAAAAAAAAGACCTCCCCACACCCCCACCCCCTCCCCAATTTTCAATGTAAAATGTGCTCTCTGTAAACTACATGAAAAAAGACAAGTTTGGAAAAGCTGATGAAAACATCCATCATTCCAGAGACAGCAAGTGTTCTTCTGCCATCAAGCTTCCTAGTTTCTTCTTGGCATATTTAATGTATTTAGCTCATCCTATGAAGTTTGTGCTCTTCCAGACTTTGTATGCATGTGTAGTTGTAAAATTTACATACTTGTTTACAAAAATGGACTCATGGGCTCATTCTACGTCTAACATGTTTGAACATGTCTTTTCCATTTGATAATGTATTATTGTAAGCATTCTTCAGTATCCTTAAGTATACATTTATACTATTTCTTTTTTTTTTTTTTTTTTGAGGTGGAGTCTCGCTCTGTCGCCCAGGCTGGAGTGCAGTGGTGCGATCTTGCCTCACTGCAACCTCCACCTCCACCTCCCGGGTTCACGCCATTCTCCTGCCTCAGCCTACCGAGTAGCTGGGACCACAGGCGCCTGCCACCACGCCTGGCTAATTTTTTTTGTATTTTTAGTAGAGACGAGGTTTCGCTGTGTTAGCCAGGATGGTCTCGATCTCCTGACCTTGTGATCCGCCTGTCTCAGCCTCCCAAAGTGCTGGGATTACTTTGTGAGCCACCGCGCCCTGCCTTACTATTAATTTCTAATAGCTTATATTACTCCATTGTATAGATTTGCCATGATTTTTCTTAATTGCATCTCTATTCGTTGACATTTGTATTTTGCTTAATTAATGCTGCTGTAAACAGTTTGGTACATCTGTTAAGATCTAAATCTGGACTGGGTGCTGTGGCTCACACCTGTAATCCCAGCACTTTGGGAGTGCGAGGCAGGCAGATCACTTGAGGTCAGGAGTTTGGGACCAGCCTGGCCAACATGGTGAAGCCCCGTCTCTACTAAAAATACACAAATTAGCTGGGTGTGGTGGCACATGCCTGTAGTTCCAGCTACACGGGAGGCTGAGCTAGGAGAATGGCTTGAACCCAGGAGGCAGAGGTTGCAGTGAGCCAAGATCGTGCCACTGCACTCCAGCCTGGGTGACTGAGCGAGACTCTGTCTCAAAAAAAAGAAAAAAAAAAGATCTAAATCTATTGGCATGTGTTTGTTTTTGTTTTGTTTTATTTTATTTTGGAGACGAGTCTCACTGTGTCACCTAGGCTGGAGTGCAGTGGCGCAATCTCGGCTCACTGCAACCTCCACCTCCCAGGTTCAAGCGATTCTTCTGCCTCAGCCTCCCGAGTAGCTGAGATTACAGGCACCCACCACCACACCTGGCTAATTTTTGTATTTTGGTAGAGATGGGGTTTCACCATGTTGGCCAGGCTGGTCTTGAACTCCGGACCTCAAGTGATCTGCGTGCCTTGGCCTCCCAAAGTGCTTGCATTATAGACATGAGCCACAGCGCCTGGCCGCATGTGTTCCTTGAAGTGAAATTTCTGAGTCAGATAAATGAACAAACCTACTAATTGGCATGGTCAAATGGCTTTGCAGAGTTATACCAGGGATTGGCCAACTTTTTCTAGAAAGAGTCAGTAAATACTTTAGGCTTTGTTGGCCATAAGGTGTTTGTCGTAATTACTCAACTCCGTTCACTCTGTTATTGTAGCAGAAAGCAACCATAGATACTTCATAAAAGAATAGGAGTAAACAAATGTCTGTGGCAGGGGGACAGAGTTCCTTGACTGCAGGAAATCTCTGAACATTTTATGCTGGACCCACTTAGACTAGCATTCTAAAAGCGTGTATGCTGTTTTTTCAATACAGAAATAACATGTAGTTTAAACTGTTTCATAGTTCCTCTGTTATGCAGGCACATTTCCCGTTTTACAGATGAAGAAACTGCCCTGATTTCACTGACTTGTGTTCTACAGATATGGTTTGGAGTGCCTTTTTCGATACTACAGTTATGGCCTGGAAAAGAAGTTCCGGCTGGACATATTCAAGGATTTTCAGGAGGAAACGGTGAAGGACTATGAAGCTGGTAAGAGCCAGAGTTGGATCTGAGTGAGGCCTGGTCATGTAGGCCTCCTCTTCCCCAGTTGGACCTGGGTCTTTCTGTGTATTACACAACACCTCCCTCTCTCCTCTGAGCTTCTTTATCCTCACCAGCTCAGCTTTTCTGTACCTCTCCCTACAGGCCAACTGTATGGGCTGGAGAAGTTCTGGGCCTTCTTGAAATATTCCAAAGCCAAAAATTTGGACATTGACCCCAAACTGCAAGAATACCTCGGCAAATTCCGACGTCTTGAAGACTTCCGAGTAGATGTAAGTGAAACTCTTTCTCTAACTCTGCTTGTCCTGGAAAGAAAACTGGACCAGGAATCAGGATACTTGGATTCTGGTCCAGCTGTGCCCCTAGCCCAGGAACCCCTCTCCCTGCTCCCCACAATTTGGGCTTTGCTTTTTCACCTTTAAAATGGAGAGTGAGTGGCCAATGAAGGCTAGTTGGAGATAGTTGTATGGTTGCTCCTGCTTACCCTTTCTGTGGTACCATCATAATGCTCTTTCTCTCCTATCTCACCATCCTCCTTGCTACTGTGCCCAAGTTAGCCACTACTAGTTGATCAGGATGGGTATCCAAGATACACACATTTGTTCTTTCTGGAAAAAGCCAATTCCAACCCCAGTTTATAAATTAATGCCCAGGTCTCTTATGTTCTTGGAGCAGCGCCTCAACGGTGACATCCAGTGGCAGGGCTGGGTTATTACTGCTGGGTATATCAAGGGAAGTTGGAGTGATTTAATTGATTCAGCAGATACTGATTGGATGTCTCTGTGCTCGGTGCTTTAGAGATAAGGGAAAGAGGCTCAGTTTTTCCTTCTGAGAGTTTATAATGTAGTAGAGATGTCTCTTTGTCTTATTCCCTTCAAACCTTTTAGCAAAAAGGCAAATGCAAGTAAATGACAATTAGACTAGCCCTTAACATTTTGTATTAGTCTCTTCTCACTCTGCTAATAAAGACATACCTGAGACTGGGTAATTTATAAAGGAAAGAGGTTTAATTGACTCACAGTTCTGCATGGCCAGGGAGGCCTCAGGAAACTTAAAATCTTGGCAGAAGGGGAAGCAAATACATCCTTCTTCACATGGTGGCAGCAAGGAGAAGTGCAGAGTGAAGGGAAGTAAAAGCCCCCCCCCCCCACCCCCCCTTTTTTTTTTTGGAGACAGAGTCTTGCTCTGTCACCCAGGCTAGAGTGCAGTGGCACGATCTTGGCTCACTGCAACCTCCGCCTCCCGGGTTTAAGTGATTCTCCTGCATTAGCCTCCTGAGTAGCTGAGATTATAGGTGCGCACCACCACGCCTGGCTAATTTTTGTATTTTTAGTAGAGATGGGGTTTCACCATGTTGGCCAGGCAGGTCTCAAACTCCTGACCTTGTGATCCACCTGCTTGGCCTCCCAAAGTGCTGGGAGTACAGGCATGAGCCACCGCGCCCGGCCCAAAAGCCCCTTATAAGACCGTCAGATCTTGTGAGAACTCACTCACTATCACGAGAACAAGATGGGGGAAACTGCCCCCATGATGCAATTATCTCCACCTGGTCCCTCCCGCGACATGTGGGGATTATGGGAACTACAATTCAAGATCGAGATTTGGGTGGAGACACAGCCAAATCATCACATTTATTATTTTAAAACTGCCATTTATTAAGTGTTTATTATGTGCCAGGTACTTTACATTGACCTTATTTAACCCTTATGTGGTGACGCAGACAGGACTTATTAGGTTAACTGAGGTTCGTGGCCATCCAGTGACATAATGGCAGAGCCACTCAGGTCTCTCAATATAAACACAAATCTGTTTTCTTTTATTCTTAAGCATTTCCACCCTTGAGGAGGAGAAGGGAGGGGAGCAGGGTACAAGTCACAGAGAACCTTTGTGATAAGTAGACCTATTAGGGTGGAACAAGGACTCAGTTTTGGTTCCCAAAATGGGAAGGAAACGTCTGTCTTCGGGGTTATAAGACCTTTGTTAGTGGTAAGGCCAGTCTGGAGCATGGTCTGAGTCTTAGTTCAGGATCCTCTGGACCTTGAAGAGAATGAGGTGATCCCCAGAAGGATCTGGGCCTTCTGAGCTGAGACGTCGCAGCATACTGCATGCCACATTCCACATTTCTGAGCAAGAGATCCCTTCTTGGAAGGGAAGCAGAAATGAGGTTGGATAAAAGCCTGGCCTTTTGGGGCAGGTAGACCTAAATTTTGTCTTTATCGGTTACCAGCTATGAGACCCTGGGGAAGTTACTTTTTTGTGCTTCAGTTTCCTCATCTATAAAATCAGATGTCCATGGGTCCACATCAAAGGGTGATGCTGACCCCATGAGAGAGTGTGCATAAAACAGCACAAGGCTTGGCATGAAGAAACGCTTAATAACTTATAATTTATTTTTAAGGTTAAACCCATTCATTTTCTATATTTGGAGGTAGAAAGTAGGAAGTGTCTAGACGGGCCTGGCAAGGAAGAGGGCGTAGATAGTGCTTCTGATCACCTGTGACTCCTTCCTCTGTTGCAGCCCCCCATGGGTGAGGAGGGCAACCACAAGCGACACTCAGTGGTAGCAGGAGGTGGCGGCGGTGAGGGCAGGAAGCGGTGCCCCTCCCAGTCTTCCAGCAGGCCTGCTGCCATGATCAGCCAACCCCCTACACCACCCACCGGCCAGCCTGTCCGGGAAGATGCCAAATGGACAAGCCAGCACTCGAACACACAGACTTTGGGAAAGTGAAAAGCTCCTTAGCCCTGGGGCTTGAGGGGGGAAAGGGGTAGGGTGGGTAAGAGTCCATGGGGGTGCCCAGTCCCAGGAAAGGGGACAATGAAGGGACAGGCCTGGAGTTACTAGGACAGGCCTTTGTGCTGAGTAGCAATGTATACACCATTTGGGCTATCAGAGGTACCCCTGGGCAGGAGCCTCTACATCCCCTTCCCCCTCCTCTCTCCATGACTCTTGACATCCTAGCTTCTTCTAAGGGGGGAGGGAAAGGGGGGAGATTTTTATATATATATACATATATATATATCAAGTTTTAAATTATTGATAGTTCATCTGGATTACCAAAATCACTCTGCAGCCCTGCCCGAGGCTAGTAGGCTGCAACCCTGGTCCCCACCCCTAACCTCCTGCTCCCCCTCAAGCCAACTATGCAGCCCACAAGAAGGCCCTGCGGGCCCCCCCATTGCCCAGCACTGTCTCATAGAAGGCTCTGGTGGTACCTCTGGGCCCCAGGAGCATCAGCCCCTTGATCATCTGGGGTTTGTCATCACCATATTTTCTCCCTGCTGTTCCCACCATGCCCTTCTGCCATCTTCTGGGAGAAGGAAACCAAAGGATCTAAAACTGGGGTTTGGGGGAAGGTTTCAGCCTCTCCCCACTCCCCTTGCCCCACACCCTTTACTCCCCAGCCCAGAGAGACGCTGCTTTTACCAGGAAAGACTATTGAAAGATGTTTTATTTTATTTTTCTCTGACCTTTCCATCCTTGAAAAAATGGGGAAAAAAGAAGAAAAAAGACAAAATCGACCATAAAAGACCAAAAAAAAAAAAAAAATCAGAAAACCCCCACCTAATCCACAGAAAGTAATGTCTTTCCCCTCCCCTTGGAATTTTTGTTTTGTTTTTGGAAATAATATTTTTTTAAAAGTTGCCTTATTGTGGAGCGGGAATCTGAAATACCCAAATGCCTGTTTTCCTCGGTGGAGTCAACCCGAAGAGCTCCCACCTTCTCTGGATGTGCCTGGGCTTGGACTGGCTAGAATCTTTCTCTGGACTGTTGCATGTACAGTGCCTCCATCCTGGAGGCAAGAGAGTTGGGAGTGGCTCGAATCAGAGCCGTGCCCAAGATATCCCTGCTGTTGCATCGTTTGAAGCTGACGTCCTGTGTCTGTACACTGCTGCCACTGTTGTGTCCTCGCTCTGCTTGCTGTTGCCTCACGCCAGGCCCCGTCCTGCCGTGACACCCTTCATCCTACCCTTGGAACCCCAAGGCCAAGTTGGTTCAAACTGTTGGAGAACAGAGTTGGCCTGCATCTGGAACACACTTGTCCTCAGCTTACCATCTCCTCACACCCCAGAGTGGAAAGGTGAACACCTGCAGCTGAGGCTTGGAAACGTTTCTTGTGTTGCCCTGAAAAATCTTTGAGACCTCAGGGAGGCTCTGTCTCTCTTAAAAGGTGGAGAAAGATGCCATTCTCTCCCTAAGGTCTGGTGGAGTCTCCCCATCTTGCATACCCTTCTGCAAGCCATCTATCTCTGCTCACTCTCCAATTGACCCGCCTGGGAACAAGGGATGAGGAGGAGTTGGGGGCTGGGGGGAATCCTGCCAGTTGGTGAAGCCCTGTGGCAGGAAGGTATATGTGGACATAGAGTATACCTGATTCTCTTTCTTCAGCCACTGACTGCTTGGGTTGGGCTGTGAATGATAATGGAATGGCTGGAGTCTGCTGTTGTCAGAAGGCAGGGAGGGTGATGAAGGACTGACCCACATGGACTGGGATGTGTGTCGGTTATGGGCATGACTGCACGTTCACTCTCAGTGGGATCTGGGCAACATGGAGTTCATTGTCCTGTTGCTTACTTACTGCAATGTCTTTGGCCCTCCTTTTCAACTGGTTCCTCTGTTGGGCCCAAAGGTTGGGAGTAGGAGACAGTATCCCAGGCTGACAAGGGCTTGCCCTTTACCTTGGGCACCTTGTTAATTTTTAGCCTGTGCCCTTCCCCACCTTTGCCCTCCCAGTGGTTGGTATGTGGGAAGCCCATCTCAGTTCCTGTGACTTCATGTCTCAAACCAAGGATGAGCGTCTGGTCTCTGCTATGATGGTGGTATCCGAGGCCTTTCCCTGCCCAGTCTGGTGCCTGCCCCACATTGTACCGGACACTGGATTCCTGGACCCCCTTCTCCTTTCCTTTCTTTCCTTCAGGTCACGCAGCCCTGTACTGTATCCAGCACCACAGAAACCTCAGTGTTTTTCCTCTGCTGGTTTGGGGCACAAGGAAGCCTTAGGGTATGGGGAAAGGCTGTTATTACCTAGAGTTTACTCCCAGGCCAGGGGGCTGCCATCTTCTTCACAGACATCCCTGAAAGGAAGCCCCTTTGGGGCAGGGAGGTGAGGACTTCATCTCAACATCGGCTGGTGGTTGGTAGGGGAGCTTTTTCTTTTCTTTCCTTTTTTTTTGTTTTTGTTTTTGTTTTTGTTTTTGGTAACATGTTAGGAGTTAATGTTGCAAAGAGTAGTTTACATCTTCACTTTCTGAAGACACTTGAATTTAGGACCGATGTATCTGTGACAAGCATGCCAGAAGTGGCAGGGGCCATCAGGGCTAACCACTTCACACCTACCATCGTCCCATGGGGATCCAAGACCTGAGATAAAGCAACAGCCTGCCCAGATCCCTCTGTTCATCCTATCCCTTCCAAGGTTGGTCCATGCCAACATAACCTCTGGGCATCAGACATCAGCAGGTCTGTGTGCCTCAGCCCTGTTAAGGGGCAGGTTTCTCTTTAGCCCTCTTCCTGCACTTGGGAGCAAAGGCACTACCAGTAGAGAAGGGCCATCCAGCCGTGCCCCAGCCTGGACCCCTGGGGCTCAGATAGAGGTGCTGAGCCCCTGTGTCAAAGTTGTTAAATGTTTTTGTTTTGTTCCATTGTAGCTCTTTTTTTTTTTTTTTCCCCTTTCCTGGTGATTGATTTTACAAAAGAAAGTAAGCTGCTTAGAAGGCCCTGGAAGGGAAGTGAGGAGGAGGGACAAGGAAGATGACTAGTTACGGAGGGTGAGGGTTGTTTTTTGCCAAAAAGCCTGGGTAGAGTGATCTGAATTATCTGGCACCCTCCTGAATGGAACCCCAGAGTACCTCCTGTGTGGAAGGGTCCCTGGATTTTCCCTAACACCCACCCTCTCCCCCTTCAGCCATGCTGATGGCAGAGAAGATAAGAACTTGGAGCCCATTTCTCACTGGAGAGGAAAACTTGTCATCTGGCTTTGCGGAGAAGGTTCCACCTTACGCTCGTAGTACATTATCTTTACTATGTGCTAGGATATCATATTTAAAAGGACAAAAAAATGTAAAATACTTGAATGAGCTTGTATTATAACATTAATATTATTGAGAGTATCTGCTTTCCAGGCTGAAGTGATTCATTCATTATTCTAGTCCTGCTTTAGTCCTTTGTAATTTGTGGTAATTATGCTTTTCTTTTTAATACAAAAAAATGTATAAAAATAAACACTTGAAAAGGCAAAATACTGGCTGGTCTTCCATCTAGGTTACTGCTATTGGGTGTGAAGGATGGGTTTCTGGTAGAGTTCCCCCAGATCCGGAGGAACCCTGCACTCAATGTGCACATGAAACCTCGGCAGGGGTTCTGCCATTGGGCTTCGAGGAGTCTGCCTAAGGCAGGGGCTTCTACAAGCCTTGAGTTCATGTCCACCCTGTGTCTTAAGTGAGACGTGACAGTCATAGCCAGTGCCACAAAACAGCAGTCCAGCATAATGCCAGGATTTCAGCGCACTTGTCAGCTTCCAGGTTTTCCATCCCCTGGCTGTGGCCTGCATTGTGTTATGAGACAGCCAAGAAGAAAAACGATGAGGCTTCTTATGGAGGGTTGCCACAACCCCTCTATGAACAGACTTTTCCACAGGGGGGTGAAGGAGGAATGATCCAGCACCATGTGGACTTACGGAATCCTGGTCAGCCCCGAACCCTGAGATGTGATGCTGGGGAGGGATGGAACAAAGAGTCCCCCATTCCCCGTATAAATTACAAAACTAAAAATGGGGCATGGCCTTATTTACGTGTTCATCTGACAACTGTCTCCCATACCTGGCTTGGGTAAATGGTTTTTCCAGAGAGTGCTTTTTCACTGTTCTTGAGGTTGGCAGGTACTTCAGTACCACCAGTGACCTCCACAGGCCAAAGGAAAGTTTAGGAGATAGTGTCCAGGGCTGATGCAGACGGATTGGTACTTTGAAAACAGAAAGATGAATTAATTGAAACTTACTTTCACAAATTATCGTTAGGAATGCTCACAGCAGCTTAATTTCACAGCCTGAGCTTCCAAATGCTATGTCTGAAGTATTAGAAGTCTTGTAGTAGACACCTCCCTTCAAAAAAAAATTATCCACTGGAATTCATGAAGACCAGTTTATTTTACATGCTTGCTTTCACATTCTTTACTGGGAATTTAAGGCCTTTTTTCAGCCTTAACTTGTATACCAACCTCAAGGATTTTGTTTGATACAGAAAAGGATAGGGCTGGGCCCTTCTGCCAAGGACTGATAACCTGCCTGCCAAAAGGAAGAGGGAATGAAAGCCTTTTGTCCTTCTAGGCCCCTTACAGTACCTCAAAATCTAAAGGCCTTAAAGGGGAAAAAAACCGTATCTGTTCTTTCTCCTTATCTCCTACCCTTCTCTTTAAGCATATTGAAGATGGACTTTTTTCCAAATGTTTATTTGTAGGAAGAGGTGATGAGTGCAGGCCAGCAGCTGAGAACTTACAGCTTTGATGCACCAGGAACTGTATTCAAGCTGAGGGCAAAAGCCTCCTAGGGAGGGAGCCAGGTCCACCAAGGCCAGAGACAGACAGGCGAGACTGTGGAAGGCCAGGGAGATGCTGCCTGGTAAGTGCTCAGCTGGCCTACTGGGCAAGTCCTCTGGGGTTCTAGAGCTGATAGGAAGAAGGAGTCCATTTTGATAGTCCTGCCTGGAGACTTGGACCTAGCTGATACTAAGGTATTTTATAAAGCTACAGTGGATGTTTTTCTTAAGAGAACTGAAAGTTGGAAAAGGCACAAGTATATATAAGAATTTAGTAAAATGATAATGGTGGTCTTTCAAATCAAAGAGTGATCTTTAAATTGTTCTTGGGAACCACAGGGTTCCTGGCCATGTCTGGCGGCTGAGAGGAGGCCAGGATGGGGACTTCAACCCAAGCAGCTGTGGTTTTGCCTTTGATAAGGTTCCTGGTAAAAATCATCTTGAATAAATGTTGCTGAGAAACTGGTAAAGCATTCGGGGGAGAAAGGATTTTGCTCTTTGCTCTGCCATGTTTTTCCGGGCTCTTTCTTCGGGGAGAAAGAGGGCTCTAACCTTTGGTCCTCATTCAGATAGGCTAATTAGGGGTCTCGGGTGTCCCCAAAGGGCAGCAACTTTGACCCCTCCCCTTGTGGGTAAAAGGGCTTTTCACAGTTTCCCAGCAGTTGGTTTTTGGTTTCCACATAAGGCTAAAGGTGTTAAAGTTTGGTCTGCACCTCGTTGGTTTTAATCCAGGGAGGAGCTCCTGGATTTCTTTTTCTCCCCCACAGAGGGAAACCTTTTGTTTGCGGTGGGCCAGAGTTAAAACGGGGCCTTTACCACTCACTCAGAGTGTTTGGTGTGTGTATGTTTGTGTGTGTGTTGGGTGAAGTGGCGACTGGCATCTGGTATGTCATGAATTGAGACCTATAATGATTTGCCAGGGTGTCTTGGCTCTGGCCTGAGTCGGGTATGTGAAAGCCTTTTGGGGCAGGAAGGGGCAAAGTGATACCTGGCCGTCCCACCCTCTGGTCCCAGAAGGAGCTCTCGCTGGAGCCAGGCAGCCTCCAGTCCCCCTCCTTTCAGCCTTGTCATTCTCTGCATCCTGCCCAGGCCACAAAGGAGTTATCTGGGGCTGAACCCCTCTCCTTCCACAGCAGAGGACCAGGGGTCTCCTCCCTCTGACCAGCCTCCAGTCTGGGGAGCTGTGTTTTCCTTTTTCTTAAGCTAACTCCTGATCCCATTGAGGGACATCAAGGGCAGTAGTTTGAAGAAAGCCTCATCCTTGGCCCTGCTTTTCCGGGAAGCCGACCTTCCCTCTACCCTGGTGGTGCCATCATTAGGGCGTGTGGCCGAAGGAGGCAAATTGTTAGGTGCAATCAGGAAGCCGTGTCTGCATCCCATGGCTGAGGGACAGCCAGGATGACACTTAGGCTGTCTCTCACTCCATCCTCTTTGGGGAGTCTGGGATGCTCTCAGAGAGCGGGGTGAAGCCCAGCAGGAGGACATGTCTCTCGTAGGCCTTGGTCTGCTTGAACATGGTGTCAGTCCCATGGAGGTGGTCCAGCACACCCAGCACCCCATAGCACTGGTTGAACCTAGAAGAGAGAGGACGGCACTGCAGTGCCCATGCTGGAGGCTTCCGTGCAGATCCCATTTCATTTGTGCCAGCCTCACACATTTCTCAGCCCTCCTACCCCACACCTGTCACCACCATCCTGACCATCTGCATCAGAATAAGCTGGGGAGTTGCTACCAATGCATCTCCCGGGGGCCACTCCAAACCTGCAATTTGCCGTATCTGGAGTCCTCCTTTGAAAAGCTTGCTGTGTGATTGATGCCCACAGTCTGAGAATCTCTAGCAGAACTAGGCTTCTTCAGGTATGAGATCACCAGCATCAGAATCCCCTGGAACACTTAACTAAAATGCAGGTTTCCAGGCCCTGCTCCCCCAGATACCTTAGTTCAGCATATTTGGAGTGGAATTCAAGAGCCTATATTTTAAACAAGCATCTCAGGTGATTCTGGTATAGGAGGTTTGTAGACTACACTTGAAAAAGTCTGGGGCTTTCAGAGATACATGACTTCCTTGTGATTGCCTGCAGGAGTTTTATGCATATATGTACTTTTCTAAAGAGAATGTCCAGAGCTTATTCAAAGGGCCCAGAGTCCAAATAAAGGTTTAAAACCCCCAGTTGGAGGAGGACCCAATTTCAGAAGGAAAAGAGTAAGGTCATCCCAGTGTGGTTATTTTCCCAGCCATCAGACCTCTTCCCCAACTAGCACTCACATGTAAACTGAGATACCAGTGCCTGCTATCAGAAGCTTAAGGAGGGAGGGTGATGGTTGTTGCCTAGGGACCCATTGTGGGGAGAAGGTCCTTACTTGAGATGGTGGTAGTCGTGGAATTCAGGCGAAGGCAGGAAGGGAAGGTGGTAGCCACAGTGGGAGATGGTGGTGATGATGAGGGCCAAGGAAAACCACATGGTGATGGAGGACAAGTGGGAGCCCATTACTAATGGGCCCACTATCACCGGTAGCATGTTGGAGACCTGCAAGAGGAGGGATGATTGAAGGCAGGGTCCAGGGAGATGAAGGGACTTAGTTGGGTATACACTTAGTCCCAAGGTGGTACCAGAGGCAAACTTCCTTGACCCAGATCTGGAGAAGGTGAGAGTTTCGGGACTTTGATTTGTTGAAGGCATTCACCTTTGTAACTTGGGACAAATTACGCAGTTTGAGCCTCAACTTTCTTGTTAGCAAAATTAAGATTAAAAAGGTTGTTGGAGGAGCCAGGTGTGGTGATTCATGCCTGTAATCCCAGCAATTTGGGAGACAGAGGTGGGAGGATTGCTTGAGGCCAGGGGTTCCAGCCAGTCTGGGCAAAATAGCAGGATCCCGACTCTACAAAAAAATTTAAAAATTAGCCAGATGTGGCCAGGTGCGATGGCTCACTCCTATAATCCCAACACTTTGGGAGGCCAAGGCGGGTAGATCACGAGGTCAGGAGTTTGAGACCAGCCTGACCAACATGGTGAAAACCTGTCCTACTAAAAATACAAAAATCAGCCAGGCGTGGTGGCACACGCCTGTAATCCCAGCTACTCAGGAGGCTGAGACAGGAGAATGGCTTGAACCCGGGAGGCGGGAGATTGCAGTGAGCCGAGATCATGCCATTGCACTCCAGCCAAGATGACACAGTGAGACTCCAGATTTGGTGGTGCACACGTGTGGTCTCAGCTATTTGGAAGTGCACACGTGT
Source organism: Homo sapiens (assembly GCF_000001405.40). Classification (NCBI taxonomy): domain Eukaryota; kingdom Metazoa; phylum Chordata; class Mammalia; order Primates; family Hominidae; genus Homo; species Homo sapiens. Next base: position 154,822,137 of record NC_000005.10, read on the forward strand.
GGTCTCAGCTATTTGGAAGACTGAAGCTAGAGGATCACATGAGCCCAGGGGTTGGAGGCTGCAGTGAGCTATGATCACACCACTGCACTCCAACCTGGGTGACAGAGCAAGACCCTGTCTCAAAAAGAAAAAAAGAAAGTTGTTGGGATGATTAAATGAGACAACTGTGTTAGCACTTAACATAGCCTGGCATATGGAAGGCTGACAATAAATGGTAGCTATTTTTAAATGGGAAGAAAAAGGGCCGGTGTGGTCTAAGTTCTCTGCAGGAGACCTTCAGGAAGGTGGTTGGGGCCATCTGCCCTTTGCTCTGGGGAGCATAGAGCTCTACTCACTGCATGCTCTATAGGGTGGGCATAGAGAGAGATCACGCCAATGGGAGCTGTCCACTCATGGTGTTTCTTGTGGATTTTCTTGTAGAATGTTGGGTGGTGAAGGAGCCTGGGGAAATAGTTAATAGTTAATAACCTGCTGATTCCTCTTTCTCCCTCCCCGACCAGACCATGAGAAACCAAAAATAGGAACTAGGGGTTACATCCATGGAGCAAAGTTAACAACACCAAGACCTGCCTTCAAATTTCAACCCCAGCCCTTATACTGCATAGTTTGGGAGTGGGTTGCTTTGCTTCTCTATGCCAGTTGTATTCGCTGTAAAATGGGATGCTGCCCAGAAAGGACTGAATAAGGAAATGAATGGGAAACTGCCCTGGCTCCCACACAATCAGAGAGGCCTTTTCTCTTTTGGACATTCATTCCTCAGTTGTCCCAAGTTGTCAGTTATGAGACAACTAGTGGTCTCCCTGTTAACTATTTAATGGGACACTTGAGGCCAGGGAGTATTTTACTGGCCTACACTCAATTCAGAAGCCTGTTCCCTTTTATTTTTTTTCTTTGAGACAAGGTCTTGCTCTTTCGCCCAGGCTGGAGTGCAGTGGTGTGATCACAGCTCACTATAGCCTTGACCTCCCGGGCTCATGTGATCCTCCCACCTCAATCTCCCAAGTAGCTGGGACTACAAGTACACACCACCATGCCTGGCTAATTTTTTAAATTTTTTTGTAGAGACGGGGTCTCCTGACATTCCCCAGGCTAGTCTCAAACTCCTGGGCTCAAGTGATCCGCCCACCTCAGCCTCCCAAATTGCCAGGATTACAAGCGTGAGTCACTGCACCTGGCCTCAGTTTCCTTGTTGATCAGTGAGCCCTAGACAGGATGAGGAGCCAGCTGTGCCTCAGGCAGGGCCTGCTCACCGGTGTGAATAGTAGAACAAGACTTCCTCGATCAGCGTGAAGATGGCCAGCTCCAGGAGGAACCAGTGGAAGGTGGGTAGCTCACGGCGGCAGGGGTCTCTCCACCATTTGAGGAAGGGATAGAGGAAGACCACCATGGGGAAAGATATCATGCACTGGTTGAAAAGAACTGTGCGGATAGACTGGCGCAGTTTCACAGGATCCACCTGCCCAAGGGAAGGGAGGAGGGAGATGGATAAGAGTGTGAGAAGTAGGCTCCACCGTGACCTGCTTACAGGAGGCCCTCACTCTGGTTGGATTCTGGGAGAGATGTCGGGGGACAGCCAGTAGCTCCTGACTGCCACCCAGCTCTGGGCCTGGAAACGTTGCAGAATAAGGCCCTGGCTGCTAGGCAGGTGAGTAATACCCCTGTCCTTGGAAACTTCAGCAGCCTTCAGTCTGTGTCGGAACCTGCCTTCTTCCTGGTTCTGCACATTATCACCACTGCCCTCCCCATTTCTCTGGCCAGGCCCCATGTATTTACAGGTAACTTGGGTAGCCTCCATGGTGCTTGGAGAAGGCTGTGACTTTCTGAGTGATACCCCATTTCAGCCATTTAGCCCCTCTTCATCAGAGAACCTTGTTCATGATTGGATGCAGAGATCAAGATCATCTGCCTCCTCAAGTGGTCCAGCCTCCCTGCAGTAGGCCCAGAGCAAAGAAGCAGGTAAGCCAAGGAACTGCTTATCCAGCTTCTTGACCAACTTGCTGGTTTTCACAGTGATGCTGTGAAGATGGGGGCCTGCCCAAGCATTTCCACCAGGGTCCACTGTACAGAGCTGGTCCCAAGTGTCCAAAGTCCATTTGGCCTCAATACTGCAGCCAATATTTCCCCCAGAATCAGCAACCCTTTGACCCTTCCCTTTGTCAGAGCACTGGGGCTCCAGGCAACAGTCCTGTGACCATAGATTACTTCCTGGATCCTGATGAACTTGTTTGGTTAGAAGGGATTTCTCCAAGTTCCCTCTGTGAGCTGGAGGGATTTCTGCCCCAAAGCGCGACAGGTTCAGAATGGTCCCCAGCTTGAGGCCTGCCTCTTCCTCCAGCCTTTCCAGGCACTGCATGCATTAACTGATTTCAGAATTCACTCTTTGTTTACTTCCATCCCATTGCGAGGCCAGGTCTCGCCAGCCTGTTGTGAGAGGACATGTTAGGTGAGGCCATTACACCTTCTGGAAACCTTGACCAAGAGGCGGGGTATCACATCTATCTATTCATTTATTTATTTAACTGATATTTATTGAGTACCCACTATGTAGCACTCAGTGTACTGGGTGTTGAAAATAAAGCATGAGCAAAACAAAGATTCCTGCCCCCATGGAATTTATGTTCCAGTGAGAAAGGTAGACTAGACACAACAAATATAAAAACATATATATCAGGCTGGGCACGGTGGCTCACACCTGTAATCCCAGCACTTTGGGAGGTGGAGGTGGGAGGATCACTTGAGGCCAGGAATTTGAGAGCAGCCTTGGCAACATCACGAAACCCCATCTAATTTTTTTTAAAAAGCTGGATGTGGTGGTGTGCACCTGTAGTCCCAGCTATTCAGAAGCCTGGGGTGGAAGGATCATGTGAGTCCAGGAGTTTAAGGCACACCAGCCTGCGTGAGAGAGTGAGACCCAATCTTGTTAAAAAAAAAAAAAAAAAAAAAAAGGGCCAGTCGCTGTGGCTTACGCCTGTAATCCCAGCACTTTGGGAAGCCAAGGTGGGCAGGTTATGAGGTCAGGAGATTGAGACCATCCTGGCTAACATGGTGAAACCTCGTCTCTACGAAAAATACAAAAACTTAGCTAGGCGTGGTGGCATGCACTTGTAGTCCCAGCTACTCGGGAGGCTGAGGCAGGAGAATCACTTGAATCCGGGAGGCGGAGGTTGTAGTGAGCCACCGAGATCATGCCACTGCACTCTAGCCTCGGTGACAGAGCAAGACTCCATCAAAAAAAAAGGCAGGCCGGTGCTGTGGCTCATGCCTGTAATCCCAGCACTTTGGGAGGCCAAGGCAGGCAGATCACGAGGTCAGGAGTTTGAGACCAGCCTGACCAATACGGTGAAACCCTGTCTCTACTAAAAATACAAAAATTAGCCAGGCATGGTAGTGTGCGCCTGTAATCCCAGCTACTCAGGAGGCTGAGGCAGGAGAATCACTTGAACCCGGGAGGTTGCAGTGAGCCGAGATTGCTCCATTGCACTCCAGCCTGGGTGACAGAGTGAGACTCCGTCTCAAAAAAAAAAAAAAAAAAGCAGTAATATAGACAAGAGAAGATGGTGAATTAGACCAGGGTAATAGTGATGGAAGTGGTGAGAAGTGGTAAGAAGTGACTGGATTCTGAATTTATTTCAGAAATAGAGTTAATAGGGTTCCTGGATAGATTGGATGTGGAGTATGAAGGAAAGAGAGTAGTCAAGAATGACTCCAAGGTTTTTGGCCTGAGAAACTGGAAGATTGGAATTGCCATCCACTCAGATTGGGGAGGTTGTGGGTAGTAAGTAAAGGCTTTGGCAGGACGATCAGAAATGCTCTTTTGGACATCATGAATTGGCAATTTCTATTAGTATCCACGTGGAGATGTCAAGGAGGGAGTTGGATATTTCAGCTTGGAATTCAGTAGAGAGTTCTGGGCTAGAGAGATAAATGTGTGAGCTGTCGGCCTATGGATGGTATTTAAAGTCATGGCACTGAAGAGATAACTGGGGGAATGAATATAGAGAAGAGGACCAAGGCCAGAGCCCATGGGACATTCAGCATGAAGAGGTTGGGGAGAAGAGAAGGAATCAGGAAAGGGACAGTGAAAAAGTGAACAATCAGATGTGATGGGGAGCCGGGCGCGGTGGCTCATGCCTGTAATCCCAGCAGTTTGTGAGGCCGAGGTGGATGGATCACCTGAGGTCAGGAGTTCAAGACCAGCCTGGGCATCTTGGTGAAACCCCGTCTCTACTAAAAATACAAAAAATTAGCTGGGCATGGTGGCAGGTGCCTGTAATCCCAACTACTGGGGAGGCTGAGGCAGGAGAATCGCTTGAACCCGGGAGACAGAGGTTGCAGTGAGCCAAGATTGCGCCATTGTACTCCAGCCTGAGCAACAGAGCAAGACTGTCTCTAAAAAAAAAAAAAAAAAAAGAAAAGAAAATATTGAGGGGCTACCTAGAGAGCAGGGTGTCCTGGAAGCCAAGTGAAAAAAATATTTCAAGGCTGAGGGAGTCAGCAGCTGTGGAAATGTCTCTGGTGCTCTAATGAAACCATATCATTGGTGAACTTACCAAAAGAAATGTTGGTAGAGCCTTTTTCTAGGTGTGACACCTAATTTGGAGGAGGTTTATAGAGAAAATGAGACAATGCTTTTGTGATTACTTTAGGAGAGATGCAGGCTAAAGGATTTAGGGGTCAAGTTTTATGATGTTTCAAACTCACTTTCAAATAGGAAAAATGTATAGATGCATATATATTTATATTTTTATATATAAAGCAAAAATATTTAAAATTGGTGAATCTAAGTGATATGTAAATGCATAATTCTTACATTATTTTTCAACCTTCTGTATGTATTTTTAACATTTTTCATAATTACAGGATGTTGGGGAAAAGAGTAGACAGATGGCCGGGCGTGGTGTCTCACGCCTTTTATCCCAGCACTTGGGGAGTCCGAGGCTAGTGGATCACCTGAGGCCAGGAGTTCGAGACCAGCCTGGCCAACATGGTGAAACCCCATCTCTACTGAAAATACAAAAATTACCCAGGCGTGATGGCACACGCCTGTAATCCCAGCTACTTGGAAGGCTGAGGCAGGAGAATTGCTTGAACCCAGGAAGTGGAGGTTACGGTGAGCCAAGATCGCAGTGCCACTGCACTCCAGCCTGGGTGACAGAGGGAGACTGTCTCAAAAAAAAAAAAAAACCAACAAAACCCAAATAAGAGTGGACAGACAGGAATTGGAAACTATAAAGATAACTCTCTCAAAGAACTTTGCTAGTTAAGAGTTGTTTTTTCTGTTATTTTGTGTGTGTGTGTGTGTGTGTGTGTGTGTGTGTGTGTGTATGTCTGTTTTTTTGTGAGAGAGGATCTCACTCTGTCACCCAGGCTGGAGTGCACTCTTTGTTTACTTCCATCCCATCGCGAGGCCAGGTTTCGCCAGCCTGTTGTGAGAGGACATGTTAGGTGAGGCCATTACACCTAACCGTAGCTTACTGCAGCCTCAACCTCCTGGGCTCAAGCAGTCCTCCCACCTCAGCCTCCCAAGTAGCTAGGACTACAGGCATGCACCATCACACCCAGCTAATTTTTGTATTTTTTGTAGAGACAGTGTTGGGTGGGGTGTTTTGTCATGTTGCCCAGACTGGTCTCAAACTCCTGAGCTTAGGCATTCCTCCTGCCTTGGCCTTACAAAGTGGTAGGATTACAGGTGTGAACTACTCCACCTGGCCTGTTTTTTTTCCTTCTTTTTGAGTCAGTGTCTCACTCTGTCACTCAGGCTAGAGTGTAGTGGTATGATCATAGCTCACTGTAACCTCGACCTCCTGGGCTCAAGCAATCCTCCCGTCTCAGCTTCCCAAGTAGCTGGGACTACAGGCAAACGCCACCTCACTTGCCTAGTTAAAAAATTTTTTGTAGAGATGGGATCTCGTTCTGTCGCTTGGGCTGGTCTCGAACTCCTGGGCTCAAGTGATCCTCCTGCCTCAGACTGCCAAAGTCTGGGATTACAGGCGTGAGCCACCACACCTGGCCTGTTTTATTTATTTATTTTTCTTTTTGAGTCAGGATCTCACTCTGTCACCCAGGCTGATCTCAAACTCCTGGGCTCAAGCGATTCTTCTGGCTCAGCCTCCCAAAGTTTGGGATTACAGTAGTGAGCAACCACACTTGGTGGGGTTTTTTTTGTTTTGTTTTGTTTTGTTTTGTTTTTTAGATGGAAAAAATTTACCACGTTTGTAATAATCTAGAGAGGAATAATGAGAGAAAGAGAAGGAAAAGAAGATACAAGAAAGCAAAGAGAGAATTGCAGCAGCCATTTCCTGGATGTAGTACATGGATAGGGGAGGAATCACCCACAGACAGGAGCAAGGAGAGTTCACCTGTGGTGTCAGGTGGGCAGGCAGAGCATGTGGGTGCAGGTACTGGTCACTGCCCAATGTGGTGTGCATCTATAAAACTCTTCTGCTTGCTTTAGTTTTTTGTTTTTTTTTTCCCCCTAGAGACAGTGTCTCACTCTGTCTCCCAGGCTGGAGTGCAATAGCACAACCATGGCTCGCTTCAGCCTTGAACTCCTAGGTTCAAGTGATCCTCCTGCCTTGACCTCCTGACTAGCTGAGACTACAGACACACGCCACTGTGCCCGGCTAATTAAAATAATTTTTTTTGTAGAGACAGGGATCTCACTATGTTGCCCAGGCTGGTCTTGAACTCCTAGCATCAAGCGATCCTCCTGTCTCTGCCTCCCAAAGTGCTGAGATTACAAGCCTGAGCCACTGTGCCCCAGCCTGCGTAAATTTTCTTTTTTTCTTTTTTTTTTTTTTTGAGGCAGAGTCTTGCTCTGTCGCCCAGGCTGGAGTGCAGTGGTGCAATCTCGGCTCACTGTAACCTCTGCCTCCCAGGTTCAAGCAATTCTCCTCCAGGCATGCGCCACCATGCCCAGCTAATTTTTGTATTTTTAGTAGAGGCAGGGTTTTGCCATGTTGCCCAGGCTGGTCTTGAACTCCGGAGCTCAAGTGATTTGCCCATCTCGGCCTCCCAAAGTGCTGGGATTACAGGCATGAACCACCACGCCCAGGCTTAAATTTTCTTAGTGAAATGGGAAGCAAGGCCCCTCCCTCTGCCAGCAGTTAGGGGAGGAGGTGTGAACTAGCCATTCAGGCAGTGGGAGAGTAAACAGAGCAGGAATGGATCATAGGAACACCAGGTAGCATTCAGCTCCCCACTTGAGGATCTGTTTCTGATGTGTTAGTTCAGGGGCCAGTCCTTCCTTGAAACAGCCAAAGATTAAATGGCCTCGTGAGGTTCTTTCCTGCTTGTGTGCCCACTTGAGGGTGCATGTGGTACAGGAACACTGGACTTGGTGTCAGATGGGATGAGCCCTGGCTCTGTTTCCTAGCAGCAATCTGATCTTGAGCTAGTCACTGGACATTTCTGAACCTCAGCTTCTGCAGAATGCAATGACATCTTCCAATGTAGCTCTGTAGTCATTGTGTAGACCACAAGGTTGTACAGACGGCAGGTAATATTCTGGAGAGCCAATTAAGAATGTGAGCCCTGAAGTCACAAAGCCTGCATTTGAATCATAGTTTACCCGTGTAACACCTCTGTTTCCTCATCTGAACAGTGAAGGTTCTTGGCCTCAGTTGAAGATGTGAGCATTTAGTCAGTGGTGCTACAACAGCCGTGGTTGACAGATGAAGTGTTCTCAAGGACCAAGCACAGGGTTTGACACTTTAGGCTCTGATTCATGTCCTGCCAAGCTGGGCCTGGAGGAAGCCCCCAAGCCTGGCTGGCAGCTGTTGTCCCAAGTGAGGGGGACAGTAAGCCAGGCCAGCAGTCCAGTTCAGGAAGGGGCCCACTTCAAAGGAGTGGGTCAAGAGCACTGTTTGCCTTTCTGGAGTGCTGGGCTGGGGCAAAAGGACCTGAGAGCTGAGGTGGTTCACCCAGACACCTGGGCAGATGACTAAAAGATGATTGTCTTGTCTGGGAAAGAAGCCAGGATGTGGTTTGGGTGGAGCTGGGTAAAGAACCTGGGTTTCAGAATCAACTTCTTCCTTGTTGTGTAGGAAAAGGCGAGCCAGACTCAGGGAACAGTGGGACCCACTTCCCGGCGCTGTGCAAGTCAGAGTTCCTTGTAAGCAGGGTCTGGGCCTCACTTATCATGGATTTGCCCTGGTGCCTTTCACTATTGGTCGAATTGAGTATTTCGGAAGGAGAACTTGTTTAAAAGACAGCCACCGCCCACACATTCAGAATCCATACTATCCGTCTATTACAGTGGAGTTATCCATTGTTTTCGCAGCTGTCTCCCTCTCTCATAACAACAGCTGTTACCCATATTCTAGCATCCACCCATTGCTGTCTCCATTCCTATGGGTAAAGTGGAGTTGCCTGCCTTCTCAGTGCCAGGCTGACCACAGTGCCATGGGGCACCACAGGCAGGTCCAGAGCCTGGGCCAGGAATCAAGAGACCAGAACACTGGTCTTGACTGGCCACTAGCTGAGTGACTCTGAGGTTGTGGGCAAATTATTTCCTCTCTTTAACCTTCTAAACTGGGGGAGCCTTGTTGCTAATAACTTGGCTCACACTGGCCAGGTCTCTCCTGGGCCAGTGGTGAGAATTCTGAGAGTGTGGCTTTGGCTCTTGCTTTCTGTGCTTTGACCAGAAGTTGCAACAACACTTACAGGTTCATTCTTGCCGACCTGAATTCGGTAGCGAGAGATGAAGTTAGGTTTTCCTGTTGTGTCAACCACCAATAGAAGCCCATTGAAGCTCCAGAAGAAGAGACAAGGCACTTGGATGGCACCTGAGATTGGGAAACAGAAACAGTCAGGGCGACTTTGGGTTCTCACAGCACATAGACTAACAGAACATACTTTTTTGTGGTGACTGAGGCTTCATCCTAGACATTTCTTTGCCAGGGAGGTCTTAGGGCTTGGGACCAAGGGGTTACCTGTAGTCTTGGGTAGGAACTTGGACAGGCCATTTAAGGAGTGTCTCCATTTTCTTAGCCATAAAATAGGGACAACCTTCAAGGTGGTTGGTGGTTTTCATATAAATACATATGAAAGTATGTTAAGATATATAATACCCTCTAAAATAGAAATGAATTCAGGTTGACATTTGGGAGTCTGCGCCCACTGAACCCTTTATGAATTGCCAAGGAAGGAGAAGCAAAGGAAGTACTCTGTATGGTATGGGTCACAGTGAGCCCTGGGCTAGGAGTCAGTCAGGAAACTTAATCCCTGTCATCCTACTAACTGAGCAGCAGAACTTCAGGTGTCATCTAGTCAGTATAAGTGGAAAACTCATCGTTGTTTTTTTTTTGTTGTTTGTTTGTTTGTTTTTTTGAGACAAAGCCTCTCTCTGTCATCCAGGCTGGAAGTGCAGTTGTGTGATCATGGCTCACTGTAGCCTCGACCTGCCAAGCCGAAGTGATCCTCTTGCTTCAGCCTCCTGAATAGTTGGGGCTACCGGCACCTGCCACCATGCCCAGCTAGGACTCGGCTTTGCTTAATTCCATGTCTGTGCCCCTCCACCAGCACCCTTCATGCTCCATCAACCGAAGTAACTGTGGCGGCTGGGACTTGGAAAATACTTGCCAGCACTGTAGGGGAGTAGGATTGGTACAAACCTTCTAGAGGGCAATTTGGCAGTAACTGAAGTAATAAAGTGAGAGAGTCAGAGAGCCAAGACAGAAAGGGAGAAAGAAGAAAAGGACACACGTCTGTTTGTATGCATAAATGTCCGTCACAGCATTAAAAAAAAAATTTAAGCAGCCTAAATACCCATTAGTAGGGAAGGGACTAAACAGATTAGAGTATTTCCATATAATGGAATAGAATGGGAAGCTTAGAGTATTAAGTAAGGCTACATTAATAGGCATGGAAAGATACCTACAATCTATTCAATGAAAAAAAGATTTAAAAATAGTTGGTATCTCATAAGTACAACTATATACCCAATATATAAAAGATGCACACTAATATATAAACAGTGGTTATTTCTTGAAGGTAAGACAGTGGGTGATTTTCACACTTTCTATGCTTATTTGAATTGCCTGATTTTTATTTTTAACAATGAGCACATATTTACTTTTGTTTTTTTTTTTTTTTGAGACAGAGTCTTGCTCTGTCACCCAGGCTGGAGTGCAGTGGCGTGAGCTCAGCTCGCTGCAAGATCTGCCTCCCGGGTTCACGCCATTCTCCTGCCTCAGCCTCCTGAGTAGCTGGGACTACTGGCGCCCGCCACCGCGCCCGACTAATTTTTTGTATTTTTAGTAGAGACGGGGTTTCACCATGGTCTCGATCTCCTGACCTCATGATCCGCCTGCCTCGGCCTCCCAAAGTGCTGGGATTACAGGCGTGAGCCACTGCGCCTGGCCCATATTTACTTTTATACCCAGAAAAAATAAACTATTTTTTACTTTGGAAAAAAAAGGCTGATGGTTACCCAGTGGGCCATCCAAGGTGTCTACCTACTTGGAACTTCAAAGGCTGCCTGAGGAATACAGATGAAAAGCACACCGTAAGACGATCTTAAACTTCTTCTAGCTCTAACACTTAAAATTGGAAATATTTTCTCTCTCTCATATTGGCTTATCACCAAGGTAATAGGTAATTTTCACAGGATTGTACCTAACATATATAAAATATTTGAGGTTTTTTTAGATTGCAGGTTCAAGCTAATAAAGTTTTTCTACCACCTTCTCCATATACATAGGTAATCTGCATTGTTCAATGACTGCTTAAGATCCCATTAAATCTGTCATATTTAATGTTCAGCCCATTGTCAGAGTCCTCCTTCTAGTTGAAAACAATCCTCAGGTGCATTTTGCTTTATAGCAACTGACACTTTTTATCTTCCCTTCTAGACTATGACATCATTTTTTAATGGGGGAGGGAAACATTTCATTTAAATACTTCTTTTTTTTTTTTTGAGACAGGGTCTTGCTCTGTCACCCAGGCTGGAGTGCAGTGGTGCTATCTCAGCTCACTGCAACCTCCACCTCCTGAGTTCAAGCGATGCTTGTGCCTCAGCCTCCTGAGTAGCTGGGATTACAGGCACGCACCACCACGCCTGGCTCATTTTTTGTACTTTTAGTAGAGACAGGTTTCACTATGTTGGCCAGGCTGGTCTTGAATTCCTGGCCTCAAGTGATCTGCCTGCCTCAGCCTCCCAAAGTGCTGGGATTACAGGTGTGAGCCACTAATCTTGGCCTATCTTAATTTTTGTTTTTTTTTTTTTGAGACAGAGTCGTGCCCTATTGCCCAGGCTGGAGTGCAGTGGCACCATCTCGGCTCACTGCAACCTCTGCCTCCCAGGTTCAAGCAATTCTCATGCCTCAGCCTCCTGAGTAGTTGAGATTACAGGCACGCACCACCACACCCAGCTAATTTGTGTGTGTGTGTGTTTTTAGTGAAAAAGGGATTTTGCCATATTGGCCAGGCTGGTCTCGAACCCCTGACTTCAAGTGATCCACCTGCCTTGGCCTCCCAAAGTGTTGGGATTACAGGCGTGAGCCACTGTGCCCAGCCCCATCTTAAATATTTCTTTCTTTCTTTTTTTTTTGAGACGAAGTTTCACACTGTCGCCCAGCTGGAGTGCAGTGTCATGATCTTGGCTCACTGCAACCCGCCTCCCAGGTTCAAGTGATTCTCCCTGCCTCAGCCTCCCAAGTAGCTGGGATTACAGGAGCCTGCCACCATGCCCAGCTAATTTTTTTGTATTTTTAGTAGAAACGAGGCTTCACTATGTTGGCCAGGTTGGTCTCAAACTCCTGACCTCGTGATCCACCTGCCTCAGCCTCCCAAGGTGCTAGGATTACAGGCGTCAGCCACCACGCCTGGCCTCCCATCTTAAATATTTCTATATCCTCGATACAAGTGTAGCACATAGTAACATTATATATTATATGTCATATTAATAATATAAATAAATGTATATTATATATAATATATATTAAATAAATTGTATATAATTATTATTTGAGTGAATGTATGATCGAGGACATTCACTATTATAGATAATGCTGTTATAAATATCTATGTTTACATGGCTTTTCCTTCCATCTATTTACTTAGGCTTGTTTGGAGCCATTGAAGCTGTCAGTAAATATTTATTGACTGGCCACTTGCTGTCAAGCACTGACTGTACCAGGTACAGGGTACATAGTCTCAGACAAGACAGGGCAGCTCTCTGTGCTTGTGGAATTAAGTGTAGAAACAGGATTATTGCTCTAAATGTGCATTCATTTTTACATAAAATATTTCTTATTTTTCTATATTTTGGGAGGAGTCTTAACTTCTCAGCTTCTTTTTTTAGACATCCTGTTTTCAGACTGCCCACAAGTTTAGTATTCTTTGGGACTACCACTTTTTTGAAGTTCAAGTCCTCATCCCTTGGAATAATAAACTGAAAAGTCCCAAAGTAGAGAACAAAACAACAAAAAGAATTAAGTTATAATCATGCACCCACATGCTAGGTGCTGGTGGTCTGGGAACCTCACCTATAAAGAAGAGGATCCACTCCTTCCCTTCAAATGTAGTCAGCAGCCTCTCCCACTGGGCTTGCCAAAAGTAGCCAGAAGCACCCCAAAATCTCTGAAGATGCCTTGGAAAAAAAACCAGGTTTCTGGGTGAAGACTAGTGGGTGGACAGCTCCTTCCCCTATGCTCTGCCCCCGACCACCACCACACTGCACCCTAGCTGGGTGGAGCCGACTTACCATGTCACTGAGTTCCAGAAGGCCACAAATGAGAGAAGTCCAGAGCCCAGGATGAAAGCTGTCCTCCTCATAGAGCCCCAGATGTGTCCCTCCTGGAGGAGGGCAGGGAAGTGTCAGACCCCAGCAAGCCTCCTGCCTTTACACCCAGCTCACTGCTGAGGCACAGCGGGAGTGCTGTAGGATCAGCATCTCAACCAACCAGGAAGGCACATCTGCGTTTTCCAGCTGGCCTTTTCCAGCTTCTGTGGGAGCCTCTTCCTTATCAGGAGCTCTCAGGCTGTACATGGGTGTGTTTATGAAAATTAGAGCTCAAGTTGGGGGAGGGAAGGGAATTAGCCTGACTCCAGAGAAACTAGCAGGCAATTCTGTCAGTCAGAGGACAGGCGAGCCTCTATCAGCCATAGGATTTCATCACCAGTCCTCTTGGCAAATGGAGATACCCATTATCTACACATTGAAATCACCTGGGAGCTTAAAAAAAGTCCCAATACCCAGGGTCCCCTCCAATCCAATTACATAAAGAGTCCCTGGGGGTGGGACCTGGGCTCCCCAGTTAATTCCAATGGGCAGGCAAGGTTGAGATAGTCATCATAGCAGCATCTGCCAAAACCATGATGAGGAAATCCTTTCCCAGTCATACAGGCTTCACTGTGTGCATAGGCCAGGCCCATTTCTTCCATCCCTACCCTCCTCTTATTTTAGAAGGAAAGAGTGAATTGTACACGTTTTCTGACTTTTTTTGTTTTTTTGTTTTTTGAGACAGAGTCTCGCTCTGTCGCCCAGGCTGGAGTGCAGTGGCACGATCTTGGCTCACTGCCAGCTCCGCCTCCCGGGTTCATGCCATTCTCCTGCCTCAGACTCTGGAGTAGCTGGGACTACAGGAGCCCGCCACCACACCCGGCTAATTTTTTTGTATTTTTAATAGAGACGGGGTTTCACTGTGTTAGCCAGGATGGTCTCCATCTCCTGACCTTGTGATCTGCCCGCCTCAGCCTCCCTAAGTGCTGGGATTACAGGAGTGAGCCACCGCGCCCGGCCGACTTTTTTTTTTTTTTTTTTTTTTTTTTTTTTGAGGCAGTGTTGCTCTGTCACCCAGGCTGGAGTGAAGCACCATCTTGGCTCACTGCAACCTCCGCCTCCAGGGTTCAAGTGATTCTCCTGCCCCAGCTTCCTGAGTAGCTGGGATTACAGGCACCTGCCACCATGCCCACCTAATGTTTGTATTTTTAGTAGCGAAGTTAGCTGGGGTTTTGCCATGTTGGCCAGGCTGGCCTAGAACTCTAAACCTCAAGCAATTCACCTGCCCCATCCTCCCAAAGTGCTGGGATTACAGGCACAAGCCACTGTGCCCGGCCACTTTCTGACTTTTAATAACCCCTCTCTGCCTTCCAGCAAGATTAGCCCAGGCTCCCAGCTGGACAAGACGACTAGCCATTCTGAGGGTCAAGGAGAGACCACTGGAAATCACTGAGAGGTCCTTGTATATTCTCCTCCAAAAGGTTCTCCTCTAAACCAGAAGTCATTGTGAGCTCGATGACCAAACAATGCCCCAGATTCAGAGAGGGAAAACACCAGCTGCCAGGTGTATCACCAATTTCCGTTGTACGACAGACAGGAATTACAGATGACCCACTCATATCCCGTTTCTAAACTCAGACGGGGTCTGCTCATATTCTTTCATAGGAAAGAACTGGAGGTGGTGGTCCCTACCCTGTGTGTGCCTGGGGCTCATCTGCAATTAGCTAATGGGGCCATGTACAGGGTGTCAGAGGGGATGTTGGAGGAGCTGATCTAATAGGACACTACTTTTTTACTTTTTTTTTTAATTGAGACAGTCTTACTGTGTTGCCCAGGCTGGAGTGCAGTGGTGCAGTCTCGGCTCACTGCAATCTCCACCTTCCAAGTTCAAGCGATTCTTGCCTCCCAAGTTCAAGCAATTCTCCTGCCTTAGCCTCCGGAGTAGCTGGGATTGCAGGTGCCTGCCACCAAGCCCGGCTAAATTTTGGATTTTTAGTAGAGATGGGGTTTCGCCATGTTGGCAAGGCTGGTCTTGAACTCCTGACCTCAGGTGATCTGCCTGTCTCAGCATCCCAAAATGCTGGGATTACAAGCATGTGCCACTACACCTGGCCAGGACACTACATTTTAATCCAGACTTTCAAGATCTGAGGAAACATTGTTTTAATTCACCCCTTCTAAGCAATCTGAATCTGCACTGAACTGTTTCTTCTCAGCATTATCCTATCCCACTTCTGATCAAAAGACCAAGCAGAAGTCATTTTTCATGGGCAGGGATGTTTTTTTGAAGGGCTAGTCCTGAGCTTTGGAAATGAGCATGCTCACTCACTGACTCGCATTCTCTCACGTGCACACACTCTCTCTCTCTCTCTCAGGCTGGATTGGCCAGACCAATTGGAGGAACTTGCTCTTTTTTTTGTTTTTTTGTTTGTTTGTTTGTTTGTTTGTTTTTGAGCCAATGTTATTCTCTGTCACCCAGGTTGGTCCAAAACTCTTGGCCTCATGTGATCTTCCAGCCTTAGTCTCCCAAAGTGCTGGGATTACAGGTGTGAGCCACTGTAACCCACCAGAACTTGTTCTTTTACATGGGCCATTCAAAGGTCGCCCTGTGTTTGCTAGACTGGTGACCTTGGGCTTTTCCAGTTATTCCTTTGTTTGGAATTTAAGGGCTCTTTTCAGGAACTTTTCTAGACTCATTGGAAGTTTTAATCTTCTGAGTTTGATCAAACCAAATTAAGTCAAATTAAAACCTCAGTTTCACATACAGGATTAGATATTTGTTCGGGGATGTTGGGTTTTTTCATCTCTCTAGCAGCCCAGGTGAAGGAAATATAAACAGGACAAAGGTCCTCTGTGAAGTGCAGGAAAACGCAGTGCAGGAGTTAGCTGGGGTCAAGGGCCAGTTCTCAGCTACCTCCAGAAAGCCTCTGTTGTCCCCAGGAAAGTTATAGAAAGGGGTTTTCCAAAGGCCCGAGGCATAGGACATGCCAAGGGCTACAGGCAGGAGAGCCAAGAGGAGAAGGGAGGACAGTTACAATGCTTTTCAATTCCATAACGCACATTCGCAGTCTGCATTCAGGCAAAGGGGTTGTGGGTAAAAGGCAGTTGGCAGTCAAGTGAACTCTGCTCAGTTACTGAAAATGAAGACATTACCATGTGTCAGCCACCCCTAAACCTTGGGGGAGATGTTGGATGCATAGCAAGTGCAGCTATGGCAAAGAGCCACTGACTACATTCTCACCAGTTTGGGGGCAAGGTGCTGGCATTTACCTGCTTTGACTTTTCATTGTGTAGCATATGTCCAGCTTCTCCTTTCATCTGGAATGAGAAAGCACAGGCGAGCCGGGGAGTTATTTTCATAAACATCTAAGGAAGTAGGGAGTGGAGAAAGTCAAAGTGTATGGCTAGCAGTGATTTTTGAAAAAAAAAAAAATTGGCTTGTTGTTCTTCCTGAAACCAGACAAATTGATTTGAAAACTTAATGGAGAGATAAATGTACAAGAATAGCTAGAAAAATGCCAGAAAAGAAAAAGAGTGGTGGAAGGGAGGGGGCTACTAGGTCTACCAACTACAAAAAATGTATGATAATGCTTTTTTAAGAGACAGGGTCCCACTACGTTGCCCAGGCTGGTCTCAAACTCCTGTCTTCATTTCTCCCTTTTATTAGAGAGCTGTTGCTGTAAGAGAAAAAAATGAACTTACCCAGAACTCAAAGAGTAGTTCTAGCAAGTTGGTTTGGTTTGTTCTTTTTTTTTTGAGACAGAGTCTCGCTCTGTCGCCCAGGCTGGAGTGCAGTGGCACAATCTTGGCTCACTGCAAGCTCTGCCTCCCAGGTTCACGCCATTCTCCTGCTCAGCCTCCTGAGTAGCTGGGACTACAGGCTTCCACCACCACGCCCGGCTAATTTTTTGTATTTTTAGTAGAGACAGGGTTTCACCGTGTTAGCCAGGATGGTCTCGATCTCCTGGCCTTGTGATCCGCCAGCCTCGGCCTCCCAAAGTGCTGGTTTGTTCTTTAGTATTACTTGTTGGTTGGTTTAAAAACATGGACCAAGATTTTTCTGAAACCAATCAACAGTTCTATGGAAAAGAAAAAGGATATGAATATCAGGCATTAACCTCCTTTAAAAATGCAGCCTAACAAGAATTGGCTAGAAGGACAATCATTAGAAATATGTCTGAGGGCCGGGTGCGGGCAGCTCACATCTGTAATCCCTGCACTTTCGGAGGCCAAGGTGGGTGGATCACCTAAGGTCAGGAGTTCAAGACCAGCCTGGCCAACACCGCAAAACCACATCTCTACTGAAAACACAAAAATTAGCCAGGCATGGTGGTGCATGCCTGTTGTCCCAGCTACTCAGGAGGCTGCGGCAGGAGAATTGCTTGAACCCGGGAGGCGGAGGTTGCACTGAGCCAAGATCGCACCATTGCACTCCAGCCTGGGCAACAGAGCAAGACTCCATCTCAAAAAAAAAAAAAAAAAGAAAAGAAATACGTCTGAGGCTGGGTGCAGTTGCCCACACCTGTAGTCCCAACACTTGGGGAGGCCAAGGCAGGAGGATCATTTGAGTCCTGGAGTTTGAGACCAGCCTGGGCAAACATAGAGACACCCTGTCTCTACAAAAAATAAAAAAAAAAATTAGCCAGGTGTGGTAGCACATGCCTGTGGTCCCAGCTACCTGAGAGGCTGAACTGGGAAGATAACTTGAGTTTGGGAGATGGAGGCTGCAATGAGCCATGATCATGCCACTGATCCAGCCTGGACGACAGAGTGTGACCTTGTCTCAAAAAAAGAAAGAAAAAAAAAAGAACAATAGAACAATACTGGCAATAAATATTTTATGTTTTTATATGGTTGAAATTTTGGACCATATGAATGTACTAGTTGTTCAAAAATTTTAAATTTAAATAATAGTAATTGAAACTTAGATGACAAATTCTCCTCCATCACTCTGTCATCCCTGGTAGACAGCACCTGTCATTCCCAACATCTTTCACCTGAGACTAACTAAACTCACAGACCCAACCACAGCACTCAAGGCAGGCACACCAGTCCAGAGAAGCTAGCACATGTTATCCCACTGGCCATCCCTATTAGATAGTGTCATAACCTGGCTGGAGAGGAGCACTACAGATCATCTGGTCCCACCATGTTACAAGGATGAAAGAACCTAGACAAGAAGAGGCAGGTGACCTCCCAGAGTCTATAGATGATAAGTAGCAGAGCCAGGCTTAGGACCCAGGTTCCAGACTGGACTTCGTGCCACTTATTTCCATCTCTATGGATGTTTTATTCTTTTGTATATGATTGTACTTAGTTTTATTATTCTAAATGCATGTTTACCAGCTATGACTTTAGGAAATAACTGCTCCCCTTTGACCCATTTTTTTTATTATTATTTTTATTTTAATAACGAGGAGACGGGGGTCTTGAACTCCTGGCTTCAAGCAATCCTCTTGCCTGGCTTCAAGCAATCCTCTTGCCTCAGCCTTCCAAAGTGTTGAAATTACACCCATGAACCCTTTTTTTTAAATTGATTTTTTTTAGGAGATGGGGTCTCACCATGGTGTCCAAGCTGGACTCAAACTCCTGGGCTCAAGGGATCCTCCTGCCTCAGCCTTCTGAGTAGCTGGGACTACAGGTGTACACCACCATGCCCAGCCTCATTCACATTTCTTTTTTTTTTGAGACAGGGTCTTGCTCTGTTGCCCAGGCTGGAGTGTAGCAGCATGATCATGGCTCACTGCAACCTCTGCCTCCCAGGCTCAAGCCTCCTAGACTCATGCAATTCTCCCACTTCAGTTTTCTGAGTAGCTGGGAATACAGACTACAGGCACATACCACCATACCCAGCTAATTTTTGTATTTTTTGTAGAGACAGTGTCTTACTACATTGCCCAGGCTGATCTCAAACTTGTGAGCTCAAGCGATCCTCCCGCCTCGGCCTCCCAAAGTGCCAGGATTATAGGCATGAGCCACTGTGCCCAGCCCACATTTTTTACAGATTACTTAGGCTGAAGAAAGGAAGAGAGAATGGTGACCTATAAAGTGTCTTTCAGTGTTTGAGGAGTTAGGACACCAGAAGGAGGTGATAAGCAAGCTGCTTATCATTACCACTGTGAGTCCCATTACAGCAGGAGGGGTACAGTTAGCTCAGAGGAAGAGCCTCTCAGGGAGAAATACCGAGGCATCTGATATCCTGCCAGGGAGACACTGTCTGACTTGAGAGCAGGCACCAGGATGTTTGGTGTGGCGTAGGCCTAACCCCTACCCAGAGACGGGAATGGGTTTCAGACACTCTAGAACAGGGCCCTGTCCACACTCCTAGGCCTGCTTTACCCATGCTCCCTTCCCCTGCTCCCTTCCCAAACATTGCTTGACTGACAGCAAGGGAAGCTACTGAGGCTTGTAAGTGTGCAGTTTGTGCCTCAATGCAAGTTCTAGGAAAACCAGAAAAAGAGAAGTTAGTAGAGTGCAGCTGCAGGCATTCCTTCACTCCAGGTTCTGATACTGAGTGGGTGGCTGGGATTCCTCTGTGGACTTGGGGGTTAGAGGGTGCTCTGTAGTCATATTCTGCAGCACCTGAGCTTCCAGAAGGACAGCTGAGCAAGCATTTCAGGATGGTAAGTCTCAGCCTAAACCAATTGTAAACACCCCTGCCCCACAACTAGGACAACAGACATTATTTAATAAATTGGGCTTATGAAGATTCCAAAGAATTATTCTTTAAATAATGATTTTCTCCACCCTCATTGTCCTAAGCAGTTCCTGTGGCTTGATTCTGAGTTTGGCTCACATCTCCAAGGTGGATAAGGGTCCCTTCAGAGAAGCTGCCCTTCACACAGTGCTAGGATTCTGGGATGAGGCAAAGTCATATTCTTTTTTTTTTTTTTTTGAGGCAGTCTCACTCTGTCGCCCAGGCTGGAGTGCAGTGGCACGATCTCAGCTCACTGCAACCTCCGCCTCCCTGGTTCAAGCGATTATCCTGCCTCGGTCTCCCAAGTAGCTGGGATTACAGGGGTCTGCCACCATGCACAGCTAATTTTTTTGTATTTTTAGTAGAGTCGGGGTTTTGCCATGTTGGCCAGACCAGTCTCGAACTCCTGATGTCAGATGATCCACCTGCCTCGGCCTTCCAAAGTGCTGGGATTACAGGCATGAGCCACCGTGCCTGGCTTGTGTCATTTTCAGCCTGGCACTTTGTTTGCTGTCTGGAGTCCCAAAAAGCATGGATCATTAAGCACAAGGGAGGTAGTGGTGTTAGGTACTTTTAGGGCTAAACCTATCAAATGTTTCATTTCCCCCACCCTTGTTGTTTGTTTGTGTGTTTTTTGTTTTGTTTTGTTTTGTTTTTTGAGATGGAGTCTCACTCTGTCACCTAGGCTGGAGCGTAGTGGCACAATCTCAGCTCACGGCAACCTCCACCTCCTGGGTTCAAGCAATTCTCCTGCCTCAGCCTCCCTAGTAGCTGAGATTACAGGCATGCACCACCATGCCCGGCTAATTTTTTTGTATTTTTTTTTTTAGTAGAGATGGGGTTTCACCATATTGGCCAGGCTGGTCTCTAACTCCTGGCCTTGTGATCCACCCGCCTCGACCTCCCAAAGTGCTGGGATTACAGGCGTGAGCCACTGCGCTCAGCCCTTTGTGTGTTTTTTTTTTTTTTTTTTTTTTTTTTTTGAGACAGAGTCTCACTCTGTCACCCAGGCTGGAGTGCAATGGTGCAATCTCGGCTCACTGCAACCTCTGCCTCCCAGGTTCAGGCAATTCTCCTGCCTCAGCCTCCCGAGTAGCTGGGATTACAGGCACGCACCACCATGCCCAGCTAATTTTTGTATTTTTTTTTTTTTAAGTAGAGATGGGGTTTCACCATTTTGGCCAGGATAGTCTCAATCTCCTGACCTCGTGATCTGCCTGCCTCGGCTTCCCAAAGTGCTGCAATTACAGGTGTGAGCCACTGCACCCGGCCCTTTTTTTTTAAAAAAAAATAGAGATATAGGGTCTTGCTATATTGCTGAGGCTGGTCTCTAACTCCTGGGTCTTATTAAGAGATCCTCCTGCCTCAGCCTCCCAAGCACTGGGATTACAGGCATGAACCACCAGGCCCAGCTCAAATATTTAATGACAAGGAACCAACTGTCAAAAGAAACACCTCAACTTGGGAAATACTTGGGAGATCTAAATGTCTGCAAACCATTTGAAAACAGGCAGAGCCTTCACGTTAGTGTGGATTTCCCTCTTCAGTGTTTGTTAGGAAGGATAAAAGGTTCTGTTGACCCTGTTGAGATAACCATCCTGTTTGGGAAGGGAGTAGAGAGGATTTGGGGTTTGTTTGTTTGCTTTTCAAGCTTACAGAGCTCTTTTTGCTATGCCATGCCACAGGGAACTTCACTCACAAGTCCAAGTCTCCTAGCCTTTTCCCTGTCTTATCAACTCCATTATCTTTGCTAAGAGCTTGCAAAGCAAACGAGACATGGCCTTTGATCTTTAGGAGCTCATCCATTCCTTCCAAAAACATTTACGAACTTACTATGTGCAAGGAGCTGTAGAAAGTGCTGAAGATGCAAAAATGAGAAACTCTCAGTCTGGATACATATTCATCATTCTGAAATTTATATCAAAGTACTGGGCTAGAGGTCTATGCCAGAGCTAAGAAACTACTAGACAGGTAGGAGATCTGGTACACCAAGAAATCTCTATAGGAAGACAATGTCCAGGCTTTCTTCATGCTCTTGGATACATGGTCTCCAACTTCAAAACTGAACTTTCTTCCCAGACTGCATTTTAGCTTATCCAAAGAATGCTGTTTTTAGTCAGACCATAGTTAAACAAGATAGATAGAAGAGAAAAAAATATTTAACAGTCTGCCACATGAATACCAAAATAGCCATTGAAGACATTCCTTACTCCATTATTTAGTTAAGAAGAAGCAGTATACTTTTTATGAGGATATAGATGATGATTCCAATAAAGAAATAAGTTTGGCCAGGCACAGTGGCTCATGCCTATAATCCCAGCACTTTGGGAGGCTGAGGCAGGAGGATTGCTTAAGCCCAGGAGTTCAAGACCAGTCTTGGGTCGGGTGCAGTGGCTCATGCCTGTAATCCCAGCACTTTGGGAGGCTGAGGTGGGTGGATCGTTTGAGGTCAGGAGTTCAAGACCAGCCTGGCCAACATGGCAAAACCCTACCTCTACTAAAAATACAAAAATTAGCTGGGCATGGTGGCGGGTGCCTGTAATCCCAGCTACCAGGAGGCTGAGACAGGAAAATTGCTTGAACCCAGGAGGTGGAGTCTGTAGTGAGTCGAGATTGCGCCACTGCACTCCAGCCTAGGCAACAGAGTGAGACTCTGTCTCAAAAAAAAAAAAGACCAGCCTGGAAAACATAGTGAGACCCTGTCCCTACAAAAAATTAAAAAGATTAGGTGGGACGATCACTTGAGCTGGGGAGGTGGAGGTTGCAATGAGCTGTGATTGCACCACTGCACTCCTGCCTGGATGACAGAGCAAGACCCTGCCTCCAAAAAAAAAAAAAAAGAAAAAGAAACAAGTACATATAGAGACTGAGTCAGATAAAGACCAAAACAGAAATAAGTGCACAGAAGTTTTGCCTCTCTGGAAGAAGTGGTATGCTTTCTTATGGTGTGCAAAGAAAATTGGACAATCCATTTTTCCCTCTTTTTAAAGCACCTGTTTATTTTCTCTACAAATCACACCTTCCCCACCAAAATGATTTAGGTTATTGTCTGATGGTTTCTTATCAGTTTTTATTTATTTGAAGCTGTTCTATATATCCTTTTATTGGAAACTACCTCAAACCCTTTTGACATATAGGCTGGGTATAAAGTATAAATAAACAGAATCAGATATTGAAATTAAAAACAAAAACCAAGAGGAACTAGGATGACTGTCAGTACAATAAGATCTTGGCTCTGGAAGAAGACAGCTCTGGTTCACTCTACAGGGCAGAGTGCTGATCATGCCCACTGTGTCCATGTTATGGAAACTGCGTATTGCTGAGACTGAGTGATTAGGGGCTGATAAGTATGTTTGACACTGGACTCCTCTGCTCTACGTACACCTTCTGGCCAAAGGGAAAATGATTGCTTACTTTCTGGTGGTGAGAAGGCTTCTCGGCTGTAAGAGCAGCAGCATTTATCTGTTGACATCTCATTTCATTAGAACAAACAAAGCATTTCCTGACATGTCATTTATTCTTTAGTTACGCCAATATGGCCATATGCAATTTCCAGAGATACTTATCTAGGTACTGAGTCCTCCAATTGTATTGTTCTGCTGAATATGTTATGCCAAAGCAGCTTGCTTTCTGTGCCTCTCTGCCCGCCTGCAGACATGTTTTCAGTTTTACATGAACATGGTCAGTCAGAAAGGTTCTAGGGGAGACCTCAAACATGGTAGGCAGTGGGTCTTCACCCAAAGAAGCTCCTTAACATTGTTTGCTAATGATAGTGTTCAAGTTAGAAATTTTGGCAAATAAAACTAGCAACAACATTTACTAATACACTGAAGTACCATAGTCATTACTTTCTGTGACTTGACTAATTCTTTTTTTCTTCCTTTTGGAGTGTGCCGTCTTAAGAACTGGAAGTTGGACTGGGCATGGTGTCTCATGCCTATCATCCCAGCACTTTGAGAGGCTGAAGCGGGAGGATTGCTTGAGTCAGCCTGGGAAACACAGGCCCTATATCCACAAAGTATTAATATAAAAAAAATTAGCCAGGTGTGGTGGCTCATGCTGCAGCCTGGGCCACAGAGGAAGACTCTCAAAAAACAAAACAAAAAACAAGCAAACAAAAAAAAACAAACTGGAAGTTGTATTAGAGCTCATCTATTCAGATGCCCCCATTTTCCAACTGAAGAAACAGAGGTGCAGAGGTATTTAGTATTTGGCTTCAAGTTGGACACCTATTTTTTTTTTTTTTTTAGATGGAATCTTACTCTGTTGCCAGGCTGGAGTGCAGTGGCGTGATCTCGGCTCACTGCAACCTCTGCCTCCCGGGTTCAAGCGATTCTCCTGCTTCAGCCTCCTGAGTAGCTGGGATTACAGGCATGCGTCACCACACCCAGCTAATTTTTGTATATATATATATATATTTTTTTTTAGTAGAGACGGGGTTTCACCATGTTGGCCAGGATGGTCTCGATCTCCTGACCTCATCATCTGCCTGCCTCGGCCTCCCAAAGTGCTGGGATTACAAGCGTGAGCCACCACGCCCAGCCTGGACACATATTAGTGGCAGAACTTGAATTCAGTGCTCATTATACCAACTGAGACTACAAAAGTATAGAATACATTGATGTTGAAGAGCACAGGGTGAGTGTCAGGGATTGAAAGGGACACAAAAGCATGAGATTGGCCTATATTAGCCATGAATAGTGAACTAGATAGTGTGTGTGTGTGTGTGTGTGTGTGTGTGTTAATACCAAAGGACACGTTTTCTCTAAAATACTAATCATTCTTTCAAGAAACATTTATCAGATGCCAGAGACAATGCTAGACATGGGATAGAAAGATGAATAAGACATGCTTTTTGCCCTATTTTATAACATCGTATAACTTTGATTTTCCAGAGAAAGTAGGAGGATAATAGCATACTTATTTTAGAATGGAATGCATTCAGAGGACAGAAAGAAATGAAGTGTACTAAAAGTAAATATTTTTTAAACATTTATTTTTTTAATTTTTAGAGATGGGGTCTCACTATTTTGCCCAGGCTGGTCTCAAACTCCTGGGCTCAAGTGATGTTCCCACCTCAGCCTCCCAAAGTGTTAGGATTACAGGCATGAGCCACCATGCCTGGCCGAAGGTTCTAATATTTTACAACAATGAATGGATACTTCCTTAAAGTGAATTTGATATTCTATTGTGAGTTTATCCAAATTTTATTTATTTATTTATTTTGAGACAGAGTTTCACTCTGTCCAGGCTGGAGTGCAATGACCCAATCATGATTCACTGCAGCCTCGACTTCCTGGGGTCAGGTGATCCTCCTGCCTCAGCCTCCCTAGTAGCAAATTAGATACTTTTTAGTGTGGTTCTGGTTTTTTGTTTGTTTTTTTTTTAGTGTGAACCAAGGATTTTATTTATTTTTATTTTTTAGAGATAGCATCTTGCTCTGTTGCCGAGACTGAAGTACAATGGCTCAATCATAGCTCACTGCAGCCTCAATCTTCTATGCTCAGGTGATCCTCCCACCTCAGTCCCCTGAGTAACTGGGACTACAGGTCTGTGCCACCATGCCGGCGAATTTTTAAAAAATTTTTGTAAACATGGGGTCTCCCTATGTTGCCCAAGCTGGTCTTGGACTCCTGGGCTTAAGTGATCTTGGTCTCCCAAAGTGCTGGGATTCCAGGCATGAGCCACTCTGCCCTGCCTATGTGGTTTTGTTGAAAGCAGATGATTCTCAGTATGCAGGCTTTTTATTAAAGAATCCCCAATCTAGATAAATGACACAGTGAAGCTATAGCTAATGTTTACAACTTCAAGAATCTGAGTAAAGGACATGGGAATAAGGTGAGGCTGGAAGGAATACAGACGGTTTAATCTTGAATTTTATTTGTCTACAGCCCAACTCTTTCAGATTTTCTTTTTTCTTTCTTTCTTTCTTTTTTTTTTTTTTTTTGAGATGGAGTCTCGCTCATGTTGCGCAGGCTGGAGTGCAATGGCATGACCTTGGCTCACTGCAGCCTCTGCCTCCCGGGTTCAAGCGATTCTCCTGCCTCAGCCTCCTAAGTAGCTGGGATTACAGGCACCCACCCCCACCATGCCTGGCTAATTTTTTTATTTTTAGTAGAGACGGGGTTTCACCATGTTGGCCAGGCTGGTCTTGAACTCCTGACCTCAGGTGATACACCCACCTTGGCCTCCCAAAGTGCTGGAATTACAGGCATGAGCCACTGCGCCTGGCCCAGATTTTCTTTCATATTCTTGTTTCCTGGATATTCTGCATGATTGATGAATGTTCCTTTTTTTTTTGAGACAGAGTCTTGCTCTGTCACCCAGGCTGGAGTGCAGTGGCGCGATCTTGGCTCACTGCAAGCTCCATCTCCCGGGTTCATGCCATTCTCCTGCCTCAGCCTCCCGAGTAGCTGGGACCACAGGTGCCTGCCACCACGCCTGGCTAATTTTTTGTATTTTTAGTAGAGACAGGGTTTCACCATGTTAGCCAGGATGGTCTTGATCTTCTGACCTTGTGATCCGCCCGCCTCGGCCTCCCAATGTGCTGGGATTACAGGCGTGAGCCACCATGCCCGGCCTACTGAATGTTCCTATTTTATAGATATAAATACATCACCTTTATGTGAATGTGTATTGTTTTGTAAACAACTTGTAAAATTGTTGAGACAATTTACTCTTAGAGGGGGGAGAAAAAAGACCTCATGTTCATCTGGTCTACCCCTTCCATTTTATAAGCTAAGGAGGAAGCCCTAGTTAGTAGAAATGACTTGCTCCAAACTCCACATGGTTTCTGGCAAAATCTAGGCTTCTTAACACTTTGCCTAGTGCTGTATGTATTTTGGGAATAGCATAACTTCTATTTCATAAGAAATGACACAGGGAGAGGGCAACTGACCCAAAGATTAGAACTCCCCTTACTTCAGCCTCTGCTCTCAGACTGTATGCTAGGAAAAAGCTGAGCAGTCGACCTCCAGGGCTGAGGAGACTGACCTGTAATGTAATTACACAGTTTAAAGCCTCTGGTGAAGAGGGTTTTGAGGAGCTGCTATGACTCAACATCTGTACTAATCTGAGGCTTATATAGAAGATAGAGTGGCCGATATTCATTTAAGAAGATGAAATGCGGCCAGGAGCGGTGGCTCGCATCTGTAATCCCAGCACTTTGGGAGGCCGAGGTGGGCAGATCACCTGAGGTCAGGAGTTTGAGACCAGCCTGGCCAACATGGCGAAACTCCGTCTCTACTAAAAATATAAAAATTAGCCGGGTGTGGTGGTGCACGCCTGTAATCCCAGCTGCTCTGGAGGCTGAGACAGGAGAATCGCTTGAACCTGGGAGGCGGAGGTTGCAGTGAGCCAAGATCATGCCACTGCACTCCAGCCTGGGCGCCAGAGCAAGAGTCTGTCTCAAAAAAACAAAAAAAAACAAAGATGAAATGCGGCTGGGCACGTTGGCTTATGCCTGTAATCTCATAACTTTGGGAGGCCGAGGTGGGTAGATCACCTGAGGTCAGGAGTTGGAGACCAGCCTGGCCAACATGGTGAAACCCCATCTCTACTAAAAATACGAAAATTAGCTGGGTGTGGTGGCGGGCACCTGTAATCCCAGCTACTTGGGGGGCTGAGGCAGGAGAATCTCTTGAACCCAGGAGGTGGAGGTTGCAGTGAGCTGAAATCGCGCCACTGTACTCCAGCCTGGGTGACAGAACGAGATTCCATCTCAAAAAACAAAAAAAACAAAAACAGAAGATGAAATGCATGAAAGGAAAGGTTAAAAATGATTCCCATGGGCCAGTTTTAGTAATACTCTCTTCACTCCTTTTGCTGCATGGTACTTGCACCCTTTGAGCTTACTGTTCTGCTTGATTGCATGTCCATGAGGCCGAGAATCTGCCTGTCTTGTTTACCACGAGATCCACAGAATCAAGCCCAAGCCTGGCATGTAGAAGATACTCAAGAAAGATTTGCCGAATAAATAAGAGATACACGAATCAAAAGCATTGCTTTTTGCCCTCAAAAAGTGTTCAACATTTGCTATGGAACATTTTAGCACCATTCCCTTGTGCTAATTACTTTCGTAACTAAAGTTAGAAGCTGATGCTCAGTGCATCTGTGTTTTAGCAAATTGAATTGAATCTGTATATCCCACTCAAAGAAATTTAATTGGAATTGCACATGAAACTGAAGCAACCCACAAATCAGCATCTTGTCTTGCTTGCCTTAAGCCCCAGAAGGTCCTGAAAGCCACTGTTCTATTGTTCATCTCCACCTACACACTTTACTGTATGCCCTTTACTCAATAACCTTCGTGGAGTGTTTCCATAGGTACTATCAAGCCACTAACGATTTCACAACTGGAGCCACTGTTGGTAAATCCAAGTATGTTGCATCAAAACAGTTTCAACCTACTTGTCTAGCTCATAGCCCACACATCTATCCAGAGACTTTAAAACTGTTGTATTTTGCCCCATACCTTCCTGGTGATGGCAGAGTAGAGATGAGAAGCAATTAGGCAGCAGTTGCTTCCCAACAGTCTCTTCCAGTTTGTTCTGCCTCTCATTTGAGTTCTGAATTAGGAGTTGCTCCTTTACAAATGGTTTTAAAGTCAAACAATTACTTGTCCATTACAATCACCTGTCAATTGCTAGAAAAATTAGACTACTGAGGAGGTAGATGGTACAAACACAGGCAGAGGATACAGACATTAGTAAGAGACAAGGAGGCGACTGCACTACAGCAATGTCCTAGGACAAATTCTAACCCTGCCATCTAACCCTGTTTAGAGGCAAATCTAACCCTGCCATAAGTAGAGAGGACAGGGTGGTGGCAGAGGTGGGAAGAGTGTTGTTTTGCCCTTACTTTAAGTGAACCTGGACATGTCCTGACCTTTGCAAACACCACCCCTCCCCCGTAGTTCCCACTTACCTCTGCAGTGGGCTGTGTCCAAGCTGCTGAGGTCCTTGCACAGGTCAAATCTAAGTTCTCTTCCCTTTCAGCCCCCGCTTTGGTGGCTGTTGCTGCTGCGGCTCTGCTGCAGGCTAACCTTGTTTTTGCTCGGGTGGGAGGCTGGCCATGGTGATCTCATTACAGAGCTGCGTACTGGCTCGGACCAGGCACGTGATGAAAAAAGTTTGGGTCTGTGTGGGCTGGAAACAAAACACCCTTCTTTCCAGAGGGCATGTCCTTAAAGCGGAAAGGGAATCTAAGCTCAAGCAGGAACTTGAAAAACGTGCATTTGGCCAAACTCTGGGCTTCCCTCCCCCTGCCCCCTTTTTTTCTTTTAAAAAATTTTCTCCATCATCTGCAACTTAAGAAAATGTCGCTGTCCCATAGGAGGAGGCAGATTCAAGAAAAGATGTGGGTGTCAGATAATGGCAGGTAGTACAAGTTGATAAAAAGGTGACAGAGACCAGAGGATCTCATTTTCTTTTTTTTCATTGCTTCTTTTCCTGTGGAGGGCAGGCAAGGGAGGAGAGATGCATCAGCTATTTCTAGTGAGTCTAGATGCAGGAAAGGCATGCCTGTGGAGGGTAAATTTGCACTGTGATTGAAATAGGGGAACTTAGGATACAGGACCCATGACATGAAGTGAGGAGCACTTTGGAAAAAGAGCTGCTTTTAAATTTCTGAAAACTTTTTAAATAAGCAAATGTGCAAATGATATAAAATACAATAGGGTCAAAAGAATGTACAATGAAAAGTCTTTTTTTAATTTCTCCTCAGTCCCCTTTTTTTCCTCCCAAGAGACAACCTCTGTGACCAGATTTTTGTATATCCTTCCAGAGCTTACCTCTGTAAATAGAAACATGTGTAGGCCTTGTGCTTCTCCTTTAGCAACAGCACCATAGTATGTTTGTTGTGCACCTTGCTTTTTCCACTTAACAATCAAACATGGAGATTGGCTAGGCATGGTGGTGCTCACCTGTAGTCCCAACTATTTGGGAGGCTGAGGTTGGAGGATCACTTGAGCCCAGGTATTTGAGACCAGCCTGGGCAGCACAGGAAGACTCCTTTCTAAAATAAACAAAACTCAGAAACTTGGCTGGGCACGGCGGCTCACATGTATAATCTCAGCACTTTGGAAGACCAAGACGGGAGGATCACTTGAGGCCAGGAGTTCAAGACCAGCCTGGGCAATGTAGCAAAACCCCATTTCTACTACATATACAAAAAATTAGTAGAGCTTACTGGCACATGTCTGTTATCCCAGCTACTGGGGAGGCTGAGGTGGGAGGATGGCTTGAGCCCAGGAGTTGGAGGCTGCAGTGAGCTATGATTGTGCCCTGCACTCCAACCTGAGTGACAGAGTGGGACCCTGTCTCTAAAAAACAAAACAAAATAAAAAATGCCGGGTGCAGTGGCTCATGCCTGTAATCTCAGCAATCTTTGGAAGGCTGAGGCAGGAGGATTTCTTTTTTTTATTTTTTGAGATGGAGTCTTGCTCTGTCACCCAGGCTGGAGTGCAATGGCATGATCACAGCTAACTGCAACCTCCGCCTCCTGGGTTCAAGCGATTCTTCTGCCTCAGCCTCCCGAGTAGCTGGGACTACAGGTGTGCGCTGCCAGGCCCGGCTAATTTTTGTATTTTTTTTTTTTAGTAGAGATGAGGTTTCACCATATTGGCCAGGCTGGTCTTAAACTCCTGACCTCATAATCTGCCCACCTCAGCCTCCCAAAGTGCTGGGATTACAGGCATGAGCCACCACCGTGCCTGGCCTGGCAGGAGAATTTCTTAAGCCCAGGAGTTAGAGACCAGCCTGGGCAACATAATGAGGCCCTGTCTCTAAAATAAATAAAACTGTCAACAACAAAACATGGAGACTGCTCCATATAGTACCCTTAAGAGCTGCCATGTTCTGTTTAATGGCTGCCTCCCGTCCCATTGTATAGATGTGTCATACTTTATTTGGCCAATAAAGGACCATGTCTTCCTCATTTTCCTTGCCTAATTCGTTGCACAAAGCAAGGGCTCAGTAAACATTCAATGCTTGCTCACAAATTAATTACATTTTGTACAACTTGTTCATGTTTTTCCTCATCTCTCCTTTCAGAGATACTAATTTTTTTCAATATTCCAGATATTGCAGAATGTCTATATTTTCCAGCTGACCAAGTCTATCTTGTGCACTGAACAAACCTGTGCTACCAGACTTCCAAGACTCACTTTAGTTTGGCTCCTCTCAGATGATATTATTTCCTATTCCCTCCTACTTTCTATTTTTTAATTTTTTTATTTTTATTTTTGAGATGGAGTCTCATTCTGTTGCCCAGGCTAGAGTGTAGTAGCACAATCTCGGCTCACTGCAACCTCCGCCTCCTGGGTTTAAGCGATTCTCCTGCCTCTAAGCGATTCTCCTGCCTCAGCCTCCAGAGTGGCTTGGACTACAACAGGCGCCTGCTACCACGCCTGGCTAATTTTTTTTTTTTTTTTTTTTTTTTGTATTTTTAGAAGACTCAGGGTTTCACCATGTTGGCCAGGCTGGTCTCAAACTCTGACCTCAGGTGAGAGTTCTGAGGTTACAGGCATGAACCACTGCACCTGGCCTATTTTTAAAAATTTCTTGGCCGGGCGCAGTGGCTCACGCCTGTAATCCTAGCACTTTGAGAGGCCGAGGCGGGTGGATCACGAGGTCAGGAGATCGAGACCATCCTGGCTAACACGGTGAAACCCGTCTCTACTAAAAGTACAAAAATTAGCCAGGCGTGGTGGCGGGCGCCTGTAGTCCCAGCTACTCAGGAGGCTGAGGCAGGAGAATCGCTTGAACCCAGGAGGCAGAGGTTGCAGTGAGCCGAGATTGCGCCACTGCACTCCAGCCTGGGCGACCGACAGGGCGAGACTCCACCTCAAAAAAAAAAAAAAAATTTCTTTAGACACAGGGTTTCACTCTGTCACCCAGGCTGGAGTGCAGTGGCTCAACTATGGCTCACTGCAGTCTCAACCTTCTGGCCTCAAGTGATCCTCCCACCTCAGCCTCCCAAGCAGTTGGACTACAGGCACACACCACCATGCCCCACTAATTAAAAAAAAACATTTTTGGAGAGACAGAGTCTGGCTATGTTGCCCAGGCTGGTCTTGAACTCCTGACTCAAGCAATCCTCCTGCCTCAGTCTCCCAAATTGTTGGATTACAGGTATGATTCACTGTGCCTGGCCTCCTTCCTACTTTCTAATGCCAAGCATCACTGTCATGTGCAAACATTTATTGTTCACTTACTATGATGTACAGAAACTTTTTTTCCTATTTCCTATTGTCTCCATGTCCATATCTTTGCTTACGCTAATCCTCTCACCTGGAATTTCCTTCCTGTTCCTGTCAAGTATTGTGCCTCCAGTTCTTTTCTCTCTCTCTCTCTCTCTTTTTTTTTAAGAGATGGGGTGTTGCTATGTTGTCCAACCTTGTCCCAAAATCTTGGCCTCAAGTGATCCTCCTGCCTCAGCCTCCCAAAGTGCTTTAGCCTCCCAAAGTGCTAAGATTACAGGTGTGAGCCATTGTGCCCGGCCTAATTCTTTTCTTCTTGAACTTTTGTAGTTTAAGTGGTCAACACTCCCTGGAGTAGCAGGTACTTTTTTTCCTACAATCATTTCATATAGGGTCTTTATGTATTTCCATGGCAGTAATAACTCTGGCACTAATAACACTGGTCTTCAGTAAATAGTTGATTGCTGAGCAAGCCTTATAGAGAAGAGCATCTGTCTAGTGAGAAGCTCTCCAGCCTTCCTGGGTTTTCTCTCCATCCTATCTTTTTTTCTTTTTTTTTGTTTGAAATGGAGTCTGGCTCTGTTGCCCAGGCTGGAGTGCAATGGCATGATCTTGGTCCATTGCAAACTCCACCTCCCAGGTTCAAGCGACTGTCTTGCCTCAGCCTCCTTAGTAGCTAGGATTACAGGCACCTGCCATCATGCCCGGCTAATTTTTGTATTTTTAGTAAAGACGGGGTTTCACCTTGTTGGCCAGGGTGGTTTTGAACTCCTGACCTCAGGTGATCCACCTTCCTCGGCCTCCCAAAGTGCTGGGATTACAGGCGTGAGCCACCACGCCCAGCCAGCTGTGTGGTTCTTAAGGGGTCCCATTCATTTTATAACGAGTGTTTCTCAATTTTGTTTATTTATTAATTTTTTTGAGATGGAGTCTCTCTCTGTCGCCAGGTTGGAGTGCGGTGGCGTGATCTTGGCTTACTGCAACCTCTACCTCCCGGGTTCAAGCAATTCTCCTGCCTCGGCCTCCCGAGTAGCTGGGATTACAGGCGTGTGCCACCACACCCAGCTAATCCAGGGGTTTCACCATGTTGGCCAGCATGGTCTCGATCTTCTGACCTCGTGATCTGCCCGCCTTGGCCTCCCAAAGTGCTGGGATTACAGGCGTGAGCCACCGCGCCTGGCCTTCTCAATTTTCTTAAACTTATACTCTCCTGCTGGGCGTGGTGGCTCAGGCCTGTAATCCCAGCACTTTGGGAGGCCAAGGCGGGCAGATCACCTGAGGTCAGCAGTTCGAGACCAGCCTGACCAACATGGAGAAACTGTCTCTATTAAAAATACAAAATCAGTCGGGTGTGGTGGTGCATGCCCGTAATCCCAGCTACTCGGAGGCTGAGGCAGGAGAATCGCTTGAACCCAGGAGGCAGAGGTTGCGGTGAGCCGAGATCGCGATATTGCACTCCAGCCTGGGCAACAAGAGCGATACTCCGTCTCAAAAAAAATGAAAAATAACAACAACAACAACAACAAAAAACAAAAACGTATACCCTCCCAAATGAGATTTGTTCGAACCTGACTTTCTATAGTTTGCAGCTCAAAAACAATAGGGGCCAGGAGCAGCGGCATGCACCTGTAATCCCAGGCACTCAGGAGGCTGAGTGAGGAGGATTACTTGAGGCTGGGTGCCCAGGGATTCAAGACCAGCCTGGATAACGTGGCAAGACCCTCATCTCAAAAAGCAATAGAGTTTTCTTCTCAAATATGAAATGATGTAACTGAATATATTCTTTTCCAACTACCCTCTCATTCATTAGGGGCTTCCTTCCGACTGGGAAGCAGTGACTTCTGGAAAATTATTCTAATTTTGCGATATCCATGAGTACAGCATCATATCCAATGTTCAAAACGTTAACACTCTAGGCCGGGTGCGGTGGCTCAGGCCTGTAATCCCAGCACTTTGGGATGCCAAGGCGGGAGGATGACGAGGTCAGGAGATCGAGAACATCCTGGCCAACACATTGAAACCCTTTCTCTACTAAAAGAAAATACAAAAAATTAGCCAGGCGTGATGGCTGGCGCCTGTAGTCCCAGGTACTAGGGAGGCTGAGGCAGGAGAAAGGCGTGAACTCGGGAGCCGGAGCTTGCAGTGAGCCAAGATTGCGCCACTGCACTCCAGCCTGGGCGACAGAGCGAGACTCTGTCTCAAAAAAAAAAAAAAAAAAAAGAGTAACACTCTAACTTCTCCTAAAATAAAATCCATCTGTTTGCTTTATATCTATTTTCAATAATTTGAGAAACGAACACCCAATTCTGGGTGAGGGGTGGTAGTGAGGCTGGACATGGTGTTTCCTGTTTGTTTTAGCACACACCAGGCCCAGTGCCACAGGAAAAAACAAAATTCCAAGAAAGGATTGGGGAGGCCGCTTTTCATGTGACTACTGCCTGCCTGTCAGCGCTAGCCTCTTCTGACTCTAAATTACAAGTGGAAGAAAGCACGTTAGAAACCCACAGAACTGGCCCGGCGCGGTGGTTCAGGTCTGTAATCCCAGCACTTTGGGAGGCCGAGGCAGGCGGACCACGAGGTCAGGAGATCGAGACCATCCTGGCTAACAGGGTGAAACCCCGTCTCTACTAAAAAAAGAGAAAAAAATTAGCCGGGCATGGTGGCGGGCGCCTGTAGTCCCAGCTGCTCGGGAGGCTGAGGCAGGAGAATGGCGTGAACCCGGGAGGCGGAGCTTGCAGTGAGCCGAGATCGCGCCACTGCACTCCAGGCTGGGTGACAGAGCGAGACTCAGTCTCAAAAAAAAAAAAAAAAAAAAAAAAAAAAGAAACCCATAGAACTGACTGGGGGATGGGGCACTTGCCTGCCTTCTTTATCAGTGTATCCCTCAACGGAATCACTGTTTATTTTTTTATTTTTTGAGAGGGAGTCTTGCTGTGTCGCCCAGGCTGGAGTGCAGTGGCACGATCTAGGCTCACTGTAACCTCCGCCTCCTGGATTCAAGCAATTCTCCCTGCCTCAGCCTCCGGAGTAGCTGGGATTACAGGTGCCCTCCACCACGCCCAGCTAATTTTTGTATTATTTAGTAGAGACAGGGTTTTGCCATGTTGGCCAGGCTGGTGTTGAACTCCTGACCTCAGGTGATCCGCCTGCCTTGGCCTCCCCAAGTGCTGGGATTACAGGCTCAGTGAGCCACCAATCCCGGCCCCAAATCGACTGTTTTAGGGAGAGCAAACTGAGACATGCCATTTATTGAACGCTCTTTTATATCTTCCTCGGTGCGGGGTGTTTTTCCAATTATTAACTATTTAATCTTCACAAGCTCACGACAGCCATTCGTAACCTAATTTTGCAGATAAGGAGCTAGACACTCATTTGGGGGGGAGAAGAGGAGGACTGGAGTTCAGAAAGTGCATTTGATGCTCTTATCCTGGAGGCTGGAGCTAGTTCACCTCCCTGGAGAACAGCTTTTGGGAATCCCGTTTGAAATTGCCGCTCAAGGCCAGCTCGGCATCCAGCCTAGGAATTGGAGGATTTTGGAGAATCCCCTTAGGGGGAAATGTTTAAAAGTGCAAAGTGAATAGTAGAAGCCCCTCTCCTCGTCACTAGGGGTACATTTGCCGTTTTCTTATCAACAGCCTCTCAAGTACAAGCATCTGGGACAAGAACTAGAACCGTGCTTGGGGCAGCCCCCACGTCCTCTCGGGAACAGGGGTGGAGCGCTGGCGGGAGTGGCTGAGGGCGGCCCGCCGCCGACACTGTGTGCAGGAAGCGGGCGCTTTGTCTGCTCTCCCACCGCGGAGAACACGAGGCGGAGGCGCGCCCCAGCTGGCCACACGCTGCCCAGGGCCGGCGTCGGTCAAGAGCCCTCTCTTCAAGCAGGATTAAGAGGGAACCAAGGGGCTGGCAGAGGGGCCTCAGAAGCTCCTGGGCGAGGCCTGAGCCCGTGGGTCTCGACACTAAAATCTGGCGAGCTCCCTGCGCGTCCGCAAAGATTTTGGAGCTCTGAAGAGCCCGGCGACGCCTGCGCTGGCCAGGCGCCGTGCCCACGGGAGGCGCCGTCCTCTTTGTAACTCGAGCAGACCCTGGCGGGCCAGTTGCTATGGCAATGTTCCTCGCTCTGCTCGGTGAGGCCGGGAGGTAGGCGGGCCTTGGCGGACGTCACCCACATTCGGCTTTGGGGAGCCGCCCCACCCCCAACTAATTGTTTGCCAGAAAGGAACCGTAGGATAGATGCTTTGTGAGACATCTACGGGGCCATGTTAGAACAGAAAGTCGCGACAGCCTCTTTCTCCGTCAGCCTCTTCACAAATCCCTTCGTGCCAACGATTTTAACGGTCCTTCAAAGCCAGGAGGAGGGGGCGTGGTAATTCGAGGGGTTTGTTCGAAGGGCCACGCCCTTTCCTCGGCCTTTGGATTTTTCCAGGCCGCGCCCACGGCGGGGGGGTGGGGGGGGGCGCTAGTTCTAGACCACGCCCCTTCCTTGTTCGCTCGGAAAGAGGACCAAAATGGAGGAGTAAGAATCATGATTAAATTGAGCGAGCGCAACTAATCACGCGAAGAGGGCCGCAGGCGGGCCGTCTTCCGCAAGCGTGCTTCCAGGCCTCCACTCCCCACCTATTCGGCGGCACCCTGTTACTTCTGCTCCTGCGCGCTGCTTCCCGCGACCTCACAGGCAGAGCGAACACGCACGGAGTCGCAGGGGCGCGCAAAGGGGGAGGAGCGGGCGTGACCAGGCGCGCGCGCGCGTCTGGAGTGACTCTAGAGAGCAGGCGAGTCGGGCGGATCGGGTGGGTAGAGTGGTGCCGTCCGGTTGTTTGGTGGGAGGCACGTAAGACCGCTCTGGGCACGGGGGCGCTCACCTCACTGGCTCGTTCGGTTCTAGGAGCAGATCCGGGGTAGAGGGAAAAGAGCTCCGGGCCAGGGGCTGCCGTCGCCGCCGTCGGGGAGTCAGCCCGCCAGCCCGCCAGCTCGTCAGCCCGCCAGCCAGCGCTTCGCGGGCCCTGTCGGTCCCGGTAAGCGGGCCTGCGCTTACCGGAAAGAGGAGCGTAAGATGAAAGAGTGTGAGAGACCATTGGGGGTCTGTAGGGGGAAGGGGAGTGGGGGCGTGTGTAAGGGGCAGGGTGTGTGAGGAGGAGAGGAACCCCAGCAAAGAGTAGTAATAATAATGGCCACCGTCACACGATAATATTCGAGTAATATGTGCGGGGACTTTACAAAGCATCTCATATGCTTCATTTTAACTTCTACTCCAATCCTCCGAGGTGCGTACTGTTATCAAACCCATTTTACAAGATAGGAAAACCGAGGCACGAAATAGATTAAGTGGCTTATGCAAGGACACACGACTACTACGTGGCCTGGCCTGGCTTCGAACTTAGTTATCTTAGTCCTAAGGCCCGTAATTTTAACTTTGCTTTACCAAACAAAAACAGAAGAAGAATGGCGTGTCAGAAGGAGGAGGACTGAGTGTGATTTGAAGTGGAAGGATGATGATAAACGAGAAGAGAATGATGATGGGAGACGGAGTAGTGGGGAGGAGGACCTGAATTTGGAATCTTGCGGGCCTCCCCCTTCTAAATCGCCGCCTCTTCCTTAGTTCTTGCGGCCCCATAACT